>NC_000008.11:140245390-140547467 GCF_000001405.40 Homo sapiens
CTGTGCCTGTTTTTAAATGCGTCATTTAACTCTCTCTTAAACTACAGATAGCCTTTTCATCTCTTTGTTTTGTGGTGTGTGTGTGTGTGTGTGTGTGTGTGTCTGTAAAATACACATAATTTAAAGTTTACCACTTTAACCATTTTTAAATGTACGGGGTCAGCAGCATTAAGCACATTCACACTGTTGTACAATCATCACCATCATCTATCTCCAGAACTTCATGCCTTTTTCCCCCTGATAATTTACTTGTTGAGAGAACCAATTCATGGACTGCAGGGTTTCCTGGAGTCTGGACTGCCAACTGTGTCCCCGTGGTGTAGTTTAACAAGTTTTTCTGCCTTCTGAAGTCCTGTAAATTAGCAGTTAGAGCCAGAGCGCTGATCAGCCTCAGGTGTGATTCTGGGACACTGCTAATTCACAGAAGGTGCTGTGTTCTCCCAGCAGGAGGAACATAATGTGTGGTTGTCTCTTATTTTGTTATGTGGATGCTTACTGTCTCGACTCATTAATCTATTAGGGATGGCAAAATGATGATATCCGAATTCTATCCTCCTTATCTCCATTGTTAGCCCAAATACTTCTATAAAGAGAGACTCCCCTCATCAACTGGTATTAGATCGTCCAATCGCGCAGTCTACATGAAAAGGCAGAATAAATACTCATTGCTTACCATTTTCAAAATGATAAATCACTTCCCCATCATTTTCCAAGGGCGAACAATTCTCTCAAGTAGCATTGAGAACTCATGGACTGAAACACAGTTCGCATCTTTACTGATGCTCAAATTGCCAGTGGTCACTTCTTCAGGCGGAGCCCTTCAACACAACCTCAATGCTCTCTAATCACTCCTTTGCTGCAAGTTTGACAAGATGGTCCAAGATCACCTTCCTGCTCTGTTTCCTGCTCCACATCTAGAACTGGTTATTTTTCTCTGAGTGAGAAAGTGTGTTTCAAGACCAGGAGGTGGGCATTAGGAATGCTCACTGCTGCTGGACTGGTCCGTTTCTAGACTCGGACACTGTACAAGGCTAGGAGATTGATAGCTTTTCAAATAGTTCATGATTTCTTGCTATTTTTTATTCAAATTCTAAACTACAAGGTTTTTACTTAACTTCATATCTGACATCAGTTACTTCCTGTCTTCCATATGAGAACCCTAGTTCAAAACTAGATTCAGATGATAGAATGAGATTATCACAGAATTAATCATTTACTTTACCCTACACTGATACCTAGTTTCAGAATATGAGTACTAACACTATCTCTACCAAAACAATTACAGAGAACAGTTTAAAAATTACTTTTGGGGCCGGGCATGGTGGCTCACACTTGTAATCGCCCAGCACTTTGGGAGGCCGAGGCGGGCGGATCACCTGAGGTCAGGAGTTTGAGACCAGCCTGGCCAACGTGGTGAAACCCCGTCTCTCCTAAAAATACAAAAATTACCCAGGTGTGGTGGCATACGCATGTAGTCCCAGCTACTTGGGAGGCTGAGGCAGGAGAATCACTTGAACCCGGGAAGAGGAGGTGGCAGTGAGCTGAGATCGTGCCACTGCACTCTAGCCCGGGCGATAGAGCCAGACTTTGTCTCAAAAAAAAAAAATTACTTTTGCATATGACTTCCCATGCTCCCCCCATGTTTTAAATTATTGTGATGGATACTGTAAGAGCAGATTACCATGACATACTATCTTCTCCCTTTGAATGCTCATTTGGTCTTAGCTATACAAGCAACGATATGTTTAATGTTCACCACAAGTCCTTATGACAACGTCTCTCTAGTTACTTTGGCTGTGCTTCCCTAGTAGAATCCTCAAGAAATCATGAGAATTTAATTCTTCCAGTCTTGCGTGTTGACAACAATTTGTCTAAGCCCTGTATACCTAAAAGTTAGTGTGGCTGTGCCTACAAATCTCTGGCTTAAATTTTCATTACATGAGTAGCTAGACATAGTCTAGATACATGCTATTCTATTGGCTTCTGGAATACTGCTGCTGTCAAAAAGTCCAATGATAATCTGATTTTCTTTATTTCATAAATCACTTGCTATCTGGGTCTAAAAGCCCAAAAGACTTTAAGTCCAGTAATATAACTAGAATATGTCCCGCTCATTCTAAGTCAAGATTCTCATGTATACAGTGTACCCATTCATGCAACAGTTTCAAGGGTTTTTTTTTTTAATTACAGAAAGTTTTCTGTGAATTATAGTTTTTAACATGTTGTGGTTCCATTGTTTCCGTTTCCTTCTCTGGTGTCTCATAGCAGATATATGTATGTATATATGTATGCATGCATGCATGTACGTTAGATCTTCTTTGCCTAGCTTCTAAGTGTGTCACTTTCTCTTTAATCATCTTTCTCTCGATTCTTTTTTCTTCTCTCTTTTCATCTTCTGCTTCCCTTAATGTATCTGGCAGGTATATATAACTCACTAGAAACTACAATGCTGGAAAAAAAAATTTATTCTATTACAAATTCTTTCCTGAGTTATATCCATCTCATCTCTGAGTTTTTCTCATTCAGATTTATGTTATTCTTTTGTACTTCTTCTTCATGTCTTTTAGCTCATTATGGGTTTTTGTAATTTTTATCAGCTTCTGAGCACGTTCTTCTATGTTATCTCGCTGCTTATGTTTTCACTAGAATCACTCTGCATAGAGTTTGGCCATGATCCTTTTCTGTTGACCATCTTTACATGAAACTAGTTTTCATGAATGTTTAGGAGAAATGATTCAGGATAGCTCTTCTAATTCTAGTAAATCTACACACTGTATTCTGTGTTTGGGGGTGGTACTCAAGAATATAAGAAATTACTTTCTAGACCACTTAACTCTGTTCTCCTCCCCTAGTTTCAGCCAGATCTTCTCTTTCCTTGCTTCTGCTATCCCACCTCTGTTCCCAGCAGCTTCTCCACAGGTGAGGCTTTGTTCTAGAGGAATTATTTGCACTCATCTGCTACTGGAACATACAAACTCCTCCACATTTCAGCTGCTGTTCTCAACTTGGCCCACTGAGCTGCCCAATGAGTACCTGCTGGCTGTGTGGGGATTCCTGGGTGTGTGTGTTTCCGGCTTCCTCTTGTGCAGACGGTGAAACCGTGTTGTTATTAGTGGTTTGTCCACATCTACTTATATTTTGGGGTCCGTGGGGATACTCTGGTAACTGGTTTTGCTATATATTTTTGCCTATGGGTATTTGGTTTTTCTATTCTAGTTGTTCAGTCTGTTTGACTGAATAGTTCATATATTCAAAACCTAAGACAGTTTGCCACCATCTTCCAGGACTTCTAATTTTAAACATAAAATTCCAAGAAATCAGAGATTTCAAGTATTATAAGGATCATAGGAAAAGAATATACTATTTTGTGGGTGAAAAGTTGACTTCTCTTACCCTAGGCTAGTTATATGAAGAAGATAGATATCTGCCAAGAATTTGAAGATAAGGTAAATAATTTGCTTTCTGATGTTTCATTTAGAAACAATTTCTAAAATTCACTTAGAAATCAAAATAATACATCCAAACAGTGCTCTACAAAATCTTTTTCTTGTTACTATTTTGAAAAATATCGAGCCTACAGAAAAGTCACAAGAAATGAAGATCTATATCTCTTTATCTAAAGCCAACTTTTTTTTGTAATTTCAACTTTTATTTTAGATTTAGCGGGTACGTGTTCAGGTTTGTTACATGAGTATACTGTGTGATGCTGAGGTTTGGGAAATGAGTGATTCTGTCATCCGGACAGTGAGCGTGCTGCCCAACAACTGGTTTTTCCCTCCCTGACCCCTCACTCCCTGCCTTCTCGAGTAGCCCCCGTGTCTGTTGCTGCCACCTTTATGTCTGTGAGGACTCAATGCATACCTCCCACTTATATGTGAGAATATGCTGTATTTGCTTTTCTATTCCTGCATTCATTGGTTTAGGATAATGGCTTCCAGATGCATCCACGTTGCTGCAAAGGCCATGATTTCATTCTGTTCTATGGCTGCATAGTCTTCCAGGGTGTATATGTACCACATTTTCTTTATCCAATTCACTACTGATGGCCACTTAGGTCGATTCCACATATTTGGTATTGTAAATAGTTAAAGACACTTCTTTTTAATAATTTGACATTTTTACTTTATTTCTCTCTAGATTCACATTCACACTGTATTTTTTTTCCTTCACCCTATTAAAGTAAGTGCAGGCAAATCATCTTTCACTCTTTTTTTTTTTTTTTTTTTTTTTTGAGATGGAGTCTCGCTCTGTCACCCAGGCTGGAGGGCAGTGGCGCGATCTCGGCTCACTGCAAGCTCCGCCTCCCGGGTTCACGCCATTCTCCCACCTCAGCCTCCCAAGTAGCTGGGACTACAGGCACCCGCCACCACGCCCGGCTAATTTTTGTTTTTGTATTTTTAGTAGAGACGGGGTTTCACCATGTTAGCCAGGATGGTCTCAATCTCCTGACCTCGTGATCCGCCCACCTCGGCCTCCCAAAGTGCTGGGATTACAGGCGTGAGCCACCGTGCCTGGCCTGATCTTTCACTCTTAAATGCTTCTGCATTTATTTCCTAAGAACAAGAATTTTCTGCTACAATTTCAATTTCATTATCATACTCGATATATTTGTCATTGATACAATAATATTATAGTATTCAATTTCTTCAATTGTCCCAAAACAAAGTCTTCTTTTTTAAATCCAGGATACAATTAAGGATCATGCACGGCATTTGATTGTTACAGCTCTTCAATCTCCTTTAATCTAGAACATTCTTCCCACTTGCGTTTATAAAATGGGAATTACAACATTTACTTTATAGAGTTTTTACAAAGATTAAATAGAAATAATGCCAGAAAAAAAGTGGCTAGCCCAGTCTTTATACACAACATGTGACAATGCTCAGTAAACATTAATTATCTTCCAGCTATCTATGGCCGACACTGAATCCAGGATCCCGGTTTGTGCAACAGCTATCCAGGTTGCTGTGAATTTTTTAAGCGTCATTTAACTTCAGTAACCATAATTAATGCGAGTCCATGCCTGAGAATCAAATTGGATCCACACGTGGTCCCCCATTAGATGTCTCTGAGAATGTTAGACTGTGAGCTACAGGGGGTCGTCTCCCAGTTCCCAGAGGCCACAAATGAGCCTCTGCCACTGAGTTCACAGCCACTTCACATAAGGGCGCCGTGATTGTCTCGTGCTTCCTCAGACTGAACTGCACGTAACAAGGCAGCCTCCATGGACCAAGCTCTGGGTGGTTCTTCGTGCCTACCTTTTCCTCCATAAAACTTGACCTGGTTTCCTGGTTTTTCTAAGGTAAAACTTACCTTAGAGATTTGCTGTCTCTTTCTGCCACATACTATGTAAACAACCAGCCAGAGCTTCTATTAACTGTTATTAATAAAGGGGGCATCTCATGAGTAACCACTACGTGCCATGACCAGCAATCAGGCCAGCCTCACATTTACAAACCACCTGGTGACCATAATTCAAGGCCTGATTTGGTTTTGTTTTAAAAGATAGAAGAAGGTATTCCCAGGCTACAAGTCCCAAATTGCAATTTTGCTCAATTTTTCTCTCTGACCTTAGAAGGGCAGAGAGACTGCCCTAGTCCCCTCTATAACAAAAGGCAGAAGCACAGTCATAACAGGACAAAATAGGTCTGCACTGAACATGCAAATTCAAACAACCAAGCACAAAAAGCCAAGCCTTCCACATGGAAGCCTTCCACACTGTTCCTCAGGAATAAGACGACCCTGGCAGGCCATGGGAGAAACCACGGTCACCATTCCCTCACTGCTAGCCTGGAGTCCACGTGCCAAGACATAGCCCTGGGGTAATATCCAGTCCCAAGTGTTCCAGGGGCAGGTGCTGGGCACCATTTATTCTGCCAAACCCCCTTCTTGGGAAGAAGAAGTCAGAACCTATGTAACCCTCTGTCTACTGATTAAAAAGAAAAAATGCAGTTCAGCGGGATAAAGCCGTTTACACACCAACCAAAAAAATCCGTGTCATCAGACATTTTTAAGTCTTGGTATAATTTGAAATCCTCTCAACTTTTTTCATTTTCTAATGTATCCAACCCTAAATCTGTTTTTCTACATTTGTTAATAATATAAAAAGAATATTTTACCAAATACCAGCACTATACAAGAAGCTCATGCTGACTATTTGAACTGCAGAGGGTGCAGACAGCAAACTCTATGGAGGGCGTCTGTTAGGGACTGAGCTGCGTCCCCCTTCCCCAGCTGCATCTACTGAAGGCCTATCCCCCAGTGGGACAGCTTTAGGAGGTGGGGCCTTTGGGAGGTAATTAGGGTTAGATGAAGCAATGGAGATGGAGCCCCCTCTATGAGATGAGTGCCCTTGTAAGAAGGGGTGGACACCAGAGCTCCCTCTCTCCTCCACGTGGAGACGCAGCACGAAGGTGGCCATCTGCAAGCCAGGAAGAGGGCCCTCCCTCACCAGAAAATCACCACGGCTGACAGTCTGATCTCAGACTCCCAGTCTCCAGAGCTATGAGGAAATAAATCTTGGTTGTTTAAGCTGTTCTGTCTGTGGTATTTTGTTAGGGGAGCCTGAGTTGACTGAAAGACTCCACACTGCCTCCAAATGAATGCTTCATAATTTGGCATAATTAATTTATGAAATCTTTTTTTTTTTTTTGAGATGGAGTCTCACTGTGTTGCCCAGGCTGGAGTGCAGTGGCGTGATCTCGACTCACTGCAACCTCCGCCTCCCAGGTTCAAGCGATTCTCCTGCCCTCAGCCTCCTGAGTAGCTGGGATTACAGGCATGCGCCACCATGCCCGACGAATTTTTGTATTGTTAATAGAGACAGGATTTCACCATGTTGTCCAGGCTGGTCTGAAAGTCCTGGCCTCAGGTGATCCGCCCGCCCTGGCCTCCCAGAGTGCTGAGATTATAGGTGTGAGCCATCACACCCAGCCAATCTATGAAATCTTATCTCTAATCAGTCCTAATGTTACAACAAATATAAATTTCCATTTCTTCCACACTCCACCTCCTTATAGATATCATCAGACTTTGAAGGAAAACTTTATCATCACAGCTAATTAGATGTCTAAAGAATCACAGCAGTTATACTTGAAAAAACGCAGTAATTCCTACATTCCACTAATTTAGAATGACCTGCTGGTAAATGAGTACAAAATAATAAAGAGTGAGAATTAAATCATTTAGATAAAAAGTACTTTTATTACTTTCAGACACATACAGTAACACACTCTGTTAACAAAGTGCCCAGGAGATGTCTCAGGCAGCTTGAGTTAATGAATGACAAGTGAGTTACAAACAGCAAACAGCAGGCATCAAGGGATGGGGGTTGCTACACAGTATCTAGGACCCTGACGTGCTAATTAAAATTAGGAAAGCGCTTACCATCACTGAGATCCTGCAGGAGATTCTCCTGGCAGGAGAAATCCAGCTTCACTTTGATGTTGATTGTGAACGTGGCCACCTTCCCAGGCTGCAAAGGGAACTGGGCAAGGGTTTCCTCTAGCTTCCAGCTCAAGAAGTCGCCATACAATTTTTCTGTAATAATAACAATGACAGTGATGAGGATGCTGTAACTGAGGCAGTATGGGACTTACCAATCCCCTAGAAAATTCTGATGCATTCTCAAAAGCCAAGGAAAAAGAAGAGCTTTTAAAATGTGTAAGATCAAAGTGACAAGAACATTCCAGAACCAAGAAGTGTTGCAAGGCAATCACCCCTGTTTATGAAGGAGGCACAGGGAGGAGGAAGAACTGCTCATCTCTAGAGGCACCGAGCTCAAGCCAAGCCATCTTGACGCCTTAGTGAGCAACTCCTTCTCATTGACCAAATAAATGCCGTTTTGCTCTTATAAACTAAATCAGAGTTAAACTAAATTTCTCCACAATGAATATTTTCTGTATTATATCACCTTAAAGAGAAACAGATCCAAGTGTAGTAGGGAAAGTGTATATTTAATATGAGACACCTCTTCACAAAAAGAGAATAAAAAATCAAAACCCAAGCAGGACGCTGTGGCTCACACTTATAATCCCAGCACTTTGAAAGGCTGAGGCAGGGTGAATCACTTGAGATCAGGAGTTCCAGTCCAGCCTGGACAACATGGTGAAACCCCATCTCTACAAAAAAATACAAAATTTAGCCAGTGTGGCAGCGCGCCTCTGTAATCCCAGCTACTCGGGAGGCTGAGGCAGGAGAATCGCTTGAACCCGGCAGGCAGAGGTTGCAATGAGCCAAGATCATGCCACTGCACTCCAGCCTGGGCAACAGAGCAAGACTCCATCTCAAAAGAAAAAAAAAACATCAAATCAAAGAATTAAGGACGGCACCTTGGGAAGGGCCTCCGGGGAGAGGTGTTTCCCTTGCTTTCTGGCAAATACACCATGGTCTTTAATAAAAAGTCTTGAATGTTAGAGTCACATGGCCTTGACTTTGGTGCCTTTTTGACACTGACTAACTCGAGTGCCATGGAGAATAATGATCCCTTGGAGTCAAGGTTTCTTCGTGTGTAAAATGGGGATAACAATTACTGCACCACAGGGTTATTTTACAGATTCAATAAAGTACTATCTGTAAAAGCACCAAGAAGACCACAGCACTGTAAGAACCTCAGGCAACACGGGAGGAAGGGGGACAGGAAGGGGACATGGGGAGGCCACTGCTGGTGCCCGCTGAAGTAGCTGCGTCTCTCCACGGCTCCAGTTCCTAAAACCCAGGCACAGTATGATATGCTGCCTTGACATCCGGCAAAACTGGGAGGGCCCCAAACGGCCTCACCACAAGTCCCCTCCTGACTCTGCTCCTGCAGATACAGGGTCCCTCAGCCAGGCAGGTTTCCAGGTGCGGAAAGCAGGTGCAGCCCTGTGTATCCTGGGCAGTGGGTGTCAGTTCCCTGCCAGCCTGGAAGGGACTGAAATAAGCCAGTCACATCCTCCCTGGGGAGCCGGGGGCAGCCCTCCCTCTCCATACCCCAAAGCCCGCCTCCCCCAGCCCCTGGGCAGCTGCTCTCTCTGTTCCTGAGTGCAGCCCACATGGCCCTACGTGGCATGGTATCCTCCTTCCCCAGCTGTGAGTGTCTGTGACCAATGAACTGCTGTCAGGTGCACATGCCCTGTGCACATGCTAGGTCTCTGGCTGTCCCCACATGGTAGAACAAGAAACCCTCCTGACCAACACAGGGGACAGGAAGCCATGAGCACGGGGCCCTCCTCCTCCCAGGAAGGGCCCAGCTTCCAGGCTCTGCAAAGGTCCTCCTCCTGGTGCCCCTCCAGCCTAGGAGGCAGGAGCGACTTGCTGTTTTCCCACTATCCCCTTTCTGGGAACCAGTTTTTTATGCTGAACGTCTTCGGTCTGAATAAGGAGACGGTTTTAGAGAGATGAAGTAACTTATCCATGGTCACCAACTATGGAATCAGTCTAGAATCCTAGATCCAAATGATTCCAAAGTCACATTCACTTCCTGCATGAAGACATTTCATGGTGAAGTTCAAATGTAAAGTCCTGGTCGGAAGACCCAGAAGTGAACCTCACAGGAGCTCAGGGGAAGACGGAGAGCTTGACCAAAATCCCCATGAAAGAAAAAAGATACGTGGTGTGCTAACTCCAGAACACGAGGACAAACTGAGCTGCAAAATAAGCAGACATATTCCTGGCCGGAGGTGTGCTCGACCATGGCACGGTCCTGCAGAACTGGCCAAGCTCCCTCTGGAGCACGTCTGACAGACGGCGTTTATGTCTCCATGTTTCCTTAAAGAAGGATACTAACACAGAGAGACAGATCCAGGGGACAGCGTCCTTGAAAAGTGTTTAGAAACCACATCACATTCATTTATTTACTTAGTCATTCACAGAACACCTCAAATGTGCCAGACACTCCACGTGTTACCTCACTTAATCCTCCCAACAACCAGTGAAATCATGGAAGGAGGTTAGCATATGTAACAGGTCATTCAGCTGTCAGTGGAAGACTTGGCATATTATACATGTTTGATAAATATTAGCTGCCCTTCAGCATCACCCAGTCCACCACCTTGGATGGTGTTCAGATGCTTTGCAAACTGATACTATCACAGTATTTTAGAATGATCTGGGAAAAGACAGATGGCTGGGAAAAGGATGATGGAATCGTTGAGCAGGCTGGTTCCTGGAAAGTCAACTTTAACGACAGTCTGAGGAATGAATCCCTACATTCAGATGATTTCGAGAAGCTGTGGACCGGGCGCAGTGACTCACACCTGTAATCCCAGCACTTTGGGAGGCCAAGGCGGGCAGATCACCTGAGGCCAGGCGTTCGAGGCCAGCCTGGGCAACAGGGTGAAACCCTGTCTCTACTAAAAATACAAAAATTAGCTGGGCATGGTGGCGCACACCTGTAGTCCTGGCTATTCAGGAGCCCAAGGCATGAGAGTCACTTGACCCAGGGAGGTGGAGGTTGCAGTGAGTCAAGGTCGCGCCACTACACTCCAGCCTGGGCAACAAAGCGAGACTCCGTCCCCAAAACAGAAGAAGCTGTGGCTGTTGGATGAGATTCTTATAGGAATTTAGTGAAAGGGAAATGGAGAATTGGAGGAAAGTATTATCCAAAACTCAAAGTGGGAGATGGAATGGGTCAACAAGAATCACCTAAAGTCAAAGAAAGTGAATCATATCCAATTATAGCCACTCTAATTACAGGATAAAAATCTAAACACTTCAGTCAAGCTTTGGGGGCAAAGGGTACAAAACACTGGTCGCTTTGGTATTTCATGATGACAACAGGCTACTGAATTCTCTGTCTGGAAACCCGCTTCAACACACAACATTTGGCCCTTGGCTGCTCAGGGGAATGTGTGGATACTCACATATATGATTTATCCTTTAGACGGTAAGTCACTCAGTCAGAGAAAGAACAAAGATCTGTCTCCAAATGGGAAAAGAACTTCAAAGCCATCTTACAGGTGAGAAAGCAGAAGGAAAAGGAGAGTCTGACACAAAATCACATCATCAATTGGGTCGCAGCTTTCTTCCCACTCCTTCAGAAGGGTTCTGACGACATCTTGGCTCATTAGTAAGGAAGGTAACTGACTTTCTTCCTTCCCACCTGCTCTCTCAAGCCATGCCAGTTCTCTGCCTACTCGATGTGACCTCCTCCACGCAGGACCCCCGGGCAGGCCCACCTGCTTCCGCTTGGTTGCCATTCTATGTGTATTCTGAGAATCTACCCTCCCACAAGACGCTGGAGTTCCTTTCCACTGTGCTCTTCTGTAGGTGCCGACACATCTGTGGGCAGCTGCAGAAGCTGTGGTTAAACACAACTGAAACTACAGGCCTGGGTTCAAACCCCAGATCCCCACCTTCCTAGCTTGCCATTGGCTGTGTTACTTTTCTGGGGTCTCAGCTTCCCCTTCTTTTACAAGTAAAGCAGGGAGAAATACCTGTACCTACTTTCTAGGGCTGCTGTGAGGGTTAGCGGGTTTAAAACATATAGAGTACTTAGGACAGGGCACGGTGCCCAGTGAGTCTCAGTTAAGTGTTTGCTCTTATAATTATTCAGGTTTGGCAAGAACACCACCACCAATGATGGGGGCTCGTAGCCTTCCATGTCTACTACTTCCTGCTACTTCCATTACAGAACAGTCCCAGTAAGTGTTCAGGTGTCTGAGCTCTCCCTCTGTGCCAGGCACTGTCTGAAGTTCATATGCTAAGGCCAGAGGAGGCATGAGTCTCCGCCATAGTGCAGAGTAGTTAGCTTACAGCATACCCTTAGCTCCTCCCAAAATCTCCATATGCCAGCATTATCCACATCATATGAATGAGCAAACTAGAGTTCAGAGAGATCAAGCAGCTTTCCTAAGGGTACAAAGCTAGGATGTCCCAGAGTCAAGAGGTGAACCCTGGCCCTCACACCCATTCACCGTGCCTCAGTCCTCTGGCAGCTCAGAACGCAGTTGCTGCCTCTTCTCCACGCAGCAGTGCTGGCACTGGCCTGGGCCTCTTCTGCGCTGAGCCAACCTGTCCACCTTCCTTCTACTTCTCCTCCAATGGCACTCGGAGGTGCCATCCTGACGACACTACTTTAGACCCACCTTGGTTTGAAAAGAAGCCTCCCCAGACAGGAGCCCAGGAGTGGGAAAAAGGACCCCGTGCCATGCGAGCGCACAGGGGAGGGAGGAAAGAAGCACACGTCCTTTCAGAAGTTGACATCTGGTGACACCTCCAATAGACTCCTAGCATGGGGGGTCCCTGAATATGCCGAATGCTTTCTTAAGTCCAGAACTCTGCCCCATCGTGTGCCTACTACTGGAAATGTCTTCCCCTACCTTCTCTGCCTGGCTGGATTTTCTAGAGCTTTTTAATACCCAGGTCCAGGGTATCTACTCAGATATGCAACCATCCCAGCCCTTGTTCTTAGGCTGGAAGCCCTCCCGCCATGCCTGCAAACACCTGCACATGCCTCCAGGACAGGCTCCAGCACTCTGCACCCAACTGTGTGAGCTGATCTTTCTGTTTGTAGCTCTCACTGGGATGTGCATGTGAGGAGAACTGCATCACTGTCCTTTGGCAAAGTAAGTAGTCATTCTTCAGATAAATATTTATTGAGTGTCTCCTGTGTGTCAAGCTCTGTAGCAAGCACAAAAAAACACACCAGTGGGCAAACAGGCCAGTGACCGCTCTCCCAGGGCTCATGGTCTGACAGAGGAGGCAGAAATTAGGCAGAAAACTAGACACAAGACAACAAAGTATGTCATGACCAGGTCAGTCTGTCTTGGGTACACGACAGCACACGACAGACAAGTCTGGAGGGCCAGAGAAACTCCCCGGAGAGACCGCCATTCAGACACGGCCTGAGGGAGCAGGAGGGCTTGGGCAGGTTCAAAAGAGGGAGGGTGACCCTGTGCGACTAATTCTGGACTTGTTCTCCGCGTTCACACGCTCCCTGGCACAAGTAATGGATTTGACATTTCACTCAAAACTCCTCACACACACGGCTGTTGCCATCTTCTTCCTCTATAATAATCTATAGAACATAAAGATTTTAGATGTTTGCTGATAATTCTTTTGTTCTTGAAGCACATGGCACTAACCTAGTCTGGAAACACAATTAAACTTTACAAATTTTCCTGATCTCTCACCTAAACTGCACTCCAGAAATTCAAACCGCCTGCTAGATACATTCTCTAGGGGTTTTGCCAGCACCTGACCCCAAAATGGAAGCTATCGCTTTCCCTTCCAAACCATTTACAGCACCAAGATCCTCCTGATGACCCAGGAACTTAACATTATATAAATATGCACCCAGTAGATTCATAAATGGCATTTTGTCTTTCTTTTTCGATCCAGTCAATCAATTCAGGATAGAATGGGATAAGAGAGGCCAGGCCACATGAAACCAGTGCAGAAAACCAATGGGGCCTGCTTGCTGGGGGCCAGGGCCCAAGGCCTCAAGAACATTGGAAGTGTGTGCCAACTTCTTTAAATGGCCTATCCCAGGGCTGCAGGGGTCCTGGCCAACCTCCCCGTGAACCGCCAATACAGCTGAGATACTGAGGCCCTGTAAGAGCCTCCCCTCCCAAGTGTCCTGTCAGACCATTTCTGAAACACGGGCCCCAAGAACCAGCCGCCCCTTTGGGTCCTGCCCTGTGGCAGCTCAGCCCACCCCGCGGAGGAAGCAGCAGAGGGCTCTCAGGCTCATCTCCGGCTGCAATGGCACATAACAGCAACATCGTGGGATGGGCACCCAGGAATCCCCTCTCACGGCTGCTCTCCTTCCCCGCTCTTCACCCCTGTGCCCTAGTTACCCGCCTGCACACACCACTCCCTCTGCCAGGAATGCCCCGCTCACTTTCCCAAATACAGAAACTCTATGCGTCCTTCACAAGCCAACTTGGAGGCTCCTTTCCTGTGATGCCTTCCCATCCCACATCACTGCTCTGGGCTCCAACACACACGCCTCTAGTGGAACACCATCCAGGTACCAAGCAGCTCATTCTTCCACCAAACGGTCAAAAACGGAAGGCAGGGACCAGACCTTGCCTTTGAACCTCACCACCTTGGGAGGCAGGGTGTGTGCTAGTTACAAACCCCAGCTTCAGGACAAAGGGCCCTGGGTTCAGATCCTGGCTCCGGCCGGCTATCCTTCGATAAGTTACCAAAGTTCTGTGTATCTTAGTTTACTCATCTATAAAATGGGTCGTCATGCAGAATCAACAAGTTGACGGAAGTCAAATGCTTACAATAGCGCCCAGCTTAGAATAAGTACTCAACCAATGCTAGTTATTCCTCCCACTCCTCAAGCCCCAGTTTCCTTCTCCTAACCGGACAATCTTCACAACCCTTTATCAGAGCTGTGTGGACGAAGTGATTCCTGAGAGTGTCTAACCCTGTCCCTGGCATTCAGTGAGTGCACGTTAGGGTTAGCTGCCATCAGCACCCCTTCCCATGCAATGGCTCACAGGGCCTGGCCACCAGCAGGCACTCAACAGTGCATGAGGCAGAACACACACGTGTGCCCAGACATCACGCTTAGAACAGACGGAAAAGAGCTATGTGAAAAAAGCGGAATACCACAGTGAATATACGATTAATTCCAACTACATGAAAACACTGACATCGAAAAAGAAAACGAAGACCTGCCTATCTGCTCTTATTGGTTGTCCTTGAGTCATGAGATCATGGGTAGTTTCAAATTGTTTTATATTTTTTTGAATTTTTGACGATAAGTATACATTACGCTTTTATAAACAAACATATACACGCTCACACCTATACACACACATGCACGGATATAAAACCATGCTAACATTTCACTCGAGTCGAAGCTCACCACCCTACCACCACCCTCCAATTTAGTATAGAGAGAAGCCCCACGGATCTGGCCTGCAAATCCACGTGCAAGACTGATCTTGCTAAGGCCCGTGGCTCGAGAGTGAAGTGGGTTCTGAGCCAATGGTGATGCTTTCTATGGTGTCCTACAAGAGGGCCAGGGAATCATGTGAACTGGTGAGAAGGACAACAATCAAATGGGGCATGTTTATCACTGTTGAAGTCCCCAGACTCAACTCTGCCAGCTGAATAAAGTTCTCTGAGGTGGTGGATGAACTCTGTCGCAGCCATGCAAATTGGAAGGTGATCAAATGCCTAGAAAAAATTTGCCCAGGCTAATGAAAACCACTAGTGCAAACTAATTAGGTAAGTTCTACCTCTCCTTTCTACTACCTGTGCTAACATAGCATGGAAGGGCCACTCTGGAGGAAGGAGGAAGGAGAACACAAGACAATAACTGAAACAACCATCTATTAAGTCCTATCTTCTGACTTCACATTACAGCTACATTGTCCACATGTGTATTAAAGAGGCAACTAAAAGTCAGAGAGTTTAAGCAACTTACCCAAAGCCCAACAGCTAATAAGTAACAGAACCAAGAGTCAGATCCAGCACTGGCAAAGACCAATCTGCCTCTCACCCCTTATCTGAACCCATGAACCCAACCAGCATCATCACCAGGCGGAAAGCACACACAAGGAGAGGCTCATGAAGGTGAAGGGAGAGAGTACTTTGAAAAGATATGGCAGAAAAGAAAATATAATGGCCAAGCACATGAGCTCTAGGGTCAGACACACGTGAATCTGGGTCCTAATACTGCCATCTTACCAGCTCTTTGAACATGGGCAGTCACATGTCCTCTGTCATCCCAAGACGCCCTGTCAGTACATGGAGACCATGTTAGAGGTGATGTGGAGACAGAATGAGACAGCATAAGGACTTTCTGCGGCACCTGGCACACAGAACCCGCCTAGGTCATGTGCATGAAAGTCCTCTGTCTGCTCTGCAGCACTGTGATGAGACTTGGTTTTTACATTCTATTGCTGCCCATTTCATTCATTCAATGGACACTTACTGCACAGCCTTAAAATATCCTCATGGCAGGCGCTATGCTAGGTTCTGGGGACAGAGATAAAGAAGATGTAGCCCCTGCCCTCTGGGGAGGTTGTCTCTGATTGTAGGAAGAAATGGTATCGGGGCTACAGGAGAAGCCCCTGAAAGCTGGGACCAGATGAGAGATCAGGCTTCTCTCTATCTGAAAATTTCTGTAAAGTTTATAATACCATTACACATAGAACAGGTTCAACAACTGCTTGCTGAATTAATTGCCCAAGCCAGGGTAGCATATAACTGAAATAAGACTTGCTGTCCTAGTAGCTGGAAGTAAAAGGTGAACCTGCTAGGGTCCCAGACCTCTATAAAATATCTCATTCTTTCAGCTCTCAGTCTAGCGTATCAGGAGTGTACAACTAAATTCAAAAACTATAATTATAGCACTATTCTTGCCTGTTGGGATGGCTTTTCTTTTCTTAAACGTGCTTCAACTGAGAGACGAACCCTGTCAAAATGGACTGTGAATGCCCGCCCACCAGGCTTCCCCATAGTCATGGCTGCAGGATGCGTCAGACACCCAGATCAGGAGGAGTGGCTTGTAATGGAGACATGAAACTAAAGAAATACCACCTGCCCAACACAACCTGGAAGGAAGAGAAGGGGGAGGAGACAAACATTTAGCATACTAGTTACTGTTACTTAAATCACCATCACCAGCCATCTAAGCTCTATGGAGTACTCCCGTAAAACAGGTACTAAGACCTGTACGTCTATTGTCTCATTAAATCCACACACTGATTCTCTGAATAGGTCCTGCTATCACACCCATTTTAGGGAAGCTACTCAGGCCATGCAGAAGTGGGTATAGCCAGGATTCAACACTCTGCTCTACAACCTACCCCTTAGTAAGTTCACTGGCTTAATCCTGAAAGCCTGTGAAATCATGCTGTAGTTCTATTTTAAGAAGTGCACTTTTTTCCTCATTTTTTTTTACAGAGACGTGACATACCAAAGACCCCAAACAACTAAGTGGGAGTTTGATTTTCAGGAGCTCCCAAGTGGCAGGCCAGACACCTTCATCCCCTCAGCCCTCCCTGAGTTCTTTATTTCCCATCCATGCTCCCGAGGCGTTGAACATGACAGGTCTCACAGAACTGATTAAAAGGCATTTCACTTTGTCTTAAGATCAGCTTATTTTGTAAACTTCTCCAGCGTGACCCTAGAAATGTGTAAAATGCTGAACCGTACCAGAAAGCCGCTGCAATTGTGTATACGGTGGGGGGGGGCAGCAAGTTGAATGACTTTTAGTCATTCAGGAATTTCAATGTCTTTCTAGGAGACACACCAGTAAATTCACTCACTGTGGTTAGTCAACATGCAGTAGAAATAATACAGGATGTGCAGTCGGAATTCAGTTCAATTCAGTGCACATGTCTGCCTCCTACACTGAGCCGTGAGCTCTCAGGACAGGGTTCATGCATTATTCATGTGCCTGCACGGTGACTGGCATGTCAATGTGATGTAAATGTTTGATTGTTGAATAATACAAAGCCAAGTGAGGTAAGTGTTATTGTAACAGAATATAAGCAAGGCAATGGACGGTAGAAGTGGCATAATTAATTCTACTTGAAGGGCTCGGGAAAGCTTTCAGGAGGTGGCAGTGGACGGAACTGCAAATGAGGGACAGACTTGGGGATGCACAGAGGACATCTGGGAGTGAGCAAAGTTCCAAATACATAAAAGTGTGTTCAAAGACAGCTGCAGCACAAGGGCTGTGGCAGAACATTCTGCACTCCCCAGGGCAGAGCCCTCGGTAGCACTCAGCCCGGTGTCCCCAGTGCCCGATACGATGGCCACCATGTAGGAAGTGCTCAGTACGGGCTGCTGAGGAGTCCAGCAAAGGCAAGAGCAGCTGGCAGCCATGAAGACAGACAGGTGAGCACCAGAGGGAGCAACCACTCCAAAAAAGAGCAGAGAGGACGATCCCTCTGCTGCCCCCGCCCTGCCCACTGCTATCACGGGACACCTTGCACCTGTTTACCATTGAGCCTCCCATTACTCTCAGAGCTCCGGGAGGACAGGGATGACTGTGGTCCTGCTCCCCAAGGCACAACACCTGAAGCACAGTGGGTACTGGGGAAATGTGCAAGAAAGAAAGGGAAGGAAAAAGGTGGGCAGCCAGCCATGGGATGGATTTCCCTGAACGCTGGGCTAAGAAACTAGGGATAGGAAAATAATTTCAACATGTTTTAGAAAGGTGACAAATGAGTTGACATTTTTATAAGGTGACAATGGCAGCAGCATCAAAGATAACAGTACCTTACAGGAGGAACTAGGATTTACCAAGCTCTAACTAATGCCAGGTACTGTATTAAGTGCCTTGCATGTAGTATAACAACCAGAAGAGCCATGGAGTGCCAGCTCCACTAGGAGGGGACAATGGTCACAGACACAAGTAACTTGGTCCAGGTCACCCAGCCAGTAGGTGGCAAAGCCAGGACTCTAACAAAAGTCCATCTGATCCTAAATATTATAACGTTGACCATCATAAGTAACTTGAAAATTGAGGGAGGCCTGACCTAGAGGCTTCCGACTAGTCTGCTGGCCTGGCTACCCGGAGCCGGCTGCTGCAGCTGTCCTCAGCTCCATCTCTACCTCTGTCCACGCCGAGATATGCAAGTGGGACTTGATGTGAAAACTGAAGCAGAGATCAGAGGAACTGAATCCTTTCCCCCGCTCCCCAAGACACTCCACTCTATGACAATACCAAGAAGTAGAAGCCACTTTTCTCCGAGACTGATTTCTAAAATTTTGCCCTGCCTTGCCGTGATTATTTTTAAGAAAAGAATTATGTAAAAATAGCCTAATAAAAGCACCTCGGAAACAGACCAGACCAGAAAGTTAGAAAGCCCAGCAGGGTGGGTAGCTCTCATATGGCACTTCAGCCAGCTCATTACCGAACCCCTCGGGTCCTGAGAATTGCACGAGTAACAGGTTTCCCTTTGTCAGCAGGAGCCAATCGTCTCCTCCCCGTCAGCGCTGCCTGTGGCCTCCCAAGGTGCTTCTCGCACTCTTGCCTTTCCCAGGTGCTCCCCATGGCCTCCCAAGGTGCTTCTTACACTCTTGCTTTCCCGGCTTCCTTCCATGTGTTATGAGCAGGCCTTATGCTGACTCTACTAAATGGCTTCTGGTTTGGATTTGCTATGGTTTTAATGAAAGTATACCTTTATTCACCCGGGGAATTGTTACATTTCACCATCCCAGAAAGTCTGAGAACAAGGGGAAAGCTAAGACAGTTTCTGAATCATCCTAGAAAAAAAACGGGGCGGGGGAAAGAAGAGAGAGAGAGGAGGGGGAGGGGGAAGGGAGAGAGAGAGAGAGCGGAGGGGGAGGGCAGGGGAGAGAGAGAGATGGACCCAGGAAATGTAGACAAAGGCACCTGACTTCCTCAAGCGGGGCATGCCTTTGCTTATTTCAAGTCAGCCTTAACAATTTGGATGTTCTGGTTTTCCAGGCCCTGGCAGACCAAGGAAGCCAAACCATCAGTCTTGGGACTGCAACTAAACAGCTACTCCTACCCCACCCACCCTGTGCTAAGCACTGTGTTAGGTCCTCCAGAGACAGGAGCGTGTGTTCTGGGATGACCACGTGAGAGAGGGACTGGATCCTGGTAAGTATCCAGACGAGAACACCAAGCCTCCAGCACTCAGTCAACTTGCTCAAGACAAGTCATAAAGCTAAACAATACGAGACGCCAAAACCCGTGTTCTCGTCATCACGCCAGCTGAACAGAGACTGTGCTGGACAACCCGAAGCGACAGAGGCAACGAGCAACAGCAACACCCACGAAAGGGAGAGGAAAACCACACAGAAACCAGGAGGGCAACAGGCCGGCCTATTCCACATACACAGAAGCAGCAGAGTGCAAGAGATTCGACGCTGCCACCCCAGGCCGCGCCCAGGCCAGTAACTGAAGAATGTTCAAAGTCCCACCTTCAGAATGCTACTATTTCCAAGCATAAGGTATGCTCAGAAGATGTCTAACCACACTGCTTATTTGTGTATTAAGTTCTGTAGCTTAAGAGTGACGTATTCAAATAACAAGCAAATCCACACACATGGGAACAGCTTATTCCCCTCTGATGCCAACCAACCAAGGTATTTATAGCTAAGAAATAAGAGAGGAAATTCACAGTGCAGAGATGATTTTTCTATAGCCACAGCACTATGGAAAGCTGAATAGCTTGGTCGTCCGATTTAATATGTGTTTGCACCTCAAAAGTGGGCCTGTTTTCCCCATCCTTCCTGTGGCACAGAACTGGGTGTCTGAAGGGGCTCTGCAGAATCCTACACAGTAATATGCTGCAGGAATAACAAGAGAGCCATCGATTAACAGTGGAACATCTGTCACCAATTTCTTTCCCCTGTGAAATTTCATTTCAGAAATAATAGTCATTATTTAAATGCTAGCATTTAGGTAAGGGCTATCAGGTGAAATTGGTTACTTTACGTTGATAATAACAGAGGAATTACTGCCGCTGTGAACTTGAGACATGTAAGAAGCCATTAATATTAGCTCCTAACTCCAGGGATGCTGTGGTACAACATTCATGAGAAAAGCAATAAAGAGAATCTCGCCTCAAAACATTTATGAATTTTTAATTATAACAATACGGAGCCATCATTTTTTGTTAAAATATTAAACAGAAGAATGAAGAAATTAAGCGGTGTGAACGTGCATTTATGTATACAGGTATGTATATGTTTCTATTTGTATCACACTCATATACACATATCTGTGAACATTTCTGGAAAAGCTAATATAGTCAATGTTTCTTAATTTCAGCTTTATTACAATGAAATCTATGACTAAGCAAAAGCAAGAGTTCACCTCTTTCACAATCTACACATAAAAACTTGCTTACAAGTGGCCAGGCATGGTGGGTCACGCCTGTAATACAGGACTTTGGGAGGCTGAGGCGGACAGAGTATTTGGGCTTAGGAGTTCAAGACCAGCCTGGCCAACATGGTGAAACTCTGCCTCTACTAAAAATACAAAAGAAAAAAATTAGCCGGGTGTGGTGGCTCATACCTGGAGTCCCAGCTACTTGGAACGCTAAGGCAGGAGAATCGCTTAAACCTGGGAGGTGGAGGTTGCAGTGAGCCGAGGTTGTACCACTGCACTCCAGCCTGGGCGACAGAGTGAGACTCTGTCTAACAAGACAAAAAAAAAAAAAACTTGCTTACACGTGAATTCAAACTAGAAGAATTACATGACATCGCTAGACCCTCCTTGTCCAGAAATGGGGTGGGTTATAAACTCATCTCTGTGGCCGGGTGCAGTGGCTCATGCCTGTAATCCCAGCACTTTGGGAGGCCAAGGCGGGTGGATTACGAGGTCAGGAGACAGAGACTATCCTGGCTAACATGGTGCAAACCCATCTCTACTAAAAAATACAAAAACATTAGCCGGGCGTGGTGGTGGGTGCCTGTAGTCCCAGCTACTCGGGAGGCTGAGGCAGGAGAATGGTGTGAACCCGGGAGGCGGAGCTTGCAGTGAGCCGAGATCGCGCCACTGCACTCCAGCCTGGGCGACAGAGCGAGACTCCATCTCAACAACAACAAAAAAAAACCCACTCATCTCTGTGTTAGGAATTTGTGAACACAGGGACACACTCACCCCATAAAAGCCCCAACGACAGTCTAGACCCCTGAGAGACCCACAAAGGTCTGTCTGACCCTTAATATCATGGATCTTTACCATAAACTTAAAATGCAGGGGATTTTAAAGGGAGTCTGTAATAGTAAGAATTAAAATAAGTCAGGAAAGCGAAGATGAGAGGAGAAAACAAAGCAAGAAACTTCTTTATCTGAAGATTGATGTCTGAAGAAAAAGCGGTTTATTCTGAGGGAGTGAAGATGTGTGCAGAGACTAGAGGGGGCCCCTCATGGGACTCTTGGTGCCTCCCAGGTGTCAGGGATGGAAGGAAAAGGAAAAGGGGAAGGACAATTTGTAGGGTCCACAGGCAGGCTCCTGCAGGCACCAGGCACCGGCATGCAAACGTGGTCTGCAGAAATGATGCACACACCAAGAACAACTGCTATCTGTAAAGCAAACAAGCTCGACGTTGTCCCAAGAGCTTTCCCCATCCTGCGTTAACATTTCACGCTCACCACAACCCTATGCAGCGGGTAAGAGTGTCAATACTACGTAAGCACTCACTATGCGGCAAGCATTGCTCTTAGTTCTTAGCTGCTAAGGATGCAGCAGTGAAATAAACAGACGACCACCACCGCCCACCCAAAAAGACCTCTTACACTTGGTGTGATTATTTCATCAGAAAAAACTCCATGAAGTACCACTCACCTGGTATGTGGAGAGCGCTAAGAGTAAAAGCTATTCTTTTGGGGTTTTTCGTTGTTGTTGTTGTTGTTGTTTGAGATGGAGTCTCACTCTGTCACCCAGGCTGCAGTGCAATGGCACGATCTCAGCTCACAGCAACCTCTGCCTCCTGGGTTCAAGCGATTCTCCTGCCTCAGCCTCTCAAGTAGCTGGGATTACAGGTGCCCACCACCAAGCACAGCCAATTTTTGTATTTTTTAGTAGAGATGGGGTTTCACCATATTGGCCAGGCTGGTCTTGAACTCCTGGCCTTGTGATCCACCTGCCTCGGCCTCCCAAAGTGCTGGAATTACAGGCGTGAGCCACCACACCCAGCTGAGTAAAAGCTATTCGTAGTACTGAGATATAAAATAACTCTATCAAAGTACAAAGAGAATCATATGGGAACCCAAAGAAGGGGGTTTTTCATCTCGTGTGGCAAAATTTTATACAGCAGACATTTTAGAGACAGTTAAAGAAGCTAAGCTCAATGGGCTCAGAATAAGGATAACTTAAAAATAAAAATCAATCCACAACCAAGTCCTATGCTGTCTCCTATAGTTAACATCCACAACCAAATCCTATACTTTCTCCTATAGTTAACATCCATAACCGAGTCCTATACTGTCTCTGCTCCGCCTCCCTCACCCTCCCCACCACCAGAGGCTTCTGCTCATACTCCCATGTCCTCTGAGCAGGTCCTCTGTTCATTCATGCTGGCAGCTTTTGGTGCTGTAGGACTAAAGTGACAGGAATTACTCCCTTTGTGTATTTTGGAAACAGATGGTTTGTTTTCATTAATGTAATTCCACATGTAAATGTACCGCAGCTTGGAACAAGAATTAAAAAAGAATGATAGCTTTCATTTTTCACGTGTAACCCTGTTGCTTTGAAAATGGCTCTACCATGCCGTCTATTTACGTTTATCATGATTACAGGTAAAGTCACAAGAGCTGGGAAGGAGGAGGCCTTTGTTTTTATGCCGGCTCCTCGTGCAGCTGACCTGTGACCTGAGGCTGGCCACCCACCTCTTCTGCTTTCACTTTCCCTGTGCATAAAGCCAGGGTGGCCCTATGTGCCCTGCGCATCCTCAGACTGACTGGGGACCCGACTGGAGAGAACCACAGAAAACCACACAATAACAAAGACAGACGAAGTGTAGGCAAGGCATGACGGGTGACTACACTTGAGGGCTGGGGAGAGAAGACGACCATGTTGACGGTCTCGGCATGAACCACCGCCAAAAGCATCTCCCTTGGAATTCTGTCCCGCTGCCACAGTGCTCCCCACCTTCTACATCAACGCTTGGAAGTGCTCTCTAGGCCGACCAGGTAAATGGAAAGTGTGGCTTGCCCCGGGGCTGGGGCAGGGATTGGCTGGGAAGGAACATGTGGGAATTTTCTGGGGTGGCGGAAACGTTCTATATCCTGATAAGGGTTTGCGTTAGACAGATCCATGTATTTCTAAACCTCACTAAATGGTACACGAGATTTGCACATGTCACTGTACATGTATTTTACCAAAAAAAAGTGAACTCTAGTTAATGGTACATGTGCTACAGCATTTAGGGGTAAAATATACTGAAAACTGCAACTTACTTTAAACTGCATTAAAAAAAAATAAGATGGATTTGGCCAGGTGCAGTGGCTCATGCCTGTAATCCCAGCACTTTGGGAGACTGAGGCGGGCAGATCACGAGGTCAGGAGATCAAGACCATCCTGGCTAACACGGTGAAACCCTGTCTCTACTAAAAATACAAAAAATTAGCTGGGCGTGGTGGCAGGTGCCTGGAGTCCCAGCTACTCGGGAGGCTGAGGCAGGAGAATGGCGTGAACCCGGGAGGCGGAGTTTGCAGTGAGCCAAGATCGCACCACTGCACTCCAGCCTGGGTGACAGAGCAAGACTCTGTCTCAAAAAATAAAATAAAATAAATAAATAAATAAATAAATAAATAAATAAATAAGATGGATTAAAGGATGGATAGGAGGCTGGATAGATATGTAATAAGGCAAATATAACAAAATGTTCATTACAGTACCTAGATGGTTTGTATGTAAGTGTTTGCTATAAAATTCTTTCAACTCTTCTGCATGGTTCAGTATTCTTATAATAAAAGTTTGAGGATGGAATGATGGTTGATACAGAACAAGTTCCAGATGAAGTCAGAGACATAAGGAACACCAAGGATGGTCGGGCACGGTCGCTCGTGCCTGTAATCCCAGCACTTTGGAAGGCCAAGGTGGATGGATCACTTGAGGTCAGGAGTTCAAGACCAGCCTGGCCAACTTGGTGAAAGTACATCTCTACTAAAAATACAAAAAATTAGCCAGGCATGGTGGCAGGCACCTGTAATCCCAGTTACTCAGGAGGCTGAGGCAGGAGAATCTCTTGAACCTGGGAGGCGGAGGTTGCAGCAAGCCAAGACCACGCCACTGCACTCCAGCCTGGGCAACAGAGCGAGACTCCATCTCAAAAAAAAAAAGAGAAACACCAAAGGCTAAGGTAGCCTAGAAAGGTGGGACAGAAGCTGGACCTTGAGATGAGACCTCAGATGACCAAGAAGCAGAGGAAGGCCTCTCCGGGAAGGGGGCGGTGTCTAAGGTAGAGCAGCAGAGGCAGTGACCTGCACAGAGCAGGCGTGGAGAGGGGAGCATCTAAGGCAGAGCCGTGCCGCACATTCAAAATCGCACAGTGGTTCCCACACGCTTGTCTACGTCCTCCACTCAGCCAACAGGAGAGAAAGGCATGCTCCCATCAGCCTCATTCTCGAAATGCGGCTGATAGGGCC
The DNA here is from genome assembly GCF_000001405.40 of Homo sapiens. Lineage (NCBI taxonomy): Eukaryota > Metazoa > Chordata > Mammalia > Primates > Hominidae > Homo > Homo sapiens. The sequence goes on from NC_000008.11 coordinate 140,270,417, forward strand.
ATGCCACCAAATGTCTTTCCGTCACCAATTACTCGGTACTGAGCACCTGCTATGTGCCAGGCCCTGGAAATAGAAGAGAAAACCCAGTCACTGCCTTGGAGAGACCATACCCTGATTAGAGAAAGAGACCAATAAAGAAGCCATCACCATACACAGTGGCAAGACCTCCTGTGGCACTAAGTCAGAGCAGCCTGAGGCAGCAAAGGAGACCCAGGAGCCCAGGCTTAGGCAGGCTTTCCAGAAAGGGCAGCCAAGCCAGAGCCCAGAGGATAAATGCTCCGGAGCTGAGGAGGCAGGAGGGGTGGGAGAAGTCAGCATGGCGTGCCCGGGGAGGAAAGGGTGTGTCTATGGCAGATGGCAGGAGCATCCAGGAAGCCAAAATTAGCTCCTGACAGCAATGCGACTCCAGCTGAAGAGGAGAGGTGGCCATAGATGAAGCCAAGCATGGGGCAGAGGCTGGGCCACACAGGGCCGCGGGGGCCAGGGCGACAGCAGCCACTCATGGATTTCTGAAGACAGAAGCAGGTGAAGACTTTTGCTTCAGAAAGAAAGGGGGATTTTGTAATGAATAATGGGCACACGATTACCACAGAGTTTATTTGAGGTAAGGAAAAAATGTTTTCCAGTTGCTAAGCTGGGAGGGCAAGTTAAATTACAGGAGATGTGAGAAAAGTTTGCCACGTAGACTGTAATTTTCTGTAATTCAATATTAGCTTGCTTGTTCAAGTATCAACCAAACTCTATAACCAATTAATTAAGTTCAGAGTACCAGATGAAGGATTTTATGCCAGAGAAGCACTTTCTACCTCACCCAAATTGGTCCCAAAAGGAGGGTGGGTAGGAAAGCATGAAATTAAGGTAGTATCATTAAATTTCTCAAAGACTATACAAAGTTTTTAAAATAAGACACAAATAAACAACATTTTTAAAAGAAAAAATGATTAAATGAACCACATTAAAGTTAAGAACTTCTGTTCATCCAAAGCCACCACTAAGAGGTAAAGGCAAACAAATCATAGTATGGGAGAGGATGGTCACGCCACGCGTCCAACAAAGAGCTCACACCAAGGGTATACATAAAGAAGTCCTCCAAGTCAGGAGAGATGGGGAAGGGGAGGGAGAAACAGAGATAGAGACAGAGAGAGAGAAGACAACCAATGGGGGAAAAAAGGGCAAAGTCCTCATACAAAAGAGGATATACGAGTGGCCAGAACATTGGAAAAGTGCTCAACTTCACCAATCATCGGGGAAAAGCAAATTGAAACCCGAATGCTACACCATTATATACCTCACTCTCACCACTCTCATCTCAAGAATGAATAACATGAGTGCAAACACCAAGTAAAGGCAGGTGAAATGAATCTATGCCATTAGAAGTCAAACAGTGGTAGCCTTAGGCAGAGAAGTGGCTAGACATCTGATGCACAAAACTTCAATCCTCATGACAACTCTACAAAGTGGTGGTGTCTGTGGCAATAGCAATAGTGGCAGTGGTGGTGGTGGTAGTGATGGTGGTAGTGGTAGCAGCAGTGATGGTGATGGTGCTTGTGAGGATGGCAGTAATGGTGGTGGTGGTGGTGGTAGTGATGGTGGTGACGGGTGATGGTGGCAGTGGTAATGGTGGTGGTTGTGGTGGTTATGGTAGTGATGGTGATGATGGTGGTGGTTGTGTTGATGATGAGGTGATTGTGGTGGTGGCAATGGTGATGGTGGCGATGGTGATGGTGATGGTGGTAGCAGTGATGGCAGTGGTTATAGTGGTGGTGGTTATGGTGGTGATGGTGGCAGTGGTGAGGGTGGTGGTTGTGTTGATAGTGGTAGTGGTGGGGGTGGGGGTTGGGGTGGTGTTTGTGGTGGTGACGATGGTGGTGGCAGTTGTGACAGTGGTGGTTGTGGTGGTTATAGTGGTGATGGTGGTTTTGGTGGTCACAGTGGAGAGAGTGGTGGTAGTGAGGGTGGTGGTGATGATGGTGATGGTGGCGATGGTGATAATGGTGATGGTGATGGTGGTGATGGTAGTGATGGTGGTGCTGGTGATGGCAGTGGTAGTGATGGTGATGGTGGTGGTGGCAGCGGTGATGCCGGTGGTTGTGGTGGCAGTAGTGGCAAAAGTAGCAGTGTATTAATTCACTTTGCATTGCTATAAAGGAATACCTGAGGCTGGCTAATTTACAGGGAGAAGAGGTTTTATTTGGGCCCATAGTTCCACATCCTGTACAAGCACGGAGCTGGCCTCTGCTTCTGGTGAGGGCCTGAGGAAGCTTCCATTCATGGCAGAAGAGGGCAAAGCGGGAGCAGGCAGTCACACAGTGAGGGGAGAGGGGAGGAGGCACCAGGCTCTTTCGAACAACCAGCACTAATGAGAACTAACAGAGTGAAAACTCATTCATTCCCATGAGACGAGCACCCAGCCATTCATCAGGGATCCACCCCCATGACCCAAAACCCCCCACCAGACCCCCCTCCAACACTGGGGATGATACTTCAACATGAGAGGTGGAGAGGACACACACCTAAACCACAGCAAGTAGTAACTTGTGTGAGAACAAATCTGAGTGCTTACATGCCAAGCACTGTCTCAAGTGCTTCACACATATTATCTCATTTAATTCTCAGTTAAATCAATGAGATGTAGGTACCATTCTTAGTGTTATTTTACAGAACAGTAGGGCCAGACAGTGCCCTCCCCAGAGGTCTGGGTGCCCCGAGCTGAGACTCCAGCACCGGAGCCGGGACACTCCTCTGAGGTCTCAGTTGCCGCTCCTGGGTACTTCCTCTCAACTTCTGGGCCACACTCGTCCAACCTCTTCACAGGCTGTGCCAGCCCAGGGCAGGAGCTGCCTCCCTCCTCGCACTTCCTGTTGCTTTACATTATCTTTGCCTCTCAAACACTCTGCACCTGTCAGCCATTGTTCATAGCGATTCTTTCTGTTCTGGTGTGGCCTGTCTCCTGCCTGGCCCCGGAGTGACACAAGGAGGGACCTGGCCACCGACAGCTGTGATCCAGCTCGGCTTGGGCTGCTATGCCACTAGTTCCCTTATCCTAGAGACAGGCCGCCCGTGTTTTTGTTATTGAAAATGCAGGTGAGGCTTGCAGTGAAGCCTTTCACACACAGGTTGTGTGATCAGTGAGCTCCAATGCCTCCTTCCCCTCCCACCCCAGGCCTCCCCTTTCTTGGCCAAAGGCCTGGCACAGAAAAGGTAACCCCTCGGCATTCCTGCTGCTCCAGGCATCTGCCCAGGCCCCTCTGCCTGGCTTTCATTGTTGGGGTACTTTTGGGTGCTGCGTTGCCTACTCGGGGAACAGCTTTTCCTTAGTCCTCCCAGAGTCCCACTTCCGCTCTCGCCCTCCCTCTAACCCAGTTTCCACGACACCTGTGGCCGATGCTTTGTTACGGGGGGTTGAAATGATTTCCTTGTTTCACAGGGAATGGTTTTATTTTCACTGTTTCTTCACACTTTGTTGTTCGGGGGAGATTTCAAGAGAAAGAGTAGAATAAAAATGCTACTCTTCTGCCATCTTTATGCAGAAACCATGCCAAATTAACAACTGCCAGCAGGTTCTGTACTGGGCCCCGGCTCCCCAGGGGATGGGACCACCTCCCTGTGATCTCCTTGGGGCTGAAGCGAAGCCTAAGATGAATGCAAGAACCACTCCTCAGGGACAAGGGAGCAAGACGAACACATCAGACTTGCATTTTTAATAACTATTTAGCATATAACAATTTGCCACTTATGGCCTCACTCAATAAAAAATACACTTGTTATTCCATGTTGTGTGACTAGCACTGAAAGGAAAAAGGAAAAAAAAAACCCACAGAAAAGGGAAGGATTCAAGACAAGAAAATATAAAATGAGTGTGCACCAACAAGCTACAGGTGACTTCCTGCTCCATGCCCACTCCCTGCTCTGGGCACACCCGGCCCTCCTGAGCAAGAACACAAGGTGGGCTGCCCCACGGCTCCAGCCCCGTGACCATGCACATAAATCACTAGAGGACAAGCCTGGGTCCCTCCCCAGGGCAAGGCTCCTTCCAGGGCAGACACGGACCGGGAGAATGGGTTAGACAATGCGGACGCAAAGCTTCGTGCTTTACTTCCTACAGACACAGATTTCTATCAAAATCAGTGGAAGAAATATGGGAATACAAGATACCCTGAAATTCTCCAGAGCGGTACAAGCCCAAATTAACCCTTTCTTACACACTCCAAACTCATTCTCTCATGACATAATTCTTTGCCTGCAAATTCTCCCAAGCTCAGCCCTGGACCTTCCCTCAAGCTGGAACTAACCAGAGGGTCTGTGGCTCTACCTCTAAGAAACTTGGTTTGTCGCATTATAATGTCATTAGCATGGGGAGGGAGCCCTCTGCCAGGAAGTAACATGTGATTAGTACATCATCTACTGGAAACTTAACCAGAACCAGTCAAACTCCCCTTGTATGCCTGGTTCATCTCACCCATACGTCAAAAGCACATAAAACACCCCAAAGTCCTGCTAACTTGCTTTCCCTTTTTCATTCTCTGTCTGGTCTCACTAGCCTACAATTTCTCTAACTGTATTAAATTACCCGGTTTTATTTACACATATTACTCTTGATACTTTTCCCTCCTCCTATACAATACATTCCCCTTTGATCAATGCACTCGCCAGCCTCTGACACACCAGGTGTCCTGCCAAACACGACCTCCCTAGTTCACTCTTGTAATGTATGTGCTAAATACTACCCCCCCTATTTATCCAAGAGGAAATCGAGGCACAGGAGTAACAGTTCCCCAAGGACAAATAGCTAGTAAATGGTGAAGTCCAAACTTCAGCACAGGTCCCCTGACCCCAAACTACACGAGCTGGATGCATGATGGGTTGGATCCCAAACAGACTCTTTCCAGGCCTGCTAATGCTTCTCTCCCATTCATTGAAGAAATAGTTCTGCTGAGTAGCTGATGGATGCTGAGGTCTGGGAAAGGGCACTGGGGGTACAGAGGTGTGTGCTCGGTCCCACTGTCTTCTGCTGTGTGTCTTTCATGAAGAACTGGTTTCCCACTGTCATGATGGCACCAAGCCTCCCCAAGGCTCCTGCACTCAAGCTCTCAGCCTGTAAGCCCTCGCCTGACTTCTACTGACTTCAACTGAATCCACAAAGAAGTTTTTAGATTCTCTGAAAACTGAGAATTTAAAGTATCTCTTCTACAAGTAAACAATACAAACATTCCCAGGGTCAAAGCTGCTTACAATACCTACCTTTAGTGGTGAGAACTTTCGAGGTGACCTCCAGTTTCTCCAATGGTTCCATTCCAATATTTTCCAATTTAATGATTAGTTGCTGACTTTCTCCATTGTAAAGCTGGACAGATACATTAGTAGATATTTCATCACCAGAAGAAGGTTGCAATGAATGTGCAGATCTAAAATAAGAAGAAGAAATTTAAAGAAGAAAGAAGGAAGAAGCCAAGGCCATTTGAAAATTACTCACTTCCCAAAGAAGAATCACCATACTCATGCATTTCAGAAACAGGGGCTAGGAAATCTGGGCTTCATATATGGAGTTCAGTATCCAGCTCTCAGGAATGGAAAGTGAGCTGCCACATGCCTCATGCTTTCCTCATGCAGACACGTCCAGGTCTTTGTGTGTCATAAACATGAACACCCTCACTCAGCCTTCATTTCTCAGGCATATGTGAAGCATAAAAATACTTAATTACTAAGTTATGGGGTATAAAAATTACATGATGAATTCATTCAAATAAACCATGAGGCCGCTGTTCTCTCAAAATCTAAAAAATGTCATGCTTAGAAGTACCTTGGGAAACTCCATAGATTTAAGAGGAAAATGTATACCAACCATTCCAGCTGCTAACATAGAGCTGAGGCCAAAGAGGAAACAGAAGCTGTCCCACAGACCCCTTCTTACAGGTACAAACTGTAAGGAATGCCCACCAACACCTGGCGTCACATGAGGGCAGCTGGGCCAGGCCCTGGGGTCAGGCAGTATCTGTGGGGCTCCATCCTCACACCAGTCAGGTGAGGCCCTGGACTACGGGACAGGCCAAGGCAGCCAAGCCAGATGAACGTGCAACACAGAAGCCAGGGCCTCCCCGAGGCTCCTGCACTCAAGCTCTCAGCCTGTGAGCCCTCACCTGACTTCTATTGACTTTAACTGAATCCACAAAACTAATTGTCCTGGTTGCATCCTTCCCAATCCACAGGCTGCAAACAGTGGGTTGGGAAGGAGGTCACTGGTGATCACAGAGAAAATATATCTGGTAGCACAGTGGGGACAAATGCCAGCAGATGACAAATAGAGGCATGTGACAGGTGAGGTTAAACACACACACGGCTCCCTGGAGAAGTTTGGCCACAGGACAAAGGGGCAGACAGAGGAGGTGGCCAGAGCGGGGAGGCCAACATGTTCTCCTGGGGCCTGAAGGTTTCCTGAGTACCCCACTACCTTCTTCCTGTCCCTGAAGGATTTCCACAGAGAGCCACAATTAGTCCAGCATACTTGAGCCAACATCGTGTGCTTAGTGCATCCAGAAATGGCTCATGAAGTCAACTAAGCGGACTGTGGACCACCCCACTCCAGACACTCTCCAGCAGTCTTTCCAATGCCCAGCTCCTCCTGGCCCTGCTCCCGGTCACAGCACACAGGATCGGAGTCGGATCTGCTTCCCACGCCGAAGCACTTGGTGTCACACACTATTGGTCCAAAGGACAGAAAAGAATGTTCCAGACTCAGACCTCTGCCACCCAAGGGAAGAAATGCTGCTTAACACAAGCCAAGCTCATGGTGCCGGGCACGTGTTTCCTGGGGGCTTCCAGATACAGACTCTGATAGAGGAGCTTCTGCATCCAAACCAAATTTTGGTGAAACAATTGCATAATAAATCAAGGTGAGCTCCTTGGAATTTAAATATCTTTAACGATCATGAGTCAAGAAATAAACTTCCTCTGTCAAGGAAGGAAAATTGGACTCGTGTCCTTACCATCAAGGGCTTTTTCCCACCTTTCAGCAGGCAGCCTTTCTCAAGCAAAAGTTTATAGTCAATGTGGATTTGCAGAGAAGGTATCGGAAAAACATAAAACACTGCCAAGATTCACTATTTTGTGTCTCAAACAACAGGATTTTGAAACAAAACAAAACAACGCTTCACCTGGCAGTCACAGGGCCTGGGCCTAACACAGGCCCTGACGGTCCCAGCTGCAGCATCCCAGTTGTCATGAGCAGTGGAGCTTGGGTGGGAATCGGGCTGGCACTGAAAAGGAGCTGAGTCCTGAACAGGCCATGGCACTAAAGAGATGGCAGCAGGGACCCCACTCCAGCCAAGGTCAGGCCCCCAGGGAGGGGCTGCAGAGGCTGGGCAAGGGTCAGGTCCAGTCTCCTAGGAGGAGATGAGGACCGGGAGCTTCTTGGCAGAGAGAAACTCCAATGTGGGACTATGGGCAAACTGTGGGAGGTAGGAGTAAGGTCTATGGCGATGAGACTCTCTTGTTTAAGGAGATGGCCCCTCATATGAGGTCTGTGTTGAGGGAGCCCCTGGGTCTCAGCAGCACAGGAAGTGCAACGGGAGTCACTGGTGCCTGAAGCTTGGCACGCCTGTGTCCCCCGAGCACTCTGTGGGCTCAGCTGCCCTTCCTGTAGCTCTGCCCTCCCCACCCCTGCACTGGACCAAAAGTTTTTTCAAGACAGGGACAAATTTTTTTTTTTTTGAGATAGTCTCGCTCTGTCGCTCAGGCTGGAGAGCAGTGGCACAATCTCCACTCACTGCAACCTCTGCCTCCCGGGTTCAAGCGATTCTCCTGCCTCAGCCTCCCGAGTAGCTGGGATTACAGGCTCATGCCACCATGCCCAGCTAATTTTTTTGTATTTTTAGTAGAGATGGGATTTGGCCATGTTGGCCAGGCCGGTCTCGAACTCCTGACCTCAGGTGATCCACCTGCCTTGGCCTCCCAAAGTGCTAGGATTACAGGAGTGAGCCACCGCACCCGGCCGTGACAATATTTTTATCTTGCATTATCAGCTCCTACCCAGCCAGGCAACTGGCACATAGCAGGTACTCACTAAGTATGTATTGAACAAATTAATAAGCATCTCAAACTTGAACCACTGTGCGACACAGAAAAGCACGCTAGCAGTAGTCAAGATGGGCCTGGGACAGAGTGGCCTGCTGCACACTTCACAGCTGCCTCCTGCTGAGCCTCACCCTGTGCAGTGCATCTCTGTATGGCTGCCTGGCCATGGAGAGGGCCGGACAACGCAATTCCACAGGAGATGCCATCAGGCCGCCTGCTCCTGACCTCTGCCCTCATCACTGTCAGTGCTCAAGGCACCACTCCCGCCAGGCTCCATCTGGGCACCCGCGACTCCCATCCTGGAATGCTCTCTGCCACATCCCACTGGCTGCCTACCAGCTCTGCTCCTCTGCGCGTCTCCTCGGCAGAGGCCTTTCCTGAGAAGTTCCCTGCAAAGCAAGCCTGGCCATCTGACACTGCTTCGCAAAGTGACCTGCCTTCTGTCTCTGAAGGCCTGCCTCTTCTGGACATCTCATCTCATCTGACCCACTGTGTTTTCATCACAGCGCTGAATTCTCCTGCGCCATGGTCTGTATTTATTGGGTTGGTTGACTTGTTGTTCCCTCTTCTTTGCATTTTCTTCCATGCTTGATTATCTGACCAATTGTTGTGGATCTTGTAAGGCCCAGTTTAATACCACATCTTCTGTGAAGCCTTCCCGAACCCCAAAGACAGGGTCAACCTCTACTTTGTTTTTATATTACAGGGCCAGTTAGCAAATTTGACTCTAGTTAGTCTGAGTACCTCCTTCCAGACTGAGAGCTCATACAAGGGCAGCGGCCTAGGTCGAGGGCATTTTTTATTCATTGCATTTTTTATTAATTGCTAGTCCTACAGCACAGAGCCTAAAGCACATGGTAGGTGTCGATAAACGTTTGTGAGTAAATTTAATGAATCAGTCACTGGAATGTTCATATTAGATTAATAACAATCAAAACTCAAAGAATAGTCACATTTTATTTCAGGAAGTCACCTTAGAAAAATATATACATTATATACAATTTTTTAAAATAAGAAATAAAAAGCAAACATTTTAACTCCAAATCGGTTCCACTGGACCCTCCTCCTCCAGCCCCTGGTCCTCATCAGGACCATGCTGGGATCCACATTCCTCCCCAGGGCCCAGGCTCGGTGCCGTGGTGGCCGCCCACAGCAGCACATCTTGTTGAGAGGTAGCAGGTACCAGAGCATGCACGCACCCCCGTCACAGTGCATCCGCAGGACAATAAAAATGGGGGGTCAGAGGCATTATCTTTGGAAATGATTCTAAACACAGGAGAAAAATGTGGGGTGGACAAAGAGAAGCAGCTAGAGGACCTGCTTTCTTCACTGCCTTTTACAGCTGGCAGGGACCTTCGGGGACACCTTATTAGCAGGACAAATGACAAAGTTAAAGTACCTCTTCTCAAGTTATTTTTCCTTTTTGGTGATCTGCCCTTAGCGTTTCTTCGCCTTAAGCCACCCCCCGCCCTTTTGCTGGAGCGCTGGCCGGAGCTTGCTAAGCTGGAGATGGAGCCACGATCTCCTTTATGAGCTCTCTCAGTGCCCACCTCCAGCTTTCGTTGGGCGGCTGGTGCCCTGCACAGGCCTGTGAGCGCGTGCCGTGACACTGTAGCTGAAGCTAGTGTCCTTCCTAGCCTAGCGCCCACTGGGTGCCACAGTTCTACGGACAGCAGTGGCAGAATTTCAGCAGCCAAAGCCAGAGCTGGGAGTCTGAGCGTCTGGCTGTTCAAGCTAATGTGCTTGGAAGCGTCCAGGCCCGGGAAGTCCTGGTGGCAGGCTCGGCGGAAATCATGTGTCCATCCAACACTGAAGCCTTGCCAAAATTCATCTTTCTAAACAGCATGTGCAGGTATAAAATCCACCTAGCTTAAGTATGCAATGCAATCATTTTTGGTAAATTTACAAATCACTGATACCTATTGTTTTTTTGTTTTGTTTTGTTTTGTTTTTATTTTGAGACAAAGTCTCGCTCTTTGTCCCCCAGGCTGGAGTGTAATGTCGCGATCTCGGCTCACTGCAACCTCCGCCTCCCAGGTTCAAGCGATTCTCCTGCCTCAGCCTCCCAAGTAGCTGGGATTACAGGCTCCTGCCACCATGCCCAGCTAATTTTTGTATTTTTTTTTTAGTAGAGACAGGGTTTCACCATGTTGGTCAGGCTGGTCTCCAACTCCTGACCTAAGGTGATCCGCCCGCCTCTGCCTCCCAAAATGCTAGGATTACAGGCATGAGCCACCACGCCCAGCCTGATACCCAGTTTTAAAACACTTGCAGCACCCCAAAGAGATGACGCAGGAGCACTTCCAATCAGTTTAGTCCCCACACCACTGGCAGTCTCAGGCAGCCGCTGAGCTGTGTCCTGCCACTAGAGACCTGCTTTCTGGATGTTTCACATCAGAGGACTCACGCTCTGCGCCTCTTACATCTGGCTTCTTGCACTCAGCAGCTCGCCTCTGAGGCTGGTCTGCACTGGGGCACGTGTCCCTTCGTCCCTTCATTGCGGAGTGGTGTTCCACTGCAGGGACACACCACATTCTGCTGACCCATTCACCAGCTGATGGCCATCTGGGCCCTTTCCAGTTTTCTGACTGTGAACGATGCTGCTATGAACACTCGCACACAGGTTTCTGTGTCAACATATGTGTTCCATTGTCTTGAGCAGGTACCTAGGAGTGGAGTTGTTGGGTCACATGGTAAACTTATGTGTAACTTCTGAAGAAACTGCCAATGTATTTTCAAAAGGGATGTCCCATCAGCATCCCCATCGGCCTCGCACGAGGCGTCCAGCTTCTCCGAAACCTTGCAGCCCTGCTATGGTGAGCCCTGTGAGCGGGTGTGAACTGGAGCCTCACATGGTGCCAGTTCAGAGACTAATGATGTCGACCATCCTTCCAGGTTGCTTATGAGCTATTTGTATATCTTGTGGTGAAATAGGTACTCAAATCTCTTGTCCATTTTTTAAATTAGGTTGTTTGCCTTATTTTTATTAAGTTTTAAGAGTTCTTAATGTGAATATAAGCTCTTTATCAGATATTTAATATGCAAATATTTTCTTCCAGTCTGTAACTTTCATTCTTTTAATGGTGTCTTTGGAAGCGTAAAAGCTTTTAATTTTGATGAAGTCCAATCTGTCAACGTTTTATTCCAGGGATCCTGCTTTTGGTGTCACATCAAAGAACTCTGCCCAATTCAAGGTCATGATAATTTTCTTTTATTTTCTTCTAAAAGTTATATATTTTCAGCTTTTAAACTCAGGTCTACGATCCCTTTTGAGTAAATGTTGTCTGTGTTTCATTTTATTCCCCGGTTATACGTCAGTGTCTCCACCTCTCCTTCCTCTGTTGAAGACCGCCCTGCCTGCTCTTGCACCCAGCCAATTCCTCCTCCCTCCCATCGAGCCTGTTGTCGCCTCCTGGAAGAACTCTTCCCTGAGTCTGTGACCTCCCCCAGCACATGGGACCTCCCGCATCACAGTCCTGACGACAGTGCACTGTGATTATTCGGCGACTTGTCAATTTCTCCACTTGACAGAACTTCCCGTGAGGACAGAGACCAGGACTGTCATGATCAGTGCTACAGCCCCATCACCCAGCACAGCAACTGGCAAATGAAAGGGTCTATTGAACACATGAATGGGCTTTAAAAACATTTCAGAAAATCCCAAGACACATTTTATAAAAATGGCCAAAAGGATATCCATTAAGTGTTATTCGTAAGTGCAAAAATTAAGAACAGGCTGGATGTGGTAGCTTGTGCCTATAATCCCAGCACTTTGGGAGGCCAAGGTGGGCAGATCACTTGAGGTCAGGAGTTTGAGACCAGCCTGGCCAATGTGGCAAAATCCCATCTCTACTAAAAACACAAAAATTAGCTGGGCGTGGTGGCGGGTACCTATAATCCCAGCTACTCAGGAGGCTGAGGCAGGATAATTGCTTGAACCCGGGAGGTGAAGGTTGCAGTGAGCCGAGATTGCGCCACTGCACTCCAGCCTGGGCGACAGAGCCAGACTCCACCTCAAAAAAAAAAAAAAAGATTGTGCCACGGCACTCCAGCCTGGGCAACAGAGCAAGACTCCGTCAAAAAAAAAAAAAAATTGAGACCATCCCAAATTCCAATAGCAAGGAAATTAATGGGTATGCAATTTTGAGATATCTTTATGATGCGCTTTGTTGAAGCAATTAAAATTGAATTTTCTCAAGAATTTGTAAAGGCATGAAGAAAAGCTTACGTTACGTGGTTATGCAAAAAGTAATCTATAATACTATATATGATGTCATGTAATCTCAACTATTCAAATACATATTTTTAAATAGGATGGATAAAACACTGGAAGGAAATATCACAACAAATCATTTACAGTAATTGCTTCTGGGACTCCTGAGATTTCTTTTTCTTTCTTTTTTATGTTTTCCTGTAACGCTAAAAAACAAATAAACAAGATCAAAACTATTTCTTACAGGATAAGAGTTGGCTGAGCACGGTGGCTCACACCTGTAATCCCAGCACTTTGGGAGGCCAAGATGGGTGGATTGTTTGAACCCAGGAGTTCAAGACCAGCCTGGGCAACATGGTGAAACCCCATCTCTACAAAAAATACAAAAATTGGCCAGGCGTAGTGGTACAAACCTGTAGTCCCAGCTACTTAGGAGGCTGAGGTGGGAGGATCGCTTGAACCTGGGAGGTGGAGGTTGCAGTGAGTCGAGATCACAATACTGCACTCCAGCCTGGGTGACAGAGTGGGACCTTGTCTCAAAAAATTAATTAATTAATTAAAATATAATATAATATAAAAGTTTAATTAAAATTCCTTTTTTTTTTTTTTTTTTGAGACGGAGTCTCGCTCTGTCGCCCAGGCTGGAGTGCAGTGGCGCGATCTCGGCTCACTGCAAGCTCCGCCTCCTGGGTTCACGCCATTCTCCTGCCTCAGTCTCCTGAGTAGCTGTGACTACAGGCGCCCGCCACCACGCCTGGCTAATTTTTTTTTTTATTTTTAGTAGAGACGGGGTTTCACCGTGTTAGCCAGGATGGTCTCAATATCCTGACCTTGTGATCCACCCGCCTCGGTCTTCAAAGTGCTGGGATTACACATGTGAGCCACCGCGCCAGGCCAAAATTCCCTATGTTTTTAAGGGAATTCCTAAATTCCCTAATTTTGTTTTCAAAAGAATTATGATTCCATAGGCTAATTTCACATTCTGTTCTGATCATGGTAAGAAAGATTTCAACTTTGTTCTAATTCATTTTAAGCAAAGCGTATTGATGTTGCTTATCTTACAGAAATCCTTCACCTATATTCTGGTCATAAGAATTACAGGCTCTTTGTGCCATTAAAAAAAAAAAAAATGTAGGACCAAAAATGATGCCTCAGAGCCACTCTGCTCTGTGACCCTCGTGCACACTACCTGGGCAGAGAGGTGCTGATCTGCAGTCTTGGCAACGCGGGAATGACTTCCACTGTGGAGCCACTGGTTTTTATTCCCGGCAGGTTATCCAGCAAACAGTCACTGAACACACCGAAGACCGTGGTATGGTAACCTGGAATAGAAAAGGAACTTCTTCACTCCACTGGCAAGGCTTTGGGTCTCACGCCCACGGCTGAAGCAGTGCGAAGAGTACGGGGCTCCTCTTCAGAAGACCTGAGTTCCGAAGCTGCCCGGGGCCCGCCGGCGCTCACCCACACTCCCGCCCTCAACCCCACGACCCTCACTGTCCTCGTACGTGATGGGGAGGATAACAGCATCTGCATTCCTGTTTCACAAGGCTGGCTGGGCCCAAATGAAAGACTATATATGTGAAGGTCCTTGTAAACTATAAATATCTACTTAATAATCAGTATCTCATCCCTTTACTCATTTGCTTTTCAGATTTATCCATCTCTAAAACGAGAATGTTAATATTCTTTCCCAGGACATAATGTGACTTAATGAGTATGTGAAAAATGCTTCAAAGCTTTCTGTTGAGAGATGAAAGTTCACACACGAGCCAATTGTTATTGTAGCTGCTGCTGATATGGCAGATGTGCTGTGTGTGTATAAGCACCATAATTTAAGATTAGCAAATTTCCCATGTTAAAAAAAAAGTCCACTGGTTAGATAATCACTTGAAATTGTTTAAGCAAAGCTTTAAAATGGCTTTTGAAATTTCACGAGATAATTATTATAAACAACATTCACTCTGTAACAAAATTAAACAATACCCCATGGCTAGATGCCTAGGGTGACAACTTTTCTGCATTCATATGAAACTATTCCATACTAAAAGGAGAGGCAGGCACTCCCTCGTGGGCAAATCAGGGACCTTACACAGCCTCAGTCAGCCCCGTGCTCACCTCCTGCCAGCTTAAAGCTGCCCTATCAACACAACTCCCATTCAGAGCAGCCACGCTTCCTCTAAAGTATACCTCTTCAAAGACGTCTTAAACTGGCAAACATTCTCCTTCCCAAAACCACATCTTGCACTAATGTCCTTTCTATAAAACCTGGTATGACATGGTTTTGTCTGCTAAGCAGCCATTATTTTGCAATTCTTAATTTAAGTCAGTCATTTTCCTTTTCTTACCTGTTGCTTAAAATAACTGCCATATAAACCCAAAAGTCTGAGGACAAATAGCACATTACAATGTCTGATAATACAAGGTCAGTCCTTTTGACCTTGTTCCCAAAGCGGGCTAAAAATGAACACTCACTAGTCTGGACCCAGGATAAACAACCAAGAACTGCGTGACTAAGGCTCTGACTCCTCAACTGTGAACACACTAGTTACGGTTATGTGCTATTCTGAATCAAGCCCTTCACTCCTCGTTACTCCTCTCTCATCCATTCCTATCTCCTATGCTCCACTGCCAGGCCACGGCTATGGGCCTACCTCTGTCCCTTTCTCCCTGGGTCATCGCTGAAGCTTGATCACTGCTGTCCCTGCCTCCAGTCCTTCCCATCTCAACAGGGATCCTGGATCCTGAGGGATGGCTCTGAACTGCCCACCTGACCACATCTCTCTTCAAATAACGCAGCAGCCCCAATGCCCTCCAGAGAAAGCCAGCATCCTTTGGCACCGTGTGTAAGAACCCAGGTCGGCCCTCTGCCTCCCTTCCAGCCTGTCTCATCTCTGCCACCCTGGCCTGGACCACCCACTCTGACCACCCCCAGGTCCCCCAAATGTACCATGTTCTCTCTTACCACCACGTTGTTCTTTCTGCCTGGAACCCTCTTTCTGCCCCCTGTGGACTCCCCCCACAGCCCACCCCCATTCATTTGAATAGTTCCTAGTTAGCCTTCAAGCCTCAGGGTCACTGACCCACTCACTCTCCCCGCTGGGTCCATGC
Organism: Homo sapiens; assembly: GCF_000001405.40. NCBI lineage: Eukaryota > Metazoa > Chordata > Mammalia > Primates > Hominidae > Homo > Homo sapiens. The sequence continues at coordinate 140,285,808 of NC_000008.11, forward strand.
CCAGAGTCATTCGCTCCCACGGCCACTCCACTCCGTATTCCCACTTGGGGCAGCACACCCTCACCTACGATTACACCTGCCTCACTCACCCGTAGGGAGCACCCTTCCAGCAAATGTTTGCTCTTCCAGGCAACAAACACACACTGAAGACCTACTGTGTGCCAGGCTCCACAATAGGCACGGAGCTGCAGCTGAGCGAGACACACGAGGCCAGCAAGGAATCTATTGCACAGAGTCAGGAAGGAGGCCACCGCACAGGGGCCTAGGCCAGCGAGCCCATGCCGAGGAAGGCTCCCGGAGGAAGGAAAGCCTGTGCTGAGGACTGAGGGAAGCCCAGGAGCCGGCCAGGGTGATAAGCACTCGATGGGACACAGGCAAAGCCTCGGAAAGCCTGGAAAGCTGCCAGAACTAAAGAGTCTTCGGAGACTGAAGTAGGAGGGGAGAGGCAGAGAGGAGGTTGCGGAGGCCAGCAGGAGCCGGACCACACTGGGCTCCAGAGCAACACTTAAGGACTGGGCCTTGATAACAAGGGCCTGGCGACAGCTGTGAGGCTCCCAGTTGAGAGATGTCAGGGGCATATTCACACTAGGAAGATCGCCGGGCCACAGATGGGAGGTGGGTCTGTTAGCAAGCAAGACCAGGGCAAAAACACCAGTCCCAGTGCTTTTGTGACAAACCCTAGAAGAGTTATGATCTGCAAGACCGGAAGGGGCAGTGGAGGTGGAGAGAAGCAGCAGTTCTCAGGAAGCACTGAGGGAGGGAGGTGGGGGTGCTGTGACAGACAGCGAGGGTCAGGATGACCCCCAAGAACCCGTTAGGGCAAATGGCTGATGGGAATGCCCGCACTGAGATGGAGGCTTGACGGGGGCAGGGGCAGTTTTGGGGAGGCGAGGTAGGGAGTTCTGATTTGCATGTATTATATGCGAGGCGCCCAGGGGCCAGCTGGGAAGGGCTGGAGGTGCAGGCTGGGAAGAAGTCCAGCCCTGGAAATCATCTGCACATTGGAGGAACTGGAAGACAGCAAGGCCAGGGCATCGGTGGGATCACCTAAGGTAGCCTGTGGAAGAGGAAGAGTTAACAGGGCCAGGGAACACAGGGCGAGAGATGGGGAAGGAAAGAAGTGGGGTGTGAGGAAGGCCTGACTGAGGAGTGGGCTGCAGAAGACAAAAGAGACCCAAACAGAAGGGCCAGAGAGGCAGTAAAACATCCAGAGAGGCAGGGTCACAGCAGCTAGAGCAGAGAGGCGGTAAAGTATCCAGAGGGTAGGCTCGCAGCAGCCAGAGGAGAGGGCATGCCTAGTGGAGGGTCAGCCAGGGACTCAAAGGGCACTGAGGAGCGAATTTAGAAACAAAACTGAAAAGTAGGCCCTGTATTTAGCCCAAAAAATACTGCTTGTGACAGGAGTTTTGGGGAAGTGAAAAGGGCTGAGTCCAGGATGTAGAGGGTTAAAGGCCCTCTGCAAAGGGGAGATTCAGCGTGTGTAGACACCCTCTGAGGAGTTCCAGCAAGAAGGAGCAGGAGGAAGGAAGGCTCACTGGAGGAAGACAGCAGAAAGGAGACGAAGCAGAGGGAGGAGGGGCATGGGCAGTGGGGTCAGAGCACAGGAAGGACCCCTCCCACCACCACACATCCCGCACCCCACGAACAGGTTTTTTTCATGCTTCCCAAAGAGACAAGGTCTTCATTATCTTCTAACTGGTTAGGACTGGCATGACGGGCGATCGGCTCTGGACCTCATGGAGGCCATGCAAGGGTTCAGCAGACCCTCCTGAGCAGGAAGCATGAAGGGACTCTCCTTACCGTTCACAGTAATCGTTCCAGTCGTCTGCGGGACCCCGACGAGCGTCACTGGGTACAGACCAGATTCAGCCGGAAGAGAAAGCGCCGCAGGGAGAGACTCGAACTCCACTCCGCTGGTGAGCAGCCCCTAAACCAAGCGACGCAGCATCGTAAGCCCGGAGCAAACCTACTGTGTGTGCTCAGTTCCAAATGAGCCTTAAGACATTGGCTATGGCACATCGGAACTGCTGGAATAAAATCACCAACAGTCTTCACAGAGAACTTCGGAGACAGTGTACAGTGTAACACAAAACCACCTAAACATGGTAAGCACTGCAGGTGCTCAGGCGATAAACCACGGATCCACTTGATTTCAGCCCTGTTTGCTGTCTGATATTTATCATTTTACCAAATGGGAATGTGAACACAAAGAGAAAATATTTTATTTATAAACAAAAATAAATAAAAACATGGCTGGGCATGGTGGCTCACACCTGTAATCCCAACACTTTGGGAGGCCAAGGTGGAAAGAACACTTGAGCCCCAGGAGACCAAGACCAACCTGGGCAACACAGTAAGACCCCATCTCTACAAAAAAAATTTTTAATTAGCCAGGGAAGGTGGCACGCACCTGTGGTCCCAACTACTTGGGAGACTGAGGTGGGATGATCACCCGAGCCCAGGAGGCTGAGGCTGCAATGATCACACCACTGCACTCCAGCGTGGGGGACAGAGTGAGACCCTATCTCAATCAATCAATCAATAAAGTGTGGAACTATACCACCAGTTAATATCCCTGCCACACATCTGTGAGTTATCAACTTATTTCGGTATGTACTAAGCTTACTAGTACAGGCACTAAGCTTGCTAGTGAACAAAACAGGCAGATTCCCTGGCCTCAAGACGGTGGCCCATGATTGGAAGCAGTACAGGTATGTCAGCCCTCAGGACTTCTCAGCATTGTAACAGAGGTCCTACTCAGGGCACTAAAGCAAGAAAAAGGAAGAAAAGTCATACAGGCAATTACTCACAGAAAACAAAACCAGGGTCAGAAAACGCTATGGAATCTACAATGAAACTTGAACTTTCGAGTACATTTAGCAAAGTGACAGAGTCAGAAAAAAAAGGCGTTATTTCTATAGTTTAGCAATAAGCAATTGGGTAAAATATCATTAACAAGCGATCAAAACCGTCAACTACATTAGAATAAACCTAACAAATGACAGGCAAGGTTTCATAACAGTTACAGAACACTGCTGAGATAAAGAAGCCCTGGGCGAAGGGGGAAATCCTGGATTCTTTTTAGCGGGTTGGTTTTCTGCAGCAGTATGGTCAAAGCTACCCCGCAACTATCTCAGATATGACAGGACTGAGCATCTAAGTAGATGTGCTGATGTTGGGAGCCCGAGTTCTCACGCGGGAAGAAAGGACACACACAGATGGAGGAAGGCAAGCACCCTCTGGAGAAGTGCTGGAAAGCGAGGGTCCCCGTGAACAGGGCAGATGCTACATGCATGTCTATGGTGCAGACGCAGGGGTATACACATGTGTACATATATGTAGGCATATGGGTTTAGATATATATATAGTGTGTGTGTGTGTGTGTGTGTGTGTGTGTGTGTGTGTGTGTTCTCATGTATGTGTATATGCACACAGACTTTTCCCAACTCTGTCTACAGGAAGCACCCAGAAGCAAAGCCACTCTCTCGGCAGTGAGTACACTTAGTGCCCGGACTTGGAGCCAAGGTGTGAAATGATCTATGTGTGGAACAGATGCAGCAGGCAAGGGTGGAAGCCGAGGAGCCAATTGTCTCTAGGCAAATATATTGGCATTTATTTCTTTTGAAAATAGCTAAAGCAATATGGCCAACTGTGAACATTTTTTAAATGTGAATGGTGGAGATGCGAGTGTGTACTATTCCCTGTAACATTTCATAGGTTTAAAATACTTCCTAATTTAGTTTTTAAAACTTTGCCCATGATTTGTGGGCTATCTCCATGTGGTGCTTTTTATTTTGTTCCCTGCTCTTCCTCATTTGTTATAATAAGCACATATTGTTTTTAAACCAGATAAAAATGAAAGCTACATTTTAAGACCAAAAAAAAAAATGTGTAAGAAAGAGCAGCAGGCATTTGATACTTTAACCACTTTGGGGAAAATTCTCTAAACTGCTTCTCCCTACTAAGGCTGAGACAGAAAGCCACAGGAAAGGCCAGAGCCAAATCCTACTGCAGGTCAGTCCTCGCCCAACAGGAGGAGAGGCGCTCCTCCCGAGCGCACCTCGAGACTACAAGCTGAACATCCAGCTGAGCTTCCAGGAGCTCAGACAGATTTCGGGAAACTATGCCACGTGCTAGAGGCCTAAACAGCATTTCAACAGCCACCACGTGTCCACCTGGCAAACTGCAACTCAGCCTGTACTCACAGCCAGGCTGTCACATCTGTCCCAGGAACCCTTCCCTGACTCTCCAGGGCCAGGCAGACTCCCGTCCACAACAGGCCTGCAACACCTCATGCACCCCAACAGAGCCTTGGTCACAGTCGCAGCAGGGACCAGGGCCTGACCATCTCTGTCCCCTCAGGGCCTTGCCTGGGGACCGACACGTGGCAAGAGCACTCAGCGAGATACATGCATGAAAGGCCCGCCTCTTACCCTGAACACCAGTCATAAAACTCTAAAAGACAACATCCATTCTCGCAGCACCCTCCTTTGCGTGCTGCTGAAAAGTTACACAGCAGCACCACACAGCAATGCAGAGAAGACTTGAGGGATGGGACCTACATCGGCATGGGAGGGCCCGCTCTGAAAACACAGAATCAGCTTAGAGCGCCAGTACTAATCTCCTTCCCCCTGACTAGAGAATTGGGTAAGCATTTCCAACAGAAGAGATTACAAACTGAATTTTTCACACCCTACACAAAGCACAGAAATGGGACGTCAGGATTTCAAAACAAGAGAAAGCTCGTGGTGGTGGTGGTGTGGTCATTTATCCTCCCATTCCACAGCTTGTTCTTCCCTGGGGCCTTGGTCATCTTATCATCTTGCAGCAATAAAATAATGCTGATACCGTTGAGTAGCAGGCAGAATGGGGACTTTGCAACCTCAACACATCTCACGTAAGCTTCGAAATTATTATTTCACATCTTATACCCAATCAACTAAGCTCGGCATGTGTTCAAATCAGAGGTTTCTTTGTAGGTTCAAATATTTATTGAAAACCAAGCCTAAAGACACAGGAATAACAAAACATGGTCTTCATTTACAATAAGCTTATATGCTTTGGCAAAACAAACATAAAAACAGACACATATCGTAAGATGTGTGCCTCAGACATTAAGTAAAACCTACTTTAATGAGAAGTTTGTATGTTAGCCCAAAAAGGTCAAATGATTGGTGATACATACCATGTTTTCAACTCGAAGTTCAAACGGCATTGGGTTATATACCATCAGCTGAACTTCACACACATCTCCTTGAACCCACTGGAAATCTAGAAAATACACACACATAAATGAATCCATGTATTAGTTGGTATTTTTTCACTTTCTACATGGTTTCCAATTATTCCTCTGGCAATTTACATTCTCAGTGAGGCAGCAGGCTCTATGATCTTCTTGAGATGGGTGATTCAAAGCTGCTTTTTCCACCAGCTTTCTCTGAAACAAAGCAAGGTAGCTGTCACTGGCACTTTGATGCCACATGAATGGCGCTTGTCACTGCCTTCGGCGGGCTGCATTCATGCTGGCATCAGTCCAGATGGCACTGTTCTTGGTACAGAGCCATAAGGCACACTGCGCTTCACGGGGCCCAGAAGCTGGCAACACAGGAAGACGGCACTGGGGTCACTTGTGAGTAACACGGAGTGTGATTTGCCCTATTCCCCTAAGATTGTGAGAGGGGAGTCTTCTCCTCCCCACCCACTCCCAGGTCAACTGCAGTTCAGTACCTGTGCAGGGGCAGAATTCTGACGACCTCCAAAACCCCCAGCCTTGGTGTGCACAACCTGGTGTGCATGCACTATGTAATCCCCACCTTCAGTGTGAATATGATGATTAGGCTATATTGTAAAACAAAGGTGGAAAGTTTTTGCAGATGTGATTGAGGACCCCAATCCGTTGACTCTGAGTTAATCAAAAGGAAGGTTGTCCTGAATGGGCTTGTTCTAATCAGGTGAGACCGCACAGGAGACCATATCCTTGCCTAGAGGGCCTGTGGAGGGGACCACATGGCAAGGGCCTAAGAGCAGCCTCTGGGAGCTGAAAGCAGCACCGGCAGACAGCTGGCAAGAGAACGGGGATCACAGGAAATGAATGAAGAACGGCCTGAGGAGTCGTGAGAGCAGGCCCTTCCCTTAGTTGAGCCTCCAGATGAGGACACAGCCCCAGATGCCACTTGGATTTCAGTCCTGTGAATCCCTGAGCAGAGGACCCAGCTGAAGCCCACACAAATCATGAGGAAGCAGATTTGTGTTGTTTGAAGCCACTGAGTCTGTGGTCATTTGTTACAAAGCAACAGAAAGCTAATTCAGCATCTGTCCCAATTTCCATCACCCCCTCCTCCCTTTACAATCCTCTCTTAGGCAAACCAGAAGGAATTTCAGAATCAATCAACAGGTGGCAGGCATGTGTTAGGTGTGAGGCACTTCCACACAGGTTATCTCATTACTCTGCATAAGGACCTCCTGAGATAGGTATGATAACCCCCGTCACTGCAAGGCAAACACTCAAGGTCCAAACAGGGTAATAAATTGGCCCAGGAACCACACAGCAAGCGAGAGGAGCTGCTGGATTCAGGCCTCTGAACTCAGAGGCACCCCGAGCAGACACGGGTGGCTAACAGGGCAGTGGAGGGCTTCTTCTCTAGCAGATAAGAACGTCTGTTGACCAGAATTATTCAACTTTCAGAGCTTTCATAAGCATGTTCTCAAGATACAGCTTTTCCCACACACTCTGCAACCTGCACAGAGATGAGGACTGACTCCACCACACCTATGACATCTGACCCAGAGCTGGCATGTTGACATTGCATAAATTCCCTATTTAATAAATGGTGCTGGGAAAACTGGCTAGCCATATGTAGAAAGCTGAAACTGGATCCCTTCCTTACACCTTATACAAAAATTAATTCAAGATGGATTAAAGACTTAAACGTTAGACCTAAAACCATAAAAACCCTAGAAGAAAACCTAGGCAATACCATTCAGGACATAGGCATGGGCAAGGACTTCATGTCTAAAACACCAAAAGCAATGGCAACAAAAGACAAAATTGACAAATGGGATCTAATTAAACTAAAGAGCTTCTGCACAGCAAAAGAAACTACCATCAGAGTGAACAGGCAACCTACAAAATGGGAGAAAATTTTCGCAACCTACTCATCTGACAAAGGGCTAATATCCAGAATCTACAATGAACTCAAACAAATTTACAAGAAAAAAACAAACAACCCCATCAAAAAGTGGGCAAAGGAATCAACAGACACTTCTGAAAAGAAGACATTTATGCAGCCAAAAAACACATGAAAAAATGCTCACCATCACTGGCCATCAGAGAAATGCAAATCAAAACCACAATGAGATACCATCTCACACCAGTTAGAATGGCGATCATTAAAAAGTCAGGAAACAACAGGTGCTGGAGAGGATGTGGAGAAATAGGAACACTTTTACACTTTTGGTGGGACTGTAAACTAGTTCAACCATTGTGGAAGTCAGTGTGGCGATTCCTCAGGGATCTAGAACCAGAAATACCATTTGACCCAGCCATCCCATTACTGGGTATATACCCAAAGGACTATAAATCATGCTGCTATAAAGACACATGCACACGTATGTTTATTGCAGCACTATTCACAATAGCAAAGACTTGGAACCAACCCAAATGTCCAACAATGATAGACTGGATTAAGGCCATGTGGCACATATACACCATGGAATACTATGCAGCCATAAAAAAGGATGAGTTCATGTCCTTTGTAGGGACATGGATGAAATTGGAAATCATCATTCTCAGTAAACTATCGCAAAAACAAAAAACCAAACACTGCATATTCTCACTCATAGGTGGGAATTGAACAATGAGAACACATGGACACAGGAAGGGGAACATCACACTCTGGGGACTATTGTGGGGTGGGGAGACGGGGGAGGGATAGCATTAGGAGATATACCTAATGCTAAATGACAAGTTAATGGGTGCAGCGCACCAGCATGGCACATGTATACATATGTAACTAACCTGCACATTGTGCACATGTACCCTAAAACTTAAAGTATAATAATAATAAAATTTAAAATTAATTAATTAATTAATTAATACAGTGCCCACCAGGTGAGCTAACAGCTCCCCTAATGCCTGCACCACCATGTACTCATCTGAGCCTCTGCACAATGCAGTGAATGGCCACAGTCTATGTCAGCAGCACAAATGTTATGCCCGTTCTACAAAAAAGGAGAACCCACCTGACAGGCTGGCCCGCCTGCCTGTCCTATGGTCCTGAGAAGCAAGAAAACTGAGATTCGAACTCCAGTCTGTCTCCAAAACCTACACTCTTTTCACCCTACTGCTTCACCTCTCAGGACCCCAGAAACTCAGGTCTTGTCCTTCCCTCATCCCAGCTTCCATGCCCCCCACCTCCCAGGCCCACCAGCTTCTGAGGACCTTCAATGGGAGGGAGCTCACCCGACCTCCTCATTTACACAAGTCAGTGGCCAGAGCACAACATGCTCCCAGCCCGCCTGACCCCGCCTCACCCAGCCTGCCCGGGGCCACTGATGGTCAGCATCCCAGACCACTCCTCACCACAAATGAAGAAGGTCACTCTCTTTAAACAAGTGGCTAACGTCTGGTAATTAAGAAATGGCTTGCCCTATCATGGTCATGATGATGATGATGATGATAATAAGCCATTTGAAAAATCATTTTCTAGAGTACTAAAAAAATAATGTACACTTAGATGGTCCATGTCTACTAAAGGGTAAATCTAAAATAAACTGTTGATTACATAAAAATTTATTCTTCTTTTTTTTTTTCTTTTTTTGAGATGGAGTATCACTCTGTACCCAGGTTGGAGTGCAGTGGTGTGATCTCGGCTCACTGCAACTTCCACTTCCCGGGTTCAAACGAGTCTCCTGCCTCAGCCTCCCAAGTAGCTGGGACTACAGGTGTGCGCCACCATGCCCGGCTAAATTTGTTTGTATTTTTAGTAGAGACAGGGATTCACCATGTTGGCCAGGCTAGTCTCGAACTCCTGACCTCAACTAATCCCCCCCACCTTGGCCTCCCAGAGTACTAGAATTACAGGCGTGAGCCACCACACCCAGCCTGAAAAGTGATTTTTGCTGAAAGAAGGAGATAACCCCTTTCCATCCTCAGCATGTCAAAGCACACGGTGGTGGCCCTTCCTCACTATTTTGTCCTAGAAGTAGTGGGAAGGCACAAGAATTAGCCTCTCTGAAACCCCCTCATCTCAGGCCCTGCCCTCCCTGTTGCGGGACACACTGTGCATGCTGTCATCTGTGGACCCACGGCACCAGGCAGTGGCGTTTATTGACAAGTTCGTCTCTTTCTGCTAAACTGTATGGACCCATGTGGCGGGAAAGACTCCTGATTTATCAATGCATCCCCAGCACATAGCACAGGGCATATAACTGCTACCAAAAATGTTACTGAATGGCTGCCAGGGACTTTAGAAACATTATCTCCCTTGATCCTCAAAACCACCCTCCGTGTCAGCTTCTAATGTCCCCATTCTGCAGATAGCATGACTGCAGACCACAGAGGCACAATCAGCTGTCCACGGTCACACAGTGGGGAGCTGCAGGGCCAGGGTGCAGCCCAAGTCCACCTGACAGCCACAGCCTCTCCAGGCCACCACGCTGCCTCTGGGGCAGCAGTCGACCTTGGCACTAAGCCTGGCAGCACCACAAAGACCTATCACAAATGACAGAAGGCCTTCAACCCAACACACTCAAGCTGAGGCCAGTGTTGCAGTCATCTTTGCATGGATGTAGCTCAGATGATGGCCACACCAGCCAACACACAAAGACTCGTGAACTATCCCAAGTTAAAGTGGAAAATGGTCTCAAACACTACCCTCAAGAGTTTCTTCATCTCCAAAACCCTATGCCACCTGCTGTGATGATACCTCCCCCAATTATACACCGAGGTTCATTTAGAGAGACTGGAAATTTAGGTTAAAGTTATGTGATCTGTCAAGCTTCTGCACAAGCACTCACTGATCAGTACACTGCCAAAAAGATATTAGAAGCTATGGGATATAAATTGCATTTTCCTACCAAACAAATAATGTGCATTTTGGCTGAAACTTGCGTTATATCTCAGAAAAAAATCTTACATCATCCACTGAATTTGTCCTCAGCCCAGATGAGCAGGTACTTCTTACTATGGTGAGAAGCCATACTATAAAGAAAAAAGGCCCTGGGCATCGAGTCCTGCAACCTGGCATGGAGCCCGGGGAATGTCACTGATAAGCTATCTGACCTGGGGCAGGTACTTAAATTTCGTTCAGTCTTAATTTTCTTATTTGCAAATAGGGAATATAATAATGCCGGCAGCATCAGCATCAAATAGTTTTGAGAATCACTGGATAATGTTTGCTTAAGCCCTCTTCAACAAATACAGATTGTAATTTTCACAAAAGGAATCTTTGACAATGTCTTTTTATTTGTTTTTTGAGGTAGGGTCTTGCTCTGTCACCCAGGCTGGAGTGCAGTGGTACAATCTTGGCTCACTATAGCCTCGACCTCCCAGGCTCAGGTGATTCTCCCACCTCAGCCTCCCAACTAGCTGGGACCACAGGTGCCCGCCACCAGGCCTGGCTATTTTTTTGTATTTTGTGTAGAGATGGGGTTTTGCCATGTTGGCCAGGCTGGTCTCGAACTCCTGGGCTCAAGCAATCCACCAGCCTCAGCCTCCCAAAGTGCTGGGATTACAGGCGTGGGCCACCACACTCGGCCAACAATTTCTTAAGATTGAAAAGGAAAAGCAGAGAGGCAGGGCCTACAATCCATGCCATCAGTGGCACAGGGCCCTGTGCCCTGGCATCTGGGTTCACGCTCTGCTGTTGCTGTCTTCGAATTCCTAGTGATGTTTGAACAAAGGCCCTATGTTTGCATTTTGCACTGGGCCCCACAAATCACATGGCCCATCCTGAGAAGAGGAGTCTCACACCTCCAGTCTCCTAAATCACCTCTGGAAGTTTTTCTCAACGAAAGAACTGAAGCTTTCCTCAAAAGTTCCGTAGGGGAGACAGTTCATCACCAACCCCAATGAGAACACAAAAGAGCAGCCAGAGACTCTAGAAGGTCCCAGGGGGAAGAGCCTGAGCACTCGTAGGACAGCAAGTCCGGGGCCAGGGGAGACAGAGGAGCCCTGAGGGTGGCCTGCCCATCCCCACGGAGCTCGGAAGACGCCCTCCAGAGAGGAAAGGTGGAGTTCCCACAGGAGGCCAGGAAACGACGTCCCCAAAACACAGTGAGGACAGGATTTGTACAGCTCTCTCCTGCTTACCGCAACACACGCTGGAGCACATCTGGGGCTGCCATCAGGCCCTGCCTGTTCATCCACCACGTCTACCCAGCGCCTACACTTCCTGTCACCTCATGTTCTCCAGATCAGAGAAGCAGTGGCAGGAGAGACAAGATTGGGGTGTCTTTCAGAATCAATAGACTAAAAATGGCATTTTAAAAACGCATACACACACACACATGCATGCACACACTCATACACACACATGCATAGACACACACACATACACGCATACACACAATATACACATGCATACACACATACAGATGCATACACATATACACACGCATACACACACATACACACATACAGATACACACAAATTCTAGAGTAGATTATATAGTTAGTGCTCACATTTTCAGAAATTTTCCAAAATACAGTATTGACTGCAGTTTTTCAAGGGCATGACCCCATGTCTCTTTATTTTCTTCTCATTCTAACAGTGAACAGCTAGAACAGCTGGAGCCACTCCTTGCAAAGCCCACACGGCTCCTCAGATGGAGGCTGTGTCTGAGCCTCCAGAGGGCTTCCCCAGGGTCTGCGGGGCCCCCACCCCACACCCCACTCCCAGTTAGCCCAGTGTTTATTGTTCATTCGAGTTCAACGTGTAAGTAACCAGGTACCCCTGCTGACAGATGTACAGTTTTAGAGAGCGTTTATTCACATTTAGTCTCGATAGTCAACTTCTCACGTTTGTGTCTTGCCTGCATGAACTAAACTGAAAAACCAGCCGAGGGTGAGGACTGTGAGGTCCAGGTAATAGGTCTGTCCCACACCTACTGTGCACGTGAGAGGAAACCATAGGGTACTAATGGGAACAGGACACGTGGTCTGTGATGTGAAATCAAGCTTGTCACTAACTGAGTAACTTTTAGTTACTTCTAAAAGTCGTTTCTCTAAGTTTGTTTCCTCATCTGTAAAAGGGAGATAAAAATGAAATCTCCCAAAAATACTGGAAAAACTAAATAAGGTAACATATGATAGCCTCTTATAAAGCACAACTAGAATAAAAGAAATGATTACCATTTTTAAAAGCACAAGGTTCTTTGAGTACTCCTACCCTAGTTATGCCCTTTATCTCAGCAAACAACTTTATTTCCTCTGAAGCACTTTATTTTTTAAGGCATTCGGATAATTTACAAATTGTTAATGAAGTTTATTATGAGACCCTTACAGAAGCTAAGAAATCCTAGAGCTAGTAATATATGAGAAATGCTCATCAAGACAATGTGCTGGCTGGACGCAGAGGTCCCCACCTGTAACCCCAGCTCTCTAGGAGGCCGAGGCAGGGGATTCACTTGACCCCAAGAATTCGAGACCAGCCTGGGCAACATGGCAAAACTCCGTCTCTACAAAAAATACAAAAATCAGTGGGTGTGGTAGTATGCACCTGTGGTCCCACCCACTCGGGAGGCTGAGGCAGGAGGATCAACTGAGCCCAGGAGGTTGAGGCAGCAGTGAGTCCTAATTATACCACTGCACTTCAGCCTGGGTGACAGAGCTAGACCCTGTCTCAAAGAAAAAAAAAAGATGATGTGCTACACGTAATGCTCTTATTGTCCCTTCTGCCTTGAATTCCACCATGCCCTGCCAGGAACATGAAATGTACAGTGAGATCTAGGTTCTCCTGTGAGTTCTTGGACATGACACTTAAACGTCGTGAATCAGTTTCCCCGTCAACAAAATCTATAAAATGGGATTCATAATATGTACCCCATCCATTCATTCATTCTTTTGTCACTGCTCCAGGTGCTGGGGAGACAGCAGCTGCACACAGCCTGACAGAATTCTGGGCTTCAGGTGATATTGCAGGACAAAGCATCAATGGGCCAGTGTGGGTTTGAGCTGGAGAGAAGCTGGGAAGAGAATCCCAGACAGCACCGCTAGAGATGGTGGGAGGAGTGGCCTGCAAGGCGCTGGGATCAGAGAACACCCCTCTGAGGGAGGGGGCATTTGAACAGAGACCAAAAGGATGTGACAACAAGAGAGCCAATGATAGAGGGGCAGGGGACGAGTTCCTGGCAAAGGAAAGAGCGAGCCCCAAAGCCCTGGGCTTGGAACAAGCCTGTTTCTTTCCACGACCAGAAAGGAGTCCCTGTAGCTAAACCAGAGTGATGGTGGCAGGAGGTGGCATGAAAACCCCGACAGAGCGGGAGGGGTGTGGGCAGGGGGGGGTCAGGGAGCGCCTGCAGTCCGTAACTCGGGGTGTGGGTGAGCTTGCGAGTGCAACAGGAAGCCTCTGTCCTGGAAAGAAAAGCATGGTGGAAAAAGGAGCCGGAATGCCTTCTTCCTAAATTGGAGGTACAGGAATTAAGAGTAGAAATAAAGAAACAGAAGGAGAAGAAAGCACTGGATATCAAACACAGAGCGCCGCGGTTGCGCAGGCCTCCCGCTCACACTCCTCGGAGGCCCCGGCAGTCGCCAAGCAGCGGCCAGCCTCCAGGCCCTCAAGGTTCTGTCACAGGACGTGTGGGCTCAGCCGGCAGTGGTCCCCAGTGACTGGCAGTCACAATCTCCTGCAAGGGGCCTCGGGCATGTCTTTGTGGCAGCAAGGGATGGGGAGCTTGGCACTACAGCCGGGCTTTGGGAAGGACACCAAGGGACAGGGCCGGTGGTGCATGCTGAGCCCTGGTGCAGGAGGGACGAGAGCTCAGACACAGGAAAGCTCAGGAGAGATTGTCCACTCCCAGTCTCTCCCACAACACAGCTTAACCCAGGACTGACTATCCTGATCACCTGTGTTCACAAAAGAACATAACACGATTACCTCACCCTCCACTCAGTCCTGAACACCATCCAACCCTGAATCTTTCTCTGATGACTCAGAAGTCACTTCAGCCCTTGTAAAATCAGTCTACATCTCCAACTGTCACTCTTCTGTAGTTCACATAAGTCTCAGTTAACAAAAGTCTTTCTGGTTTCCAGAACTTTCACAAAATTACCTTATATGAAATAAATTTTTTAAAATCACATCTATGGGCAATTGCCTGCCAAAAGCAGCAAATCAAATAAACTTCCATGACAGACTGCACACACGCACACACACGCACACATCTGTGCACACATCCACACATGGACACATGTAAACACACATATGCATGCACGCACGCATGCATACACACATACACGCACATATGCACGCATGCACACATACATATGCATGCATGCACACATGCACACACATATACACACATATGCATGCGTGCACACATCCACGCACGCACACACATGCACATGCATGAACTGGCTCAAAATGCTGTTCTAAAAATCTAGAAAAGCCATTGGAAATCAGGTGGCAGAGCACGGTGGGAAAGCCAGGATCGACGTCCTACCTATTTTCTTGTTCCGCTCTTCTCCACGGTTGTGTGCGATAATTGGTGAATAGATGAAAGGACTTTTGGTTGACACGTTCTGACCCAGCAAGCTTTTCATTTTGTGTGGCCGGAGGCTAGCAGGAAGGTTCAATAGTTTCACATGCCTGTTGTTTCAAACAGAACACAAATACTTCAACTGTCTGGTTAGCGTGGTTTCAGGATAAACATAACCAAACATGATGTATCAGAAAAACAGTAAATCAGTCAGAAGGAAGATAAATGGAGGGAGGAAAAGCACTCCGAGGCATCAGGACACAGCAAGGAAGTGTTGCAACAGTAACTCAAGATTCTCCCAGACAGGGGAAATCACTCCCTGGAACTGGGGGAGCAGCCACTTCCCTCTGGGGACTCCTGAACTGGGCCCAAGGATGGTCTGGAGTCAGAAAGGCCAGCTTGAAATCTCGCTTCACACTTACCAGCTGTGTGCCTTTGGGCACGTGCCTTGCCATCTCTAAGACGTAGGTTCCTTGTGTATAAAGTGCAGGTGGGGCCACCACCTTCCCCATGGACCCATGGGGAGGATCCAGCTAAAGACTCCTGGCACAGGGCCCACTGCCTGGCCCAGGATGGCTCTTCTCTCTCTGCCTCTCCCTTTCCCAAGGGACCTGCCCACAGCAAGTGGCAGCCAGACTCTGACCCATGGGAAGAGATGGCACCCATGAGAAGGTCAACAGCACCCTCTGCTCTACTCGCATGCAGCAGCATCTGTATCTGTCATCGCTTCCCACAGTATCCCAGCTGTGGATGTCTGCCAATCTGTACTCATGCTCGAATTCATCCAGCTAGCATTAAGATAAATTTACCAATCCATGGAGTCTGAGCATGAGCAGGCACTGTGCTAACCACTGCATATGTATTCTCTCACTTAAACATCACAAACACCTTCTTAGTTTGGGTACTATTACTATTGTCTCCATGTCATCAATAAGGAAACTCACGCAAGAGGGACTAAGTATACTGTCGCAAATCCGATGGCTGGAAAGCAGTAACAACAGGTGACACTATGCTCTTAAACCACAGTACTAGAAGGTGCTGTCACCCTTGTGACCAGTTTGGGAAGACGGTGGTTAAGATCTGGAACACTCCTGGACGTCAGACAGAAAGGACAAGGAGCAGAGGTGGGAAAACAGGAAGACTGATAGTGACACTGATCGTGATAAATCTACGTGCTCCCCACCCCCCGCCTCCCGGCCTCCGCAGGAAGGTGAGGCCACCTGAGGAGCTCTGGCCAGTAGGTTGTGAGTGGGAGCCACCGAGGCCTCTGTGAGACACACACTTTAGAGTGACGGGCCAGCCCCCAGCTCTCTCCTTCGGCTGCACGGCCATGGTGATCCTGGAGGCTGGACATTGAGAAGGTGGAGCACCAGACAGATGCGGCCTGGAGCACTCAGCAACCTCCCAGAGCTCAGCTGCCCTGGAGAGCCACCCAACCCACACCAAACTTGTGTGAGGGAGGTAGAAACTGTTGTTACAGTAAATCACGAAGATTTCAGGGTTAATTTTTCTGCCACAGTGCACCCTAACCTATACTGCATAATAACAACTGCCTTACAGAATCCACAAAATCACCACCTCTCTCAGTGAGGAGGGACCTCAGATGCCTCATTCCAGCCTGCTCTGTGCAAAGCATGCCTACAGCACTCGGCAGACAATCCCCACCACAGACCCACATCCCAGCCCCGGGGAGCCTGCCACATGCGTGGTTCTCACCCACCACCCTCAGTGACTCACGGCAGGAGATGGTGCTAACCCCGCGCCCTCCAGACCAAGGGCACACCCAGCAGGTGCTCCCCAGCTCCCTTCGCTCTGTGTGTGCCCTTCATTATGCCTTTATCATAGCGGATCAGAACCATTTCATTCTGTATCTGTTTCCACTCAGCTGTGAGCCTGCTGAGGACAGGGGCACCAGGACCTTATCTGTCTGTAGCTGCAGAACTAATAAAAATTGTACTTAGCCTATGAAGCTGCCAACAGCAAAGCAGAAGTCCAGGGATAAAGTGTCCAAGACAAGGATGATTTTGACAGATTCCATCTGGAAACTGCTGACACCGTAAAAACCTGACTTCCCTCAGGAACAGCAGCCGTCAGGGCCGCGCAGAGCACCGCAGAGCGCTGATCAGGAAAGCGACGCCAGACGAACCGGTCGAGAGGAATGACAGTCAACAACCACTCACCTTTTGTTTCTTGGTATTTAATTCATCAATCTTATTCACAGGGAAACATATCCAAGAAGAGATGGGTGGGGACTACGACTGGCCTCAAGTGCCTCGTGTGTATGACGGCGTGGAGGCTGCTTGCTCCGAGTCCGGAGCAACTGAGAGAGCTGGAGAGGGCAACCGCGCCAGCTGTAGTAGCAAGGTGGGGCCAGCCGCTCCCATCCTGAATGCTGCTATACATTTCTTATCAGCTCCAAACAGCTCTGGTTTAAGAAATTCTTAAGGAAGGTTATGGCTTGGCCGCTAGACCATGTATGGGAGAAAATCCTGGACAGTGGCATGAACACAGTCATGGAGGCTGCATCCTGATTGGTGTCTGGGAGTCCGAAGCACGACCCTGAATTTGGGCCTCTAAACACCTCTCTGAATAAATGCCTAGAATCCTTCCTCAAACGGTAGAATTAACTTAAAAGTTTAAGTTTTAAACGTATCAAAGCAACTCGAAGCTCACTCTCACTAGAGGATTTGGGTCTTTGTTCACGTAAACGCCTTCATTAACTCTTAAGCTCTTCTCCAGGTTGAAGGAGCTCAATGTTAGCTCTTAAAAAAAAATATTCAATGAGTCCCACTCCCCATCACTGCCCCCAAATTAAAGACTCACTGGTTAACTGGAAATGGCACTGAAACTTTATTCCACTTCCTTAATAATAATCCAGGACTTACAGTGTGTTAATAATCTACACGCTTACTAGGGGCCTGATAGACTACTGTTGGCTACTGTGTACACACTGTATCATTTTTGCAGAGAATTCCATAGATAAGGAAAAAAGATCACTTATAGTTCTATCAGAACCATCCTCTGCTTTAACTCTGGTCAACAGCAACAGGATGTGGGCTTGGCTGCCTCCTGGCAGATGAGATCACGCTTGGCCACTACCATCTCTTCGCAATTAGCCTTGGGCCAAAAGCGCGTCTTAGGCACTCAACAAATATTTTATTAATTGAATTTTGGAACACAATTAAAATAGGGATGTATTTTGGCTCCTTTTTCATTACTTGCATCGGAATTACTTGAAACCATCTTTGGGTGAGCCTAGTTCATGCTCCCATGCTACAGAGAACAAGTAAGTATTTTCCTGTATATTGCTAAAATAGTTTTATTGTCAAATACTAAGAAAGGCCTCAAGGGAAAAGAAAATGGCTCTGACCATCTATTCTAAAACCAAAGTCATAATTATGAGCCAAACCCAGCAGTAAATTCGTTTATGTTTAACGATTCTATATAGCAGGTCTGATAATTTACTCACCAATGTAGACATTTTTCAACCAGCTTACCCTGTAACACTAACAGGAGCTTTAGTCTTCAAGTGTACATATTACTGAGCTCTTCTTATGTCATAGGGGCTGACCTGCAATGCCTGACTTAATTTTTTTTTTTTTTTTTTGAGACAGAGTCTCGCTCTTGTCGCCCAGGCTGGAATGCAGTGGCATGATCTTGGCTCATTGCAACCTCCACCTTCTGGGTTCCAGTGATTCTCTTGCCTCAGCCTCCCAAGTAGCTGGGACTACAAGCACCTGCCACCACGCCCGGCTAATTTTTGTATTTTTCGTAGAGACGGAGTTTCGCCATGTTGGCCAGGCCGGTCTCGAACTCCTGACCTCCAGTGATCTGCCCACCTCTGCCTCCCAAAGTGCCAGTATTACAGGTATGAACCACCGTGCCCAGCCCCAATTTTTTTTTTAATTAAACTGGTAAAATCCATGTTTCCGGGCATAGGACGTTGAAGTGTTTGGTTGATATATGAAGACAGTCCCGGATTTGTTTCCTAAGGAAGCACCTTGGCCTAATCCATAGCTACTGCCCAGGCCTTCCTTCAGGTGGAGATGAGGAGCAAGGATTTAGGAAGAGGGGGACAACCCTACATGTGATGTGGACATTTAACTACTGCACACAGATTCACTGCAGGCCTGCCACGGACCAGGTGCTGAGAGCATTAACAACACGAGCCCGCTCCCCTCAGTCAGCATCGGCAGACACCTACCAGCTCTTCTTGATGCCTGAGAACATAACTCTGGATTCTCTGTTGCCCAACTCCTGCCAAAAGCTCAATGGCATTCATGAAAGAGTGTGTGATGCACAGCAGCCCACCCGTTATCCTAGATGCTGGCAGCAGGGGGGCTAACGCAAGTCAGTCAACAGCAGGCCACACCGCCCTGTCCTCTGGGAGAGCCACCTTCATCCCCTGGTGCTCCGGTCCCATGCCCTCAGTGTGCGTTACCGAATGCTAACAGCAAAACAACATCAGACACCTGCCTAGATCTTCATGGGGATGTTGCTGAGCATGCTACTCAAAACATCAGAATGTTCTCTTCGAGAGAATCCACTAGAGAGGTTTCCCAGCTCACTGCTGGGAAGAGATGCATTTCCCCAGTGTGACTGATACATGCCTGTTCTTGAGAGGGGGGCTCTTGTAGTCAATCACGCTTCCTTCTTGTCAGTTACCTCACAATCACGCTCTCTCCCATCTCCAGCCATTACGTAGGACATTATGAATTCCAGGTACTAACAGAACTTGTTGTTAGTTTTCTATCCCACTGTTACTTTCCCCTCACTCTGGTTACCTTAACTTGTTCTTTTTTTTGAGAGAGAGAGAGAGGGAGTATCGCACTGTCACCCAGGTTGGAGTGCAGTGGTGCGATCTCCGCTCACTGCAACCTCCGCCTCCTGGGTTCAAACAATTCTGGTGCCTCGGCCACCCAAGTAGCTGGGACTCCAGGCATGCACTACCACATCCGACTAATTTTTTGTATTTTTGGAAGAGATGGGGTTCCGCTCTGTTGGCCAGGCTGGTCTCGAACTCCTGAGCTCAGGCAATCCCCCTGCCTCGGCCTCCCAAAGTGTTCACATTACAGGCGTGAGCCACCGTGCCAGACCCAGGAATTTTTTAAAATAACTAAATAGCTACATATATGCATTTCTTAAGGGAGTGATGGAACTAATTCATTTGATTTAATTTAACATGTACAAACAAAAGTAAAAACTGACAGGGAATGGTAAGGTGACATCTAATTAGAGGCAAAATTCCCTGAAACCTCTATAAGAACTCATGTCTGCAAAGAGCTTTTCTGCTTATAAAACAATTTCCCAAACATTTCATTTGATCCATGCATGGGAGGTATGTCTCATCAACCTCAGTTCAAGAAGAGGAAGTTAAATCATTTGTTCAAAGTCACACAGCTAACTGCAGAATGCGGGATAGGAATACAAGACTACTGAACAAAAGCCAGTGGCTTTTCCAATTTTACATGAAGGGGGTTTATTGGTGCTTGGCATAAATATGTCAATGCATTTTAGTTACTATCCTTCCTTTCTGAAACCTACAGAGATGCGTACACATCAGTATCCCTCACACATCATCATGACAGTCTTAGAGAAGGAAGTGGCATACAGTCTTTTCTAGAAGTATGGCCCATGGCATATCTTGGGGGAAAAAAGATCTTGCTTTGACAAGAAAAAGAAAAGTGCTGGAGGCTAAAGAATTATGGAGACCAGGCGTGGTGGCTCATACCTGTAATCCTAGCACTTTGGGAGGCCAAGGCGGGTGGATCATGAGGTCAAGGGTTTGAGACCAGCCTGGCGAACACAGTGAAACCCTGTCTCTACTAAAAATACAAAAATTAGCCAGGCATGGTGGCACGCACCTGTAGTCCCAGCTACTCGGAGGCTGAGGCAGTAGAATTGCTTGAACCTGGGAGGCGGAGGTTGCAGTGAGCCTAGACTGCGCCACTGCACTCCAGCCTCAGCATCAGAGCAAGACTCTGTCTCAAAAAAAAAAAAAAAAAAGAAGAAGAATTATATGGAGCAAGGACATCACATCTGTCCTAATTCTCCCTACTTTCAAATGGCAAAAACTTAGAAGAAAGGCATGAAAAGCGAATCTGGACAGCACATTAAAGCGTGCACATTTTTATCTATGGGTGAAAATTAGTCTCATATAAAACATGAGCCTATTTATTAGTAAGAAGAGAAGCATATAACCAGCCCTCTGCATCAGAAAGTGCCACAAGTCCAAGGAAGAGAACATGCAGTTCATAAAGCGTGCACTTGCTTCAAGGTTGCACTTTTCCAAGGTATGCTTTCTGACTTGGGAAGGGCAGATATTCATCAATGCATTATCTTGACTCATAGGCATTACAGGTCACAAACCGAAACCAGGACTTTTGATCTGAAGCAGTGTGGTGGGATGAGTGGGCCTTGGGTGTCATTTGCTATTGTGTCCTTGTCTGTTGCCTCCCAACACCCACTTGCCTCTTCTCCTGTGCCCAGCTATTCGTAGGTTTTGCTTTAGGGGAACTACACACGGTCTCCTTGCAGCCATGTGGTTTGCAGGGACTCGGTCCGATCTGAGTACATAACTCCATGAGGGGCAGTGAAAAGCAAAAGGACATTGTCCCCCTGAAAGAAAGCAGTGTTCCTTTACAGGTGTTACTAAAAGGCACCTGCTCTCTTTTCCTGGACACAGTAGCAAGAGGATGTGAGGCCTGGAGGTGATGAGCCACTCTGATAGCACCTGGGGCCTGCAACTAAAGCCAACACTGCAGCGGACAGAGCTCAGAGGGAAAGAAACCAAGTTTTGATGAGGTTGTTTGAGCCCTGACTCCAGCCCTACCTGAATTCCTCCCTGAACTTTCCAGGTATATGTGCCATAAATTATTTTTGCCTAAGTTAGCCTGGTTTCTATCAGCTGCTATTACAAAATATTCTAAGGGATCCAACTATTTACTCATTCAACACACAAGGTCACCTGGGGGCTACAAAGACAAAGAAGAGAGAAGGACCCAAAATGTCAACAAAGATGTCCAGTCAAGTTCCATAAGCGCTACAGAAGAAAGATATGGCATACACTGTTGGCTGGCTGACCAAGCACGAATTTCTGACCCCATTCTCCATTCCCCACCTATATCACAGATTCTAGGAAAGCTAAATATTTATTTTCTCAGCCTGTCTTGCAATTAGAGATGGCCATGAGACACACTTCCTGTTAATGAGACTGGGGCAGAAGCCTACTCGAATCTGTCAAGAACATTTTTGCTTCCCTATTAAGCAAAAGATAGACATCTCTAGACCTGCCCTGTCTCCCTTCTTTCTGCCTTGGATGTAGATGTGTTATCTGGAGCTGCAGCAGCCATCTGGTAATCTTGAGGTAAAGACAGAGTTACAGAGAGGCCACCTGTTTCCGGCTTCTTAATAAACTAGAAAAATATCTTCCTATTGACTATCTACTATTAGGTCTTCTGTTCTTTACAGCTGAAATAATTCCTAACTTACAAAGAAAGTATAGTCATTTCTACTTGGGTGGCTCTGGAAAAGGCTTTATAGAGGACATAATCCTTGAACTAAAATCGTGAAAGATGACTAAGTGTCATCAGGCAGAGCAGGGAAGCACAGGCATTCCAAGCCAGAGATAAAGCCTCAACGAAGGAACAAAACCGGCCACACATTTGGCCCACTCTAAGTATTCCCACAAGGGAAAGCAGGAGCGTAGGACCAAGGAAATAGGGCGCTCACAATCAAAGCTGGAGACAGGGCAGGCCACAGAGGCCCTGCAAGCCATGCAAAGCAAGTACATTAGAGTCTGTTCTCTAAGCGGTGGGGAGCAGAGTAGGCTACGAGATACTCCGGCTCTCCAAATGTTCCAAAGACCTTCCCTTTCATTTGACCGGTCGTACTGAGGTTCCGTGGGTTTACCACACTGAATCTCAGGCAGTTCTTCTTCCCAGTTTTCAATGAGACCAGGTACGATCCACGTGAGGAAGGAGTCACCAGGACACTTAGGGGTTACTTCTCTAGCTAAAGTCTTCAGAAAATCATCACGAATATGTTTATGCAGATGGTGGGTCATACATAAAATTAGATTTTTGAAAACAGCCCATGGCCAGGCATAGTGGCTCACGCCTGTAATCCCAACACTTTGGGAGGCTGAGGCGGGCGGATCACGAGGTCAGGAGTTCGAGACCAGCCTGGCCAATATGGTGAAACCCTGTCTCTACTAAAAATACAAATATTAGCCGGTCGTGGTGCCATGCGCCTGTAGTCCCAGCTACTCAGGAGGCTGAGGCAGAAGAATCACTTGAACCCGGGAGGTGGAGGTTGCAGTGAGCCAACATCGTACCACTGCACTCCAGCCTGGGCAACAGAGTGAGATTACAACTCAAAAAAAAAAAAGAAAGAAAGAAACAGTCCATGACCACACTGGGCAAGAACAATGGCACCAGGATGCCAGGCAAGACTCAGCTAACTGTTCGCAGGGAGCTCTGCCACAGGAGCCTCAGGACCCTAACAGAGAAAGAGACACACTGCCCAGGAAAGGGACGCGCACAGAAGGTTCGGAAAACAGCACTTGCCCAAACGGTAGACTGTTACACTTTCACCCAATCTGCCTTTTCTAATGTTTCAACAGCCGAGGGACTAAAATGTGAATGTTACAGTACTTTTCAATGTACTGTTTGAAAACACAGGTGAAAAAATGTCTCCAAGAAGAAAACCAAGATGTACTGAGCGCTTCCTAGGCGCTAGGCATGCTGCTCTGCGCTTTTGTGTGCCTCTGCTCAGCTGAAACAAAACAAACCACTCTGTGTGGGGCAATTTTTAAGCCCGGCTTAAAGATGAAGAAAACGAAGTGTAAAGAGACTGCTTCTCTACCACGGCCACACACAAGTGAGAGTGAACCCAGGGCCTCTCGCTTAACTCCAGGGCTGCCTGGCAGGCTGTGAGGAGAACAAGCACGCTTCTTCCTTGGTTCCAATGACCTGCAAGGACCGATCATCCCCAGCTTCAGGGACAAGAAGCCTCAGCTCCTGGATATCTACACACAGCACCAAACACCCAGAATGTTCTGTAAGCTTCATAACATTCTACTAGGCAAGGTTTTCTAAATTTAAAAATGATTCAAGTCATGATGTAAATATAAAATTATTAAGAAAGGCTTTTCTAGACCTTAATCTTTAAAAAATGAATCATGCCCTTAATCCCAAGTCAAATGCATTCGGCTCTAAGTCTTAGTCATAGAAAAGCCTCAAAGGCCCCTTTGCTCCACAGCCTGCCTGAGTGCTGAGCAAGCACTGGGCACTGCAGAGCAGCCACGCCCTTCCTGGGCCCTCCAAACAGCGGTGTTGCAAGTCCCTCTGGACATTCTGAGGAGCAGCCACAGCACCTTCTCAGGCCACAGCCACGCCTTTTGGATGCTGCCCCTTGCAGCTCTGCCTGATGAACAATCTCAGCAGTGCTCTTCAGAACACCTTAAAATTCCAGTGTGGCCTGCCAGGGGCTGCAATGCACAGCGACCCTTTCTGCCCCCACTTCTCGGGAGCACACAACTCTTTGGCAAAAAGAAACCATTTCATTTGGCAGTACTATACTTGCCTTCAAAGAATGCAGGGAGAAAGAAAACTAACATTTCTTAAGCACCATACACATGCTTTTACATGTTACTTCATTGAATTCTCATAATAGCTTAATGCTATCGGTTTTCTTCTTAATTTTGGGGGCATAGTGGGGAGATAAGCAAACTGATACCCCGGAGGTTGAGTGACTCATTCATGGAATGCAGCAGGCCCGTGAGTCAAAGCGAGTACATGGCAAGACCGAGTGAAGCTGGGGAACAATAGCCAAGCCAAGAGCGTTTTAAAGATACTTAGCATCTTCATCACACTGAATCCTAAGGTGACAGCACTTCCACTCGACAGCAAAATGTCAGATTCAACTGTTTCTTTCCGGTCTTCAAACAAATATTTCAGAAATTCAGAAATCACCTCACAAGATCAGTTCATAAACCTTTTGCAGGTCCTAAGCCTTGAGTGGTGAAGAAAAAACAAAAACCTTTTGCAAGGACCCACTTTGCATGTGCCAAAAGGTCTCCACTCTAAAATCTCACACTCTTAGGAGTGACAGTCACACAGAAAGGACGGCACATGGCAGCAAATCCTGGGAGAGCAGTGAGCAATGGGTGCCATGGAAACTCAGGGAGCTCGCCTCTCAGGAAAGGTGTCCTGGAAATGGGGCTGAGGATGAGCATGAAGGAACAAGGGAGCACAGACAGAATGAAGCCAGGAGAGGAGAGAGCCTGCCAGGCAGAGGCAGTGCAGAGCAAAGGTGGGAGCTGGCAAGTGCTTGTGTGGGCGAGGAGCTGCCCTGTTCCCGTGTGGCTGGGGTGCATGGCCTGCGGAAAGGGAAATGACTGAAAACTTCCAAGGAGAAGACGATGTGATCAGACTGGTTTCCACCACGGTGTAGTGGTCGCAAGGCAGGCTTTCGAACAAAGCAAGGCTGGGTGCAGACGTGACTCCGCCATTTAGTGGGCATGGAATTGCAGCAGTTACAGAATGTCGCTGGCCCTGACTCTCTCATCTCTAAAATACTTACTTCCATGTCATAGGGCTGCTTTCAAGTTTAATGAGATAATGAACCCGATACACAGCCAACAAAAATGGGAACTCTTCTAAAGATCTCTATTCACAATCAGACTAGAGGACGGTGTCCCAGAGGGCAGCTGCCTTTCCGGCTCTGCAGTGCCCATCTCACCTGACGATGGGAAGCTTGGTGAAGGGCACCGGTGGCAGGGTGAGGCCGCCAGGGAGGGCGATGGGCTCCATGGTCCCAGGACACTTGGACGTATAGTTCTCTAGGCTTTGGGCCACATCTTTCTTTTCTGAAGAGAAGATGAAAACAAAATAAAGATGTATTAGGCAAAAGTCAAAGTGGCTGGCTTTCATTTTACTTGGGGCATTTCATGACAGTCCAGTGAGTCCAATCTTCTGACAGAAATGAAGGGGCAGTGAGCAAAAGAGACCAGAACAAAGCAGAAGCCATATTCCACTTATTCGAAAATCACCGGCACTGCTCCTCTTAAGGGCCTGTGGATAAAAGGGAAATTAAGTTAGTATCCTCCAGGAGACTTCCATTTTCCAAGAAAATAAACCCTTATCAAATTTCAAGAAAGTCTGTAGGCAGGACTAGAGAATCAGTATATTTTATAACTTAACCATACTTTTTCAGCAATTACTAGGTAATTACCAAGCAAAATGCCAGGACCTGTCTGTCCCTCAGGAGTTTGTAATTTATCTGTATGACAGACACTTAGGCAAATAATTACAAATCAACATTTTTGATGCAAATATAGAGCTTTGTGAGAAAAGACTGTTGTTCACCATCCTGCCCCCATCCCTTTCACAAGGAGGGAGGAAAAGAGGACACAGGTGATAATCATGTCCGCTTCCTGTCCATGGCACAGTCTAGACAGGCCACGGACACAGACCCCTTCTCACCCACAGCATGACAGAGCTCAGGAGCACCTGCTGTGCTCTAGGACTCAGGCTGGCTCAGGAAGGCAGGCACTCCTGTCCCCACTTTGCAGATGAAAAACCTGAGACCAAGGGAAATTAAGCAGCTTGTCAAAGACCATGTACTTGGCCTAAGGCCTGTGGTTTTCTCCCTAGAGTGTTTTAAAGAATTAAGGAAAGGATGGGATTATGGGAGGGGTGTGAACAAGGAAGTCCCTCCTTGCAGCATCTAGCTTCTCTGTGAAATACCAAAGTGACTGCTGATGGGGAAGACAGAGGACTTGGAGAGAAGAGCAGCAGAGGGACACGATCGCCAGGGATGACACCTAGAACAGCGAAGTTAGATCCGACTCCAGGAGATGCCTTGGTCTTTCCCTATCTACTGTGCTACCACCTTAGGGGAAGTCCTTCAACCTTTCTGCATCTTGTTTGCCTGCAGTAAGAGGAGTGCCTATATCAGGAATTACTAAGGATAAATGCGATAATACATTAAAAAAGCAGTGAATGGCAGATACGGTGCACTGAATAAACTGAAATGATAATAACCATTATCATCATTATCATATAGCTGCACTGGAGTGGACAAAGAGCAGGTAAGTAGCTGTAAAGTGAAGCCAAGTGCTCCACTGAGGCTGGTGACCATAAATAATAAATATCAAGGCAAGGGCTTCATAGAGCTCAGGCACATGTATTAATTGTTAAACTGCTACCATAGGAATTTTCTGTGCCTACGCATTCTTCTTCTTCTTCTTCTTTTTTTTTTTTTTTTTTTGAAACAGGATCTCACTCTGTCTCCCAGGCTGGAGTGCAGAGGTACAATCTCAGCTCACTGCAACCTCCGCCTCCCAGGTTCAAGCAATCCTCCCATCTCAGCCTTCTAAGCAGCTGAGACTACAGGCATGTGTCACCATGCTTGGCTGATTTTTTAATTTTGGGTAGAGATGAGGTCTCACTACATTGCCCAGGCTAGTCTCCAACTCCTGGGCTCAAGTGATCCCCCCACCTTGGCCTTCCAAAGTACTGGGATTACAGGCATGAGCCATCACACCCAGCCTCCCTCATTCTTAGGAAGCCAGAGAGCAGAGCAGAAAAGTGACCAGAATTACTTTTGAATACAACACAACAATGTTAATCTGAAACATGAAAAAAGCCTTTAAATAACCAAATCATTCTCAATCTATAAAAATCTCCCAAAGGGCTCCAGCTGATATCATGTATATTATCTAATTTGCCTAATGTTAGGCAGAGCACTTATGGTTGAGGTATCCTATTCAGTTGAATTCTACCACCCCATACACACTCTCGGTAAATGCTGCTGAAATAAAGGGATCTATTTGTGGTGCCTCATGCCACTTGCACCGTTATCCAAGAAAGGAAAGGCACCACAGTGTATCACTCGGCTAAGCTCTGAATGGCATTTCTAGACAGAAAATAACGTACACACTGAGTAGCACAGGGGAGGCTGCTTCACCGCAGCGTGGTCTGGCTGTGCCATTTCATTAGAGAACCCCCGTGTTTGTGCTTTAGGTCTGGTCACTATGCTGTGGAGGAATGTCCTATGTAGGGATATAGCCTGGCTGTGAGCACTCTCAGAGCTTTGTGGAAGGCCAGGTTGGGGATGCCTCAATATTCACTTACTCCCCATGAGCGTAGCAGGGCACACCTCTCCGCTGTGCCTGCTGACTCCCTGAAGGGAGTCAAATGCTAATCTTCTGCTGGGGTGGAAAAGGGACCGTCGCCAGCTGCAGGGGCAGAAGCGATCTGCGGATATGTAATCAATTGTAAATGATTTTCAGCAGCGCCTACTGCCGTGTGGTGCTCCTGCTAGGGACAGGGAATGGGGGTTGCTTCTTGGCTTTCCCCTACTGCCATATGACCCCATCGCCATTTCAGTGGGGTTTCTAGAGTCAAACGCTTATGCCCAATTGTCAGCATGGCCCATCCAGTGCAAAGGCCCCATCCACCTTCTCCTAAAGGATTCAAGTGTCGGCTATAAATTGTTGCCAGATCTATTATTTCATCAGGAATTACAAACTGGTGATTTTCTAATTCTCTAATTCCTCTGCACTTAGAAGCTAGAATTTGTTTATAAGGAAGGATTTTTTCCTCATCAATCATTTGGTTATCCTGGAACGCAGACAACACAGACATTAATAAACGGTTGAGTCTTTCCCTTTATTTACTGAGTGGAAAACTATTGCCCTGTGAAACTCCAGTAATGACCAATGTGTTTTGTTTATTGTTTAGTATCATTATATACCTATGGATTTTTATCTCTTTGATGTTTCCATTGATTGTTATCACATCCTTTTTTATTTCTAATGGATACATAATAATTGCACATATTTCTGGGGTACAGTATGATGTTTTAATGCATTTACTGTATAACAATCAAATCAGGGTCATCAGCGTATCCACTGCATCAAACATTTATCGGTTCTTTGTGATAAGAGCATTCAAATTCCTCTCTTCTAGATCTTTTGAAATATACCTTTTTGTGAACTATAGTCACCCAACCGTGCATTAGAATACCAGAACTTACTTCTCCTAACTAGAGCATTGTATCCACTGTCCATCCTCTCCCCATCTCCCTTCTCCCAACCATCCCCAGACTCTTCTAACCTCTATTCTGCTAATTCCATGAGACAAACGTTTAAAAATTTCACACCTGAGGAAGACCATGAGGGATTTGTCTTTCTGTGCCTGGCTTTTTTCACTTAACATATGCCCTCCAGGTCCATCTGTGTTGTTGCAAATGACAGGATTTAATTCTTTTTTATGGCTGAATGGTATCCCACTGTGTATCTATATCACATTTTCTTTATCCATTCATCTGCTGAATGGCACTTAGGTTGATTCCGTATCTTGGCTATTTGAACAGTGCTGCAATAAATGCAGGCATGCAGTCACCCCTTCGACACTGACTTCATTTCCTTTGGATATATGCTCAGTAGCGGAATGGAAGATCATACAGTGGTTCTATTTTTAAGTTTTTTGAGGAACCTCCATACTGTTTAACATAATGGCCGTACTAATTTACATTCCCACCAATAGCGTGTAAAGAACCCCTTTTCTTCACCTCCTCACCAACATTTCATCTTTTGACTTTTTGATAATAGGTATTCCAGCTGGAGAAAGGTGATCTCTCATAGCGGTTTTCATTTGCATTTCCCTGATGATTAGTGATGTTAAGCATTTTTTCATACATCTTTTGGCCATTTGTATGTCTTTTTTTTTTTTTTTTTTTGGTGGGCATGTGAGATTTAAGGGCTGATTTTGAGAGATAAAATAAGTTCAGTTTCTCTATAAATTAATCATTATTGTCAAAGACACACTGATGCAAGACCAGCATATGAGCCCCTGTGTCAGATTAACAAGGTCTTCTTGAAGCATTAACCAACTCCTTAGTAAAGGTTATAAAGATTATAAAAAGCTTATGAAAGTTATATCTTGTGTTCAAGATTAAAATTTTATAGTTTATAAAATTTTGAAAAACAAATTTAATTGGTTTCATGCTATTTTATTAGGAAATATTGTTTGGAAAATTAAGGCTTCTTTCTCAAAGAACGAAGGTTTTCACCTTTCTAAAAAAATCCTTGAGTTATTACTTTGGTCAAATGAATGACTTATTTTACAATGATCTGTGATATAAGTGTTTTAAACCTTTGACCTTTCCAAAATCAAATTATAAATTATATCTTTTTCTGAACTAATTAATCCTTTAAGATACTAGGTTCCCTAAAGTCCAAAAGTGACATAATTTGTCTTATTTGGTATAAAAATTACACAGGAAACACTGTCAAATATGAAATGGTGTTTAGTTTTCTTTAGGCTATATTTACACAAATATGTTATTGGTATGTGTTCCAAAATCATGGGAAACTCCTATAATTCTGATATGACTTAGTGTACATTATCAGTAATAATTATAATTGTTATGTTAAATTATTGTGTGCCACAGAGGTAACAAATTTCCTTATGGATTGTATCTTTGACTATGGCTGCCCTAAAACCTTTTGTCATCCACAGACAATTGTTGTCTGTTTTGGTCTTTAGAAGGTGGTTTTATAATCAGCTATAAAACTCTACCAGGTGCTGTTGAATACAAGTTTCTGATAACTTTGGAGACTGTGACATCAGAATAGAAGAAAAACTTTCAGGACTCATGGAGAACTGAAATGTTCAGGAATATCAAGCAGAATGGGAATTAACTACAGACTGAACTAATACAAGACTGAAGTAATCTTTTTGATTTTTTGCTTAAAACGTTGCTGGTCCTTTGTTTTTTCAGAGTCAAGGAAACTTTTCTTTTGAGCTATTAACAGCTTTTAATGATTGAGTGTACTCCTATGAACAAAATTTAGAACATATTTGTTTCATTCTACCTGACTCTTCCAGAATTTGGAAACTATTTGTGAGTATTCTTAACACCTAATTTGTTGAGAGTTTTTATCATGAAGGGATGCTGAATTTTGTCAAATGCTTTTTCTGCTTCTATAGAAATGATAATATGGTTTTGGTTCTTCATTCCGTTAATGTGATATGTCACATCTATGTTCAACCATGTTCGCATCCCTGGGATGAATTCCACTTGATCATGGTGGAAGATCTTTCAAATGTGCTGTTGAATTTTGTTTGCCAGTATTTTGTGGAAGATTTTTGCATCTAATCTTCATCAGGGATATCTGTCTTTTGAGATTAGTTTTCTTTTGTTGATGGTGTGTCTTTCTCTGGTTTTAGTATACCAAAGTAATGCTGGCTTCACAGAATGAGTTTGGAAGTAGTTTGAGAAAAATTGGTACTAGTTCTTTGTTAAATGTTTCAGCAGTGAAGCCCTCAGGTCCCGGGCTTTTCTTTGATGGGAGACTTCTTATTACTGATTCAATTTTCTTATTCGTTTTTGGTCGTTCAGATTTTCTATTTCTTCATGATTCATTCTTGGCAGATTGTATGTGTCCACGCAGTTATCCACGTCTTCTAGGTCACTGAGTTTGTTGGCATATAATTGTTTGTAATAGTCTCTTGTGATCTTTTATGTTTCTGTGTTATCAGTTGTAAATTTCTCCTTTTTGATCTCTGATTTTATTGATTTGACATTTATTCTTTTTTTCATAATCTAGCTAAAGGTTTGTTAAGCTTTTCAAAACACCAGCTCTTCATTTCATTAATCTTTTGTATGGTTTTTCTCATCTCTATTTCATTTATTTCCACTCTGATCTTTATTATTTCCTTCTTTCTACTAACCTTGGTTGAGTCTGTTCTTGTTTTTCTAATTCCTTAAGATGCAGTGTTAGACTGTTTATTTGAAAGCTTTCTTCTTTTTTGATGTAGGCACCATCTTTGGCCAGTGGGAGTCCCTTCTGGTTGGTTCCTGTGTCCTTTGGATAAGGTCCCATTATTCTTTGATCCCTTTGTTTCTGGTTCATATCCAGCCCCAGGCCTAGAATTAAATCACTTCTCCAAGGAGCTCTCATTCCCTTTAGTGGAAAGAAGTGTTTAGAGACTAAAACCCAGAGGCTAGAAGTGCTCTTTGCTACTGGATTCTCATGGTCTCTGAAGGGCTTTACAAAGGACAGGACAACTTACAAAGTTTTCACAGTGATAAGATTATAAGTGATTTCTGCTTTAATTTTTTTTTAAGTTTAACAACGAAAAATAAAAGATTTGGACTATAAGCTCCTTAAAAGGAAGAAAGTCATGTCCCTACCCACAATTACATTTACTGAGCACTTACGATGTGCCAAATATTGTACTATGTTCTTTAGACTATAAAATCTTTAAGGCAAGGGATTCTGGTATATATTAATAACAAACTTCATTATTTTTTATCCAAAATAGGCATATAATACCCTCTTACAAAATACCTGCCAAAGAAGTGGGGAAAGGCATTATGATCCCCCTTTTAAAGTTCATAAAGATGAACTCAGGAACAACCCTGGACATTTGATTATGGATTGGTATCAAATGTCACCAAAAAATAATTATTAATGTTTTAAGTATAATATTGTAGTTATATAAGAAAATGCTCATTTTTTAGCAATGCATACTAAAGTATGAAGGTCTGAAATGATATGTCTCCGAGATTTTCTTTAAAATAATTCAGCAAATTTAAAAAGCAAGAGATGAAGTAAATGTGTAAAAGTCTTGATAACCACTGAATCCGGGTGATGGATATATGAGGATTCATTTTACAATTCTTTTTACCTTTATGTTTGAAAATGTTTCATAGCAATAATTTTTATTATATTTTGACAAATTATCATTGCATGTATTTATAGGATACAAAGTGTTATGATTTTTAATACAATGTGAAATGACGAAATCAAGCTAACATGTCCATCACCTGAAATATTTAACATTTTTTGTGATAAGAACATTTGAAATTTGTTCCTTTAGTAATATTGAAATGTACAGCACTCAACTCTTAGCCATATTCACCATGCTGTGCAACAGATCTCAAAAAAAGTCAACTTACTCCTCCTGTCTAACTGAGGCTTTCTACCTTTTGACCATCATCTCCCCATTCCACTTACCTCCCAGCCTCTGCTAACCACCATTCTACTCTCTGCTTCTATGAGTTCAATTGTTTTGAATCCCACATATAAGTGAGAACATACAGTATTTGTCTTTCTGTGTTTGGCTTATTTCACTTAGCCTAATGCTCTCCAGTTCCATCCATGTTGTCACAAATAACAGAATTTCTTCCCTTTTTACAGGTGTATAGTATTCCATTGTGTGTACATACCACATTTTCTTTATGCATTCATCTGTTGATGGACACAGCAATAAAGTTTAATGGGCTTGGAGAACTGAAATTATTTTCTCATGGTCATACAGAGGAACAGAGTTAGGATTCAGATCAAGAGTTGACCGAGTCTTCCTGTTCCAAAATATGAAGCCTGACCACATATACCCAGTGTTACCATAAGAGGAATAAAAGGACACAAGGCCGTGGTGGCTGCTGATGTCTGTTCCACATGCCAAGCTGGAGAAAAGCTTGTGAAAAATTTGACATGTTCACAGCATATGATTTGGTTAGTGGGAGGTGATGATTCCTCAACTTATGTCACTAAAAATCAATCCATCTTCTTCCATTTTTGATCAGATTATCCAACAATGATTTTAGTCAAATTAGAGCACCTAATGCCCTTGAAAGTTATTTTGAACTTTTTTTTTTTTTTTTTTTTTGAGATGGAGTCTTGCTCTGTCGCCCAGGCTGGAGTGCAGTGGCGCGATCTCGGCTCACTGCAAGCTCCGCCTCCCGGGTTCACACCATTCTCCTGCCTCAGCCTCCCGAGTAGCTGGGACTACGGGCACCCGCCACCAGGCCTGGCTAATTTTTTTTGTATTTTTAGTAGAGACGGGGTTTCACCGTGTTAGCCAGGATGATCTCGATCTCCTAACCTCCTGATCCGCCCACCTCAGCCTCCCAAAGTGCTGGGATTACAGGCTTGAGCCACCGTGCCCGGCCAACTTTTTGTTTTTTTTGAGACAGGGTCTTGCTCTGTCGCCTAGGCTGGAGTACAGTGGCGCGATCTGCAACCTCCACCTCCCAGGCTCAAGCGATCCTCCCACCTCAGCCTACCGGATAGCTGGGACTACAGGTGTGCACCACAACACCCAGCTAATTTTTCATATTTTCTGTAAAGATGGGTTTTTGCCATGTTGCTCAGGCTGGTCTTGAATTCTGGGACTCAAGTGATCCACCCACCTCGGCCTCCCAAAGTGCTGGGATTACATGAGTGAGCAACTACGCCTGGCCCAAACAGAACATTTTTAATGAAAGCCTAGTTATTACTTAACTATATTGTTCTTACAGAAGGAGAAAATATGATCACCAAAACTTTGGATCAGAAATGATTTACGGCCATTTAAATGGACACTGGCTTGAAAACCAGTGCATCACGATTTCACAGTTATTCTTGTCTCTGCTAAGTAATAATCGGAGACAACCAGGCTTGCATTCAGTCAGTTATGGTACTCTGAACAGGTAGAGAATAGAAAGAGGGGAAAGAAGTACATCTTTTTTTTCTAAATCCAGAAGGAAAAACCTAAGGAAGAAGGAAAAAGAAAACACGGAGGAAAAAGTACAGGTGTGATTTGATCAAATATCTGAAGTTACATTTTCACAATCGATTCTGGTACTTTCACTTATAGAAATAATACCACAGTTAGTATTTGAATGGTTTTCTTAGGAATAATGATATTGATCTTTCAACATAACAATGCTGAGGTCTCTTTGGAGGCTTCCACTAAGCAGGGCTTTGTCCCCTGGTGTCTACATAAGTGGAAAACAAAACAAAAGGAAAAGATGGAGCTGACGCATCTTTATTTGTACCAACACAGGCTATGTTGAAGGACATGACCTAAGGTTTTTTAGAAACTGAAATTCCTCACTAACACCAAGAACTGGGCAGACACAGCTTCCTTCCCAGACACAGGCTGCACTGAACTGGTCACCCCTAGCCCCACTCAGGGGAGGCCACGCCAAACGTCCAGCACAGAGCTGCAGACGGGAACTCAGGCTCTGTGACCAACGAACTCCCAAGACCAAGCAGGGCCCAGCCAAGTCAAATCCAGCACCCGGTTATCGGGACCAACAGCAATCAGATAAGTCACTCTGCCTCTCCACATTTACCTAGCCAAACTCCCTTCTTACAAAAGAGGCTTGAGGGTTTGTGAAGAGTATTATTCTCCATTAACAAATACGGTGTCATTGTTATCCCCATTTTATTACTGGCATACTTGAGGCCTAGGGAGAGGAAGTGATTAGCCCAAAGTCAGAAAACCAGTCATCTGTGAAGCTGGATCTCAAAGTCAGGCCCTCTACAAACCCTACATCTCACGATCTTTCTACACTAACCTTGTACATCCAATAGCATCCCACTGTCATGAAAAGGTTACTATCCCATTAAGTGCCCATTACGAGTACACCTGTAGCAACTTCCACTTCTAGAGCAGCTTCTAGCAGAACAGCACTCCCATCAGTAACTTAAAGAGCCAGATAAAGTGTCAAAAAGAGGAGGGGGCACTGGAGAGTGGCCAAGACATGGAGGACTTGCAAGATTCCAGACAGAAGGGAAGCTCGCTGAGAGGAGCACAGTTGCCTGTGGCACCACTTCACCCCGGGAGTGGTGCAGATTCTCAACAGGGGAGAACCACTGCCTGCGGCAGAGAAGCCGGCAGAGCGCTCCAGGCAGTCTCATGGGGCTAGGAGAGCCATGGCTGGGGCTGGAGCCACCAAGTGAGGCAGACCCTGAGGAGCCAGGTGCCAGGAGGAGCCAGGAGTAGTGACAGTGAACCCGGAGCTCAGCATGAGCTCCCCCTCGCTTGTTCCCATTCAGCTCCGCAGGACGGAAGGCTGCCAGGTCCATCCAAGACTGCCTCAAAAGCAGAGTTGCTGTTCAACTCTAAAAAGTGGCACCAGATGGCCTTTGCGCACTAACAATGAGAATGAGATGCATAAGCTGTAAAAGGGGCTTCTTGAAAAATCCATCAGAGAGCTGAGGATGCAAAGGAACAGGCATGAGCTAAATTCCAGGAAGCAGCAAGCTCTTCCTAGGAGACAGGGCCCAACAGCTGCTTTGTCCCTGGCAGAGGAGCAAGAGAAGGGAGAATTGGGCAGAGAACGGGGGAAGGAGAAAAGGGCTGAACTTGGAAGACACTTTCACCGCCTGCATGTAGGTGGGTGCAACAGAGTAGACTCCCATGGGCAAATCTACCATTCTCCAACGCCTCCTGCAGGCTTTTGCAGAGGGCAACGTGCAGTACACTGAGGCTGAGGGCAGGCAGGACAGCTAGGAGGACAGTCCCAGGCACTCAGGACCTCCCCTAGATGCCTGGCAGCTGCCACAGAAATCCAGGCAGGGCAGAGAGCTGGCAGATGCCCTGAGGGGCACTATGCTTTCTCCAAGCACAAAGCAGAGGCTTGCTGAGCTTGGTAGACAAGAGAACAACCGAGATTCCTCCTCCAAGACCATGGCTGCCAAAGGTTAGGGCCAAGCAGCAAAGCTTGAAGAAACCCCTCCAAGGCATCAGGACCCTTCACTGAGTGCAAGGCAGTACCCTGTGGAAGGCTGGGGGCAGGACCAAGAGAGAGCCCCCAAAATGCAGAAAGCCAGAGATAGGGCTGGAGATCAGAGAAAACTCCCCCAAACCCACAAATCCAGCATCCAGTCTCAAAGCACAAAGATGGAAAGCTGGTGACTGGCTGCAAACCAAACTCCAGTCTTTTCTGTGCCCAGACCCCAAGCCAACAGAAGGTCAAATCCTGACCAAACACCTGAAGCTAAAGATGAAATGACCCCAAGGAGAGCTAGGACCAAGGCTACACCCAGCTCAACTGCAGATCAGATTGGCAATGCCCCACCCCCCTGGTGGCAAGCCTTTTGAGGAGGGTAAATATTTACTTTATGCTTTTTAATACAAGTCCAAAAGAGGAAGTAGTACAATATTTGAAGGGGGTTATGTTAAAAATGCATATTATAATCTCCAGAGCAAGCACTTTTTAAATAGAGATATGGCTTAAAAAGCCAACAGAAGCCGGATGCGGTGGCTCACACCTGTGTTCCCAGCACTTCTGGAGGCTGAGGCAGGAGGATTGCTTCAGGCCAGGAGTTCAAGGCCAACCTGGGCAACGTAGCAAGACCCCCATCTCTACAAAAAAAAAAAAATGTAAAAATTAACCAGGCATGGTGGTGTGCACCTGTATTCCCAACTATGCAGGAGGCTGAGGTGGAAGGGTTGCTTGAGCCCAGGAGTTCAAGGCTGCAGTGAGCTATGATTACGGGCCACTGTACTCCAGCCTGGGAAACAGAGTGAGATCCTGTCTCAAAAAACAAAAAAGCCAACAGAAAAGACAAAGTAGAATACAAGCATGATATCGTAAAATATCTACTTGGCCTTTGACTACCTTGCCTGGCATACAACTCCTTAAATTCTTAGAATCTCCAAAGTGATGTATGTTTGTGCACTGAGTTGACCAAAGGCTGGCAGTCCCCAGGCAACTTCAGGATAAGGCTGGTCACCAGAAAGACCAAGGCATGATTAGAGCCCCACCACGGGGGACGGGAGAGAGACTGAAAGTCGAGTTGATCAGCAGCCAGTGGTCTAACGAGTCATGGCTATGTCATGAAGCCTCCATAAAAACCCAGAAAGACAGGGTTTGGAGAGCTTGCAAATAACAGCTAGGGGCTCCTGGAGGGTGGTACACCTGGAGAGGCATGACAGCTCTGAGCCCGTTCTCCCACACCTCGCCCTGGGCATCTCTTCATCTGTATCCTTTGTAATATCCTTTACAATAAACCAGTAAACATAAGTGTTTCCTTCAGTTTTGAGAGTTGCTCTAGCAAATTACTCAAACCCAAGGAGGAGGCGGTAGAATCTCTGATTCACAGACAGTCAATCAGAAACAGAGGTCATAACCTGGGGCCCTCTAAGGGTATCTGAAAGGGTGGCGGGGAACCGTCTCATGGAACTGGACTCTCAATCTGTGGGATCCAACACTATCTTCAGATAGACGGTATCAGAAGTAAATTAGAGGACACCCAGCTGGTATCTGTTGGAAAACTGACTGACTGGTTATTAAGGGGAAGAAATCCTTAAACACATTTTGGCAACCAGAGGTCACAGAAATTTTCTGTGTTGGTTGTCATGTTGAGAGAACAGAAAAAACACTTTGAGTGTGTTTTTCCACAGAACAAAATATATTTTATTCTCCCAAATAAAGGCATAAAAGGAGAAAAAAGAAGAGGAAAAAAACAGATATGACAAACAGAAAACAAATACAAGATGGTAGACTTGAACCCATCCACACAAAACTCGATAAAAAACCCAAGATCCAACTATATATACTTTATACTCTCAGGAAACAAACTTTTTTAAAAAATATATTTTTTTTTATTTGCATAGGTTTTCGGGGAACAGGTGGTGTTTGGTTACATAAATCAGTTCTTTAGTGGTAATTTCTGAGATGTTGGTGCACCCATTACCCTAGCGATATACGCTGTACCCAATTTGTAGTATTTTATCCCTCACCCCCTCCCACCCTTTCCCCGGAGTCCCCAAAGTCCGTTGTATCATTCTTTTGCCTTGCATCCTTACAGCTTAGATCCCACTTACGAGTGAGAACATACGATGTTTGATTTTCAGGAAACAACCTTTAAATATGAAGACACAGACTGAAAATAAAAGGATGGGGGGGAAAAGATATACCACACGAACACAAGTAATAAGCATAATAAACCTGGTGTGGCAACATTAATATCAGACAAAGGGGATTTCAGTGTAAGCAAAGGGATGAATGGACACATTTCAAAATGAAAAAGGCAATTCATCAAGGAGATACAATACTAAATTTGTATGTACTTAATAACAGAGCTTTACAATACATGAAGTAAAACCTGATAGAAATAAGAACAGAAAGATTCATGATTTTTTTAAAGTTGGAGGCTTTAACAACCCTTTGTTAAAATAAATAAAAGAGGCCAAGCATCGTGGCTCACATCTGTAATCCCGGCACTTTGGGAGGCCAAGGCAGGAGGATTGCTTGAGCCCAGAAGTTCGAGACCAGCCTGGGCAATATGGTGAGCCCTGTTTCTACAAAAAATAAGAAAATTAGGCGGGCATGGTAGTACGTGCCCATGGGCCCAACTACTCAGGAGGCTGAGGCTGGAAAATCACTTGAGCCCAGGAAGCAGAGACTGCAGTAAGCCACGATCGTGCCACTGCACTCCAGCCTGAGCAACAGAGGGACACCCTGTCTCAAAAATAAATAAGTGAAATTTAAAAACTTTTTAAGTAAAAGAATAGACAACAATGATAAGGAAGATTTAAACAAACTATTAAATAACTTCTTCAACTGACATTCATACAACACTATACCCCTCAACTGCAGAATATAAGTTCCTTTCAAGTACTCACGGAAAATCCACCAAGACAGACCAAATGCCACACCATAAAACACATCTCAATACATTTTAAAAGACTGAAATCACACAGAATATGTTCTGACCATTACAGTATTAAAACA
Source organism: Homo sapiens (assembly GCF_000001405.40). Lineage (NCBI taxonomy): Eukaryota > Metazoa > Chordata > Mammalia > Primates > Hominidae > Homo > Homo sapiens. The sequence goes on from NC_000008.11 coordinate 140,325,036, forward strand.
GAAATCAATAACAATACCATTTCCACAACGGCTGCAAATACCTGAAAAGTAAGCAATGCATACACACGTCAAAAATAAAAACAAAAGCGAAATGTTAAAAATATTTCCAGCTGAATGGTAATAAAAACACAACAGGTCAATATTTGTGAGATGTACCTGAAGCAGTGCTTAGAGGGAAATTTATAGCCTTAAATGTTCATATTAGAAAAAAACAAAGGTCCCAAACCAATATCTAAGTCTGCACTGTAGAAGCTAGAAAAAGACATAAAATTAAATATAAAGTTGAAAGAAAATAACTAATGAAATAGGAAACAGGAAACAATAAAGAAAATCAACAAAGTCAATGGTTCTTTGAAAACAAATGATAAACCCCTAGAAGAGAAACACAGATCATCTATATCAGGAATAAAAAGGAGGCAGATCCTACGCTCATTAAGAGGATAATAAGGGAACAGTATAAACAACCATATGCCTATACATTTGACAAATGTGGTGAAATAGACAAACTCCTTGGGGGTAAAATGACACAAGAAAAAATTGACAATCTTAATAGTCCTGTATTTATTAAAGAAGTTGAATCTGTAATCCAAACTCCCACAAAAATTTCCATCCCAGATGGCTTCACTCGTAAGTTCTGTCAAACATTTAAAGAAGAAATAATATCAATCTCATACAAACTCTTTCAGAAAACAAAGGAGCGAATACTTCCCAACTTGTGTTATGAAGCCAGCACAACCCTGACACCAAAACCTGACAAATAACTAAAAGAATAAACTTAGACAGTAAAAGTAGCATGGAGTCTTCAGCAGTCTCACAGAACTAAAGAGATAAACAGCAGCATTCAGGATCCACTGAGGAAGAGAGACCCCCCCAAAAACACCATGAGTTCTCAGCTGGCACCCCCAAAGCACTATACAATAAGAGTACACCGAAGCCTTTTAAAAACTGCAATTTGTATATCTTTATTAAAGAAGCTGATATACAAATGGATACACAAATGGAAATATACAAATGGAAATCTGATATACAAATGGAAATCCGGGTAGTTTCTAAGAAGTCGGGGGTTACTGGCCAGGCGCAGTGGCTCATGCCTGTAATCCCAGCACTTTGGGAGGCCGAGGCGGGCGGATCATGAGATCAGGAGATCGAGACCATCCTGGCTAACACAGTGAAACCCCGTCTCTACTAAAAAAAAAAAAAAAAAGAAGAAGAAGTTGGGGGTTACTGCAGGGAAGGCACCTAAAGACCTGTGCAGTCATTACTTTTTGGGGAACCTTCCCTGGTGACTCTGCCTTGTGCTCCGCTCTGTCATATTTGGATTTGGTGATGCAGAGGCAGGCCACATAGTGCACAGGTAGCCTATGTGCCTCATAAGTAGCAGTGATCTAGAAATGCTTTACATCCCCCCACCATGATCAAAGGACCCGCTTTGCCTGCCACCACCTACAATGCTCTGCAACCATGACCAGTGATTCCTGACATACTAATGTCTCAACAACTTATTTTCCCCCTTCACTCAGACAAACATCATCAATGATGACTTTAAGATGTACATTATGGCCAGGTGTGATGGCTCACGCCTGTAATCCCTGCACTTTGGGAAGCCAAGGCAGAAGGATCACTTGAGCTCAGGAGTTCAAAACCAGTCTGAGCAACACGAGACTTTGTCTCTAATAAAATTCAAAAAAAAAATAAATTAGCTGGGCGTAATGGCATGTGCCTGTAGTCCTAGCTACTCTGAGGGCTGAGGTGGGAGGATCACTTGAGCCCAGGAGGTCAAGGCTGCAGTGAGTCCTGATTGTGCCACTGAACTCCAGCCTTGGTGACAGAGCGAGACCCTGTCTCAAAAAAATAAAATAAAATGTATATTACTTATTTTCTCTTTTGGTCACAAAAAAGAAACATGACATAGTGATGCAAAAAACAATCATCCAGGCCGGGCGCGGTGGCTCATGCCTGTAATCCCAGCACTCTGGGAGGCTGAGGTGAGCGGATCACCTGAGGTCAGGAGTTCCAAGACCAGCCTGACCAATATGGTGAAACCCCGTCTCTACTAAAAATACAAAAATTAACAGGGCATGGTGGTGTGAGCCTGTTGTCCCAGCTACTCGGGAGACTGAGACAGGAGAATTGCTTGAACCTGGGAGGCGGAGGTTGCAGTGAGCTGAGATCACGCCACTGCACTCCAGCCTGGGCGACAGGACATCTAAAAAAAAAGACAAGACAAGACACGACAAGACAAGAATCATCTGACCCTCATGCACTGCTGGAAGGAATGTAAAATAGTACATCTGCTGTGCCAAACAGTTTGGCAGTTCCTCAAAAAGTTAAGCATAGAATTACCATATGATCCAGCAATTCCACTCCCACTACATATATACCAAAAACCATTGAAAATAGATACTTAAACAGATACTTGCAGACCAATGTGCATAGCAGCAGCATTCACAATGGCCAAAAGGTAGAAACAAGCCAAATGTCCATTGACTGATGAACAGATAAACAAAATGTAGTCTATCCCTACAATGGAATATTGTTCAGCCCTAAAAAGGAATGAAATTTTGATAAATGCTATCATACAGATAAACCTTAAAACATGCTAATTGAAATAAGTCAGACACAAAAGAACAAATATTGTATGACTCCACTTATATGAGGTACCTAAAATAGGCAAATTCATCAAGAGGAAAAGTAGAATGATGGTTGCCAGGAGGATCAGAGGAGTGAGAATGAGAATTATTGTGTAATGCGTACAGAGATTCTGTTTGGAGTGACGAAAAAGTTCTAGAAATGGAGGGCGGTGATGGTTGCATCACACTGTGAATGTATGTACTCAATACCACTGAATTTTACGCTTAAAACAGTTAAAAGGGTACATTTTGTGTTGTGTATATCTTACCACAGTTTTCAAAATCAATGTAAAAATAATTTAAAATTGGCCGGGCGCGGTGGCTCACGCCTGTAATCCCAGCACTTTGGGAGGCTAAGGCAGGTGCATCACCTGAGGTCAAGAGTTTGAGACCAGCCTGGCCAACATGGTGAAACCCCATCTCTACTAAAAATACAAAAATTAGCTGGGCATTGTGGTGGGTGCCTATAATCCCAACTACTCAAGAGGCTCAGACAGAAGAATCGCTTGAAGCCAGGGAGCGGAGGTTGCAGTAAGCCGAGATCATGCCACTTCACTCCAGCCTGGGCGAAAGAGCGAAAGTCCGTCTCAAAAACAAAATTAATTAATTAATTAATTAATAACAATAATTTAAAATAAAACAGTATCACTTACAAGCTCAAAAAAAGGAAAATACTTAGGTAGAAATCTAACAAAATACGTACATGATCAATCGTTGAGGCATGGTTATGTGTCAGATGTGGTGTAAGGTCCTGGAGCTTTACATAAAAAGCAACCTGGATGAGACTGGAAACTATCATTCCAAGTGAGTAACTCAAGAATGTAAAATCAAACATCATATGTTCTCACTCCTAAGTGGGAGCTAAGCTATGAGGATGCAAAGGCACAAGAATGATACAATGGACTTTGGGGACTCAGGGGGAAAGGGTGGGAGCAGGTGAAGGATAAAAGGCTACAAACTGGGTTCAGTGTATACTGCTCAGGTCTCAGAAATCACCACTAAAGAACTTACTCAGGTAACCAAATACCACCTGTTCCCCAACAACCTATGGAAATAATTTTTTTTTTAATTTTAAAAAAAGGTCCTGGAGCTTTAGAGATGCTTAGCTATGACCAAGGAGGCCACAGTCTAATTAGCATAGTTATAATTTACGAATTAGGGTGAAAGGATTTGATGCTCGATTGGACACAGAAACTGAAGGAGGTAGAGACAAGACTGGCACTGAGGGTGACGGCTTTGGGGACCGGGTGGAGGAGAGCCACTGGCCGAGACAGAAGCCCAAGGTCAGAGGAAGGGCAGGGCAAGCTCGTCGGAAGACAGCAGCTCCAGCAGGTTGAGTCTAAAGCACCGGAGGGTGGAGAGACCCAGACTAGGGTAACTAGGAAAGTATACCGGGCACAAGCGGACCCCTGAGCACCATGAACATCAGCAGAGGTAACACTCCCAGGTAGAATGTGAAGGTGACAAAGAAAAACAGAGGGCCCAAGGATGACATCCTGGGGAACACAGAGGTGAGGGGCAGTGAGAAACACATCTGGAAAGAATGCTAGAGGTTCGAGATGAGACTCAAGAGGCCAAAAGGTGAGATCTTCTGGAAAGAAAAGAAATGGGGGTGGATATGAGAGAAACATCTGTTGGGATCACCATACGTGAGAGTTAAGTGGTCATTTGTGACCTTCAAAAAAACTTTCATCCATGCAGGAACCCAGCAGCAACAAATTAAAAATGGGACAGGAGCAGACAAAGCGATGGCTCGTCTCCTAGGGAGCACATGGCATTTCAAGCACACACGACAACGGTCTGGAAGTCAAGTGCTGCATTAGAGGCTCACCTGCATTGCCTTACTTAATATTTACATTTATCCAGTGAGTCAAATATTATCATTAGCCCCACTGTAGGGAAGAGAAAAGTGAAAATCAGAGATATTATAAATCTTTTCAAAGGCCACACTGCTAGTAAGTGAGGCTGAGATTTTAACCCCAGGCTTCTTGAATCTATTGCTCTTTCTACCATATTAAGCAACCTCCTCGGCATTTTTGTGCTCATTTCGGAATCTAAGGCTTGGAAAGGTCATGTTACTTTCCTGGGGTTATTAAGGTAATAAGAAGCTAAATTATATTCAAACTCAATACCGGCCAGGCATGGTGGCTCACACCTGTAATCATACTTTGGGAGGCCAAGGCGGGCAGATCACCTGAGGTCAGGAGTTTGAGACCAGCGTGGCCAATGTGGTGAAACCCCGTCTCTACTAAAAAAATACAAAAATTACCCAGGTGCTGGTGGGCACCTGTAATTCCAGCTAACTCAGGAGGCTGAGGCAGGAGAATCACTTGAACCTGGGAGGCAGAAGTTGCAGGGAGCCGAGATTGCGCCATTGCACTCCAGCCTGGGCAACAAGAGCGAAACTCAGTCTCAAAACAAAACAAAACACCTCAATGCTATATGTTCACGCTTTTTGCTTTCTTCAGTTTGTCACTTTGCCACCGAGATTGCCCCAAAATGTGACTGATATCCTGAAACTGCCACTCCAACATGTCCAGCAAGTTAAGCATCTTACAGAGCAAGAGAAATCAACTCAGCTTTTCTTCATTCTGCATATACATCCAGGTAGCATAATGGTCTACCTAGAAAGGCTGAAAAAGTCACATGCCACCACTATAAATATTAATGATATGACAAACCAGGAGATATGGAAGAAGATCTGTCATGTAACAAGAAAACAAGGCATTTCCTTAACAGAGTGTGGATTAACTTAGATAAATTTGCAGTGAGCCACATTAACTGCCTCCTGTCAATAATTTTTCATATTTGCTAGTCACTTAATTTTCAGAGTGACCAGTTGGAGGCCCTGATGAACAATCATTCAAGTGCACCAAAAGACTGAATATTTTTCCTTGTTCCTTTCAGGTTTATAAACATGTTCTACCAAAATGAAAGGTAATTGTGTTAAACCATCAGGTCACTATAAAAACATCTATTTCAAGCACTGCCTAGAAAAATTTTTAACATCTCTAGAGATCTTAACATAATGCCCAGAAGAAGAAATTATATTAAGAAGAAAGACCTGTACTACCCAGAGCAATCTACAAATTCAAATTACTTTCTTGGGGCTATTCATGTAATAAATTGCTAGATTACATTCAAACTCAAAGCTTTAAGTTCAAACTTTCTGCTTTTTTCATTTTGTCACGCTGCCCACCCAGACTGCCCCAAAATGAAAAAATGCAAAGAAAACACAGATATCCTAGAACTAATCCCTATCAAAATACCAGTGATGTTTTTGACAGAAATAGAAAAACAAATCCTAAAATTCATATGGAACCTTAAAAATCCTCAAATAGCTAAGGCAATCCTGAGCAAAAAATAACAAAGCAGGAGGCATCACATTACCTGACTTCAAAATATACTACAAAGCTATAGTAAGCAAAACATCATGGTACTGGCATAAAAACAGACTTGTAGACCAATTAAAAAAAAAAAAAGAACCCAGATATAAACCCATGTTTTCACAGTCAAATAATTTTCATCAAAGTTGTCAAGAGCATCCACTGGGAAAAAGACAATCTCTTCAATAAATGGTGCTGGGAAAACTGGATATAAGTATGCAGAAGAATGAAACTAGACCTCTATGTGCCACTATATACAAAAATTGACTCAAAAGGGATTGAAGACTTAAATGTAAAAACCAAAACTACAAATCTAATAGAAGAAAAACATAGGGAAAACACTTCAGGTCATTGGTCTAAGCAAAGATTTTATGGATAAGGACTCAAAAGCACAGGCCAATAAAAACAGAAATAGATAAATGAGATTATATCAAACTAAAAAACCTCTGCACAGCAAAGGAAACATCACAGTGAACAACAATCTGCAGAATGAGAGAAAATATTTGCAAACTATTCATCCAACAAGGGACCAATGTCCAGAATATAAAGGAACTCAACAGCAAAAAATCATCATCATCATCATCATCATCACCACCCCATGAAAAAGCAGGCAAAAGACGTGAATAGACATTTCTCGAAAGAAGACATACAAAATGGCTAACAGGTATATGAAACAATGCTCATCACTAATCATCAGGGAAATGCAAATCAAAACCACAGTGAGAGATCATCTCACCCCAGCAAGAATGGCTGTGATCAAAAAGACAAAGGATAACAAATACAGGAGGGTGCAGAGAAAGGGGAACTCTTAGGTGCTGTTGATAGGAATGTAAATTAGTACTGTTATGATGGAAAACAGTTTGAAGGTTCCTCAAAGAACTAAAAATAGAACTATCACATGATCCAGCAATCCCACTGCTGGGATTTCCAAAGGAAAAGAAATCAGGATGTCAAAGAGATACCTGCACTCCCATGTCTACCGCAGCACTAAGTCACAGTAGCCAAGATATGGAATCAACCCAAGTGACCATCAATAGAGGACTAGATAAGGAAAATGTGCTATATATACACCGTGGAATGTGATTCAGCCATAAAAAAAGAATGAAATTCTGTGATTCACTATGACATGGTTGAACCTAATGTCCTAAAGGGCATTATGTTAAGTAAAATAAGCCAGGCACAGAAAGGCAAATACCACATGTTCTCTCTCATATGTGGAAGCTAAACAAGTTGATCTCATAAGGAGAGAGTAGAGGCTGGGAAGGGTTGGGGGAAGGAAGGATAGGGAGAGGTTGGTCAACAGAGACAAAATTACAGCTAGACAGAAAGAATAAATTCAAGTGTCCTATAGCACTGTAGGGTGACTAAAAGTAACAACAATTTTTTGTGTATTTTCAGTTGGCTAGAAGAGAGGATTCTAAATGTTCCCAACACAAAGAAATGATAAATGTTTGAAGATGGATTTGCAAAGTACCCTGAATTGATCATTACACATGATATACGTGTATCAAAACATTACACAGTACCACATAAACATATACAATTACTGTATCAATTAAAAATACTAAAATAAAAAATTTTAAAGTTTTAAAAAAATAAAGATAATAAATTATTAGAATCTGCACATCTAACTATGAAGCAATGGTTAGATAAACTATGGTACAGCAGCATAATGCAAATTTATGCAAACATTAAAAATGACATTTATAAAGACTGCAACAATATGGAAAATGTTATGTCACATGGAAAATCAGGATACAGAATTATATTTACAAAATAAATTCGATGTAAGGAATTAACCCGCCTGGGCACAGTGGCTCAAACCTGTAATCCCAGAACTTTGGGAGGCCAGGTGGGAGGATCACGAGTTCAAGACCAGCCTGGTCAACATCGTGAAACCCCCAACTCTACTAAAAATACGAAAATTAGCCGGACACAGTGGCACATGCCAGTAGTCCCAGCTACTCCAGAGACTGAGGCAAGAGAATCACTTGAACCCGGGAGGCAGAGGTTGCAGTGAGCCGAGATCATACCACTTCACCCAAGCCTGGGCTAAAAAGCGAGACTTTGTCTCAAAAAAAAAAAAGAGAAAAAGAAAAGAATGAAAAGAAAGAAAGCAATTAACCCAATTTTTAAAATAACAGAAAACAATACAAAAGAAATACACTAAAATGTTAACAGGGCTTGCCTATATAGGATTATGCATAATTTTTTCCTGTTTATGTTTTCCAAGATTTCTAAAGGAAGCATATATTACTTGTATAATAAAAACTATATATATGTAGATAGCTAGATATAGATATAGATGTAGATATAGATATAGATACATAGGTTTTTGTTTTGTTTGTTGTTGTTGTTGAGACGGAGTCTCACTCTTGTCGCCCAGGCTGGAGTGCAATGGTGCGATCTCAGCTCGTTGCAACCTCCGCCTCCCAGATTCAAGCTTCTCCTGCCTCAGCCTCCTCAGTAGCTGGGATTACAGGCACCCACCACCATGCCCAGCTAATTTTTATACTTTTAGTAAAGACGGGATTTTGCAATGTTGGCCAGGCTGGTCTCAAACTCCTGACCTCAGGTGATCCACCCGCCTCAGCTTCCCAAAGTGCTGGGATTACAGGCGTAAGCCACCGCGCCTGGCCATAAAAACTATATTTTAAATGCTCAAAATTGAATTTTCAAAAAGGTTTTACAACGAAAAATCAGGGTTTGTTTATAAATGCCCCATGAGTGAAGAACATAGTATCATAAAATGTCAATGGCATAAGAAAACTTTGAACTTCCTTCATTTCCACAAAGGTGGAAGTTTAAAGTAAGGGAATTTATAGCCCTTCCCAGTGTAACACAGATGTTTTACAAACAACAGCTGCATTGATAACTGACATTTAATGAGGTCTTACTACATGCCAAGCACTAGTCCAAGCACTTTACATATGCCTTACTAAATGATTCCCAAAACCTTACCAAAAAAGTGCCATTGTTTACAGATGAGAGAAATTGAAGCTTAGAAAGAACTCACCCCCATTCAGTTCAGTGTGCCTTCTACTTCTCCACCACAATCTCTCATGTGTAATATGCTCAGCCATCTCCCTTTATTCTAAAACTATTTCATATTTCACTTCATATTCATTTGACAAACAAATCTTGAATATCCACCCTCTATAAGGAAGAAGCCTATCTTAAATCGCTCAACTGGAGTCCCACATCTTCAAGCACAACAGCAAAATCTCGTAATTCCTTTGTCTGCCTGGTGGAGTCTCAATTGATACATTTTAGGAAATAATTTGAGAAAGGCAATGTGAAATTAAATCAGTTCCATGGCTCGGCAAGGTGGCTCACGCCTATAATCCCAGCACTTTGGGAGGCCAAGGCAGGAGGATCACTTGAGGTCAGGAGTTCGACACTAGCCTAGCCAACGTGGTGAAACCCCATCTCTACTAAAAATACAAAAATTAGCCAGGCGTGGTGGCACATGCCTGTAATCCCAGCTACTCGGGAGGCTGAGGCAGGAGAATCGCTTGAACCCGGGAGGTGGAGGTTGCAGTGAGCCGAGATCGTGCCATTGTACCACAGCTTGGGCGACAGAGCGAGACTCTGTCACTAAATAAATAAATAAATAAATAAATAAATAAATAAATAAGTTCCACATGTATTGACTACTTTCTAGTAGCATTGCCCAAAATGATAAAAGATAAAAGGTGAACAGACATGATCCCTGTCCCCAAGGAGTCTGTAATCTAGTGAGGGAATCGGATAGGTAAATTATTCTGAAGGTATAATAAAATGATGCTGAATTGAGAACTAAGCAAGATAATAAGGAGGTGCAGAGGAATAAATTAATTTCTTAATAACAGGAAACAGGGAAAGTACAAGAACAGAGCATGCTACAATAGAAGCAGCATGAAAAACCATGTGATACACTTAAAAAGCAAAAAATGTTCAGTGTATCTGAAGTATAGGTTACATGGATAGAAAAAGTATGCAATGAGCCTAGAAAGATGGTTTGACTCAAATCGTGAATGTCCTTGAGAAAGATGGTTTGAATCAAATCGTGAATGTCCTTGAGAAAGAGTTGAGACTTTACTAGATAGACAAAGGGTAGACACTGCAGATTCTTAAGGAAGAGAATGTGATTTAGCTTGCATTCTAAGGAGGTAACTCCGGCCGCAATGTGACGCACAGGCTGGAAGGAGCAAAGCCAGGGAACAGGACCATGATGTCAAGAGTCTACTGCACTATTCCAAGTATAGGTGTTGAGAGTCTGAACCACAGTCATGACCACGATGGGAAGAGGGGAAATCCCCACATGAGAGAAACTCAGGCATTAGAATGGGCATTCCAGGCAATTAATAGGATACAGGATAAGTATGACAACTTGGGGATGACTGACAAAGTTTTAAGCTTCCCACACTAAGAAAATGCCAACACCCTTAACTCAAACGGGAAACATAGAAGGAAAAGAGAATGAATTCAGCTGAGGATATGGTAACCGCAGGATCCTATGAGACATTCAGGAGACAAATCCAGCCTTCATTGGGAAACTGAAGTTCAGAGGTCAGGAGTGGAAATATAACCATGTGAAATCATGAGCAAATTTTTGTTATATTTTGAATATATCAAGAGCTTCACTCTTAAGTCCCATCATAAGTCTTCACAATTTTTTTTTTTTTTTTTTTGAGACAGGGTCTCGCTTTGTCACCCAGGCTGGAGTGCAGTGGCGTGATCCCAGCTCACCAAAACCTCCACCTCCTGGGTTCAAGCGATTCTCCCGCTTTAGCCTCCCGAGTAGCTGGGATTACAGGCTCCCGCCACCATGTCTGGCCAGTTTTTGTATTTTCAGTAGATCCAGGGATTTCGCCATGTTGACCAGGCTGGTCTCAAACTCCTGACCTCAAGTGGTAGGCCCGCCTTGGCCCCACAAAGTGCTGGGATTACAGGTGCAAGCCACCGCACCTGGCCAACAATATTTTTTAACTTTATAATCTCAATGACTCACTGTGTAATTCCTTATTTTTAAGAACCTTTTTTTTTCACAACTCAAATTATTACTTTTGATGTATAACTAACTTCATAATTTTTGAAACCAAAATTTCTTTTCCATCTGCTCAGTTTTCTCCCCCATGATGAAGCATACTTGTGTGTCACGTCCCTGAGGTCACGGGACTTAACAATTACAGTAAAAGCCCCTTGTTTATTTATGACATAATGATCACAGTTACAACAACAAAAGATTTTGTTCAACAGATATTCCTACTGTGTATAGTCTGTGGCTGCAAGCCAGCCGAGATTCCCAACCCTGGCTTGCCTCTGTCTGCACCACGCTCTGCTCTGCGGCAAATGAGAGACAGCTGATGTGAACAGGGAGGCAAAGAAAGGCAACACCAAAACTGAGGGCCACTGGAAATATGTAGAAAATGCACCACTTCTTTCATTTCCTGCCCTTCCCCAGCCCCAAGAAACACAGTAAAATGAGGCGAGGTCCATCTCACTAAGATCAAGGCCCCAGTAACGCACACCCTCATCCAAACCAAGTCCCTGTCTACTCTGACACTGATGGATGGCAAACTTTTAACACATTTTCTTTGGGCTGAGTAGCAAAATAATGAGCAAGCAACAAAATGAAGGGGTAGCTGAATAAATTACATTCTGACATTTTCTATCTCATCCAATCCTTGTCTTTCAAACAAATGACAACTGTATCTAAGTTGATAGATAACCTCCTTGGTACAGAAACAAACTAATGGAAGTCATCAGTGTTGAAAGTCTAACCAGGGCCGTGACGATGGAAGGAAGAAGACGAATTCCACATGTGATAAACTCAAGCATTAGAATGAGTCTTCCAGGCGATTAACAGGATATGGGGTAAGACAATTTAAGGATGACTCCAAAAGCTGTAAGCTTCCAAAACTTAGAAAACAGCAACACCCTTGACTGGTGTCTGATGCTGGCTGGTACAGTCTTTAGTGGGTGCAGCCCCTTGTCAGTGTCGGACACTGAGATCCAACAACCACTGAGTAAGTGTCCTTAGCTGGCTGCAGGTGACCCAGGATGTGGGGTCAGGCATGTGCTCCAGAGCCAGGCGCCCGGAACTGTAATCCCAGCTCGCACACGCAGCCGCGGAAGCCCACCATGCCTTACTGCCTCCTCCTCGTAATCTCAGCCTGCAATGATCCCTCTAACCATGATGATCAGAGGAGTTCACACACATGAAGGCACATGTTACACCAGGCCCAGCACACAAGAGGTGTGTGACAACTCCTGTCACACACTCTCACAGGACCCAGAAACAGACTGCAGGCAAAGGCTGGTCACTGTTCCTCTACATCCAGAAGGTGCTGCATTTGAGGAAAGATAAAACAGGAAGAACATTCTAAGAAGATAAATACTGGCTGGGTGAGTGAGAAAATTAATTAATCAAGCTTGAGCAGGCCAGGACTGTGACATATGAGCCACAGACAGAGAGGATCAGGACTTGTCAATCCAGAAAGCAGAGATAGAGAACAAGGTCACCGGCAAGAGAGAGAACAAACGGACTGCGACTCATCCAGATGCGCCTCCCTCCGGCTCTGCCATGCAGCACGTGGGTGCGGGTACCGGATCCACCTGCCCTGAACCTGCTGCCTCCCCCACCAAAATGGGCTGCCTAGGTGTCAGATGGGCACGTGATCAGCGGTGCTGTGAGAGTGGCTGTGGGAACAGAGGGAGGTGGAGCCAAGGCTTAGGAGGGCAGTTAATAATAACTGAGAGGGCTGCGAGATGAACCCTCAGGCCCTCAGGGCTGTGCACAAACAGCCAAGCAAGCACCACGGGCCGGGCACCCTGTTGCCTGGTGCAGGTGTTCTGGAGGGGCCTTCCAGAACAGGCTGGACCCCAGTGGACTGAGCAGAGAGTCTTCTCCCCTGCAAAACGGGGTTGTCTGACAGTCAGTCCAGGAGGAGATAAATCCTGAACGTTCTAAAGAGGGCCTCCGTATTTTATTTTATACCAAGGAATATGCCATTTCTTCCCCTAAAACAGATCCCTGCCACTTAGAAGTTGCTAAAAAAAATTATTAATTTGAATTAAACTCAATGTCTTTTTTTAAATGACAGCCAGAAAAGTCTTATTTTTCTCTCTCAGATCACCGAAGTGGACACCAGCAAGACTGGGTGGCTGCATGGGCCAAATAACTGTATTCTGTCCCCACGCCATACGTATAAGCAAAGCCCACAAATATGGACCAGTGGGCAAAGGAGGCACAGGGGAGGTCTTCAGCTGACATTTCATATGTGTCCGCTCCATTACCACTTCCAAAAGAGCAACACAAGCATATAATGTACTGTCAGTCACTGTGGCCTCCTTTGCAGGTCATAAAAATTAATTGAGTGGATAGCGACCAGCGTCCCTTAGGATGGGACAGGACAGACGAGACCATGGTGCATGGTACAGGTTGAATCGTGTCCCCTCCCCGCAAAATTCGTATATTGAAGTCCTAACCCCCAGCACCTCAGAATGTGACCGTGTGTGGAGACAGGTTCTTCAAAGAGATAATGGAGGTAAAATGAGTTTTGCTGGGGTGAACCCTAAGCTAATATGACTGGCGTCCTTATAACGAGAGGGGATTAGGACACAGGCACAGAGGAAAGACCATGTGGAGACCTGTCAAGAAGACGGCCACCTACAGGCCGACGGGAAACGGCTCAGAGAAAACCACCGCCACCAGACGGCCACCTACAGGCCGACAGGAAACGGCTCAGAGAAAACCAACGCCACCAGACGGCCACCTACAGGCCGACAGGAAACGGCTCAGAGAAAACCACCGCCACCAGACAGCCACCTACAGGCCGACGGGAAACGGCTCAGAGAAAACCACCGCCACCAGACGGCCACCTACAGGCCGACGGGAAACGGCTCAGAGAAAACCACCGCCACCAGACGGCCACCTACAGGCCGACGGGAAACGGCTCAGAGAAAACCAACGCCACCAGACGGCCACCTACAGGCCGACGGGAAACGGCTCAGAGAAAACCACCGCCACCAGACGGCCACCTACAGGCCGACGGGAAACGGCTCAGAGAAAACCAACGCCACCAGACGGCCACCTACAGGCCAGAGAAAAGGCCTCAAAACAAGCCAGCACCACCAACACCTGCATTTCAGATCTCTGGCCTTACAGCCACCTACAGGCCAAAGAGAAAGGCTTCAAACCAGCACCGCCAACATCTGCATTTCAGATCTCTGGCCTTTGGGGCCAGAATAACAAATTTGCAGTATGTGAAACATATGGCAAGATTAATTTTTACAGTATCTAATAATTATTCTCTGTCACTTCACATTGAAGTGACAGAAAATACTAATCGGCTTGAAATTATCAATCAAATCTGAGATTCAGTATCTAATACAGAGATCTTTGACAAGTGAATGAACATATATGAGTGCTTATTTAATCCAATTCCTACACTTTTTATAAAGGAGAAAACTGAGGGCCAGGGAGAAGAGAAGTTCACACGTGGAAAGGCTAAGGATAAAGTCTCACCTCCCAACTCCTCATCTGGTCCTTTGTCCAAACAAACAAACGAGGCCGAACCCTGAGGAAGACCCATAGTCCTTGTGCATCCAGCCTGCATGCCCTTTTCCAGTTCGTTCCAGTTTCCAGATCCAATACTGCGTATGAAACCCTACCACTTCACTATGGCTTCAATTCAATCATCAGAAATTCTGCTTATCTTATTCTCACATGGTCCTGATACAGAGATGCCTACATTTTCATCACTGAAGTCACACTTAGCATTAAGTACCTGCAACATACCACTGAGATAAACTTTTTTTTTTGAGACTGAGTTTTGCTCTTGTTGCCAAGGCTAGAGTGCAGTGGTGCAATCTCAGCTCACTACAACCTCCACCTCCCAGGTTCAAGTGATTCTCCTGTCTCAGCCTCCCAAGTAGCTGGAATTACAGGCGTGGTGCACCACCACACGCAGCTAATTTTTTGTATTTCATAGAGATAGGGAGTTTCACCATGTTGGCCACGCTGGTCTCGAACTCCTGACCTCAGGTGATCCACCCACCTCAGCCTCCCAAAGTACTGGGATTTACAGGCATGAGCCACTGCACCCAGCCAAGATAAACATTTTTTAAACTAAATTGGTCAGTTAAAGATTAGAGTCAGAGTCAGACACAGTCAAAAATAAAGGCTCCCCCATCTGTTCCCACCTGGCTGAGAAACAATCTTTGGGTAACAATCACCTGCAGAGAAACAATCTTTTGGTAACTTTAGCTCGTTACTCTGTTGCTAAAACTTTCAATAATACCCACTGAAAGCCTAACATTTCACCAGAGAGATAGAAACTTTTCTTTCTAACTTAGAGACCTAAGTAAAAATATGTAGGTCTCTTAAGTTAGAAAGAACTGTACAGCCTCACCCGGGAAACTGCCCACCTGCCTAGTGGGTGAAGTAAGCAAACACACCAGCACTGTTGAAATCCCACTGTGGCAGGCACAATGCCAGGCAGCTGACACATTCTTTCTGATAAATCCTCCACCTAACTAGGCACAATCTTCTTATTTTTGCAGTTGAAAAACAGGCTTGGTAAAGTCAGTAAATTGTCAAAGGTCACATTTGATAAAGTACATGAGCCAGGATACAAACCCAGCTCTGCCTGACTTTAAAGATCACAGCCCCTACTGTCCTCTGCTGAATTAAAGCATCATCGTCCCCTTCCTACACATGCAGTAGCCCAGGCCCAGGGGCAGTCAGCATCTTCCCCAAGGCCACTCAAATACCCATGAATGATATGCATACCTCATCAAAATAGAAAACTGTGAGACTCTTTAAGAGCAGCATATGCTGAAACACTCTTTGGAAGTCACGAACAAATCCACGTAACCAACAACAATTACTATATATTGAGCACAGGTTCTCAATTGAGAACAGGTTGAGAACAGGTTCTTTATATACACTGTTTCTAATCCTTATGACAGCACAGGAAGATAGGTATTCATCCTCATGTTACTGAGGAGGAAACAACAGCAGAGGAAAAAAAGGCAACTGGGCTTATTAAGCATTTATTGAGCCTCTATGATTAGGCTGGGATTAAAAACACAAAAAGACTACATTCCAGCTGTCCCACCTCACACCTCAGTCCACAGACATGAAAACTAAAAATTAATACATATGAAATATAAAAATTAATGTGTAGGCCCTGAAAAAGCCAGCTCCACAGGATGAATCCATCCTGAGTGGCTAACGGGACCTACATTCAAGTTAGACTCAAGCAGCCATCTGTTGACTAGAGGTCACACACAGACCTTGAGTTCCTGGAAAACCCACGTGTCTGCTTAACTTAGGGGCCTACATAGCTGCCTGTTCCCATTCATGCCATCAATAGACTGTGACCTGCAACAACCAATCAGAACTCAGCAAGTCTGAAACCTTCAAGTACATAAGTGAACCTGAGTGGGAACCTGGGCGGGAACTTTCTCTGTAAAAGACAAACCTTTCTTTTGTTCTCTGGAATGGATAGCTTCAGTTTGCATCAAAGGCTGTTCTCCTCAGTTTGTAAACTATTCCCCAGAATAAAGTCTCCCCTCTAAAGTCCTTTTCAGAGAACTCATGTTCACAAATGTGATAAGCATTGTTATATACGCATGGGAAAAAAAAAAAAAAACTTTGGGAAGAAAAAAATTTTCTTCTACCAAAAGGTGTCAAGGAAAGGGGCTGGAGGGAAGCACGGAGCACGGGAAGGGGGGCTAGTGCTCCATTCTGGGTAGTGAAAAGCCAGAAGAAACTCACAGTACGTGTGTGTAGAGCCTCTGCTCTGGGCACAGCAGCTAAGTCTCTCTCCCAAGCTAAGGAGGCGGCCTGGGCCAGACTGAAAGAGCAGTGCACAATGTGTGGGGCCTTTGGCCTCTGACACTATTTCAGCAGAAGATTGCTGCAGATAAACACCTGCTTTAGAAAGAAAGATCACTTTATCATAGGGGTGGAGGACAGGAAAGAAAGGGCGGATCTGGAAGGCAGGAGGTCCCTCAGGATGAGTTGCCATATTCCGGACCAGAAGTGGCAGAGTCCAGGCTGAGTAATGGTGTCTTGGCACTCTGTGCAGCAGATGGTGGGCGGGCAAACGGAAAGCAGGACTGCACTGCACTGCTGGGGAGAGGACACCACCTGGAGCCACGTTGTCCCACAGAGACAAGATCCTTCGTGACATTGCAGAAGGTCCCTTTCGATACCACCCTGGGATGTTC
This sequence comes from Homo sapiens, assembly GCF_000001405.40. Classification (NCBI taxonomy): domain Eukaryota; kingdom Metazoa; phylum Chordata; class Mammalia; order Primates; family Hominidae; genus Homo; species Homo sapiens. Next base: position 140,342,275 of record NC_000008.11, read on the forward strand.
TATTTTGGTTCACCTAAAACCTGGCAAATTAGTATTTTCCTATAACTAGTATATCCACTAATATATTTGGGATTTTGAAGTACTGATAGTTTTTCTTCACCTCACTATTTTACATGTGTGGTTTCTCTACCAAGCAGGCATTTTATTAGCAGGTACTTATTATGTTGTACTACATGATATTTATCTCTTCAACATACAACTAAAAGTACATCAAAAGCTTCCCTTCATTTCTGCTGGGGTTTTATTCAATCCCTTCTCTCTAGTTCTGAACAAACAAAAGGGATTGCATAAATTGCAATGGAAACAAATTATACCCCTTTACTGACAAACTCCCACTGGGATTCCTTGTAACACAGCAATGCAGATGCATACCTTCTCCCCAGCCCAGTGAAAAATGAAATATAGCAAATCGAAGGTCCAAAGAAACCACATAAGCCATCTGGAGAAAAAAATGCAAGGGGGAAAAACGCATGTCAGGAATGAAAAATAGGAAATATATATACATATATCCTTGGCAATACAAAAAATCATGTCATTCATTTTTGGCCAGAGTTCGTATTTTAGCTCTTTATGCTCTGCTATATGAAGCTAAGGGACAAAAACTCAAATGTGAAGTCTGCATACTTCACAATGGGAACAAAATACAATATAGGACATCAACATACGACACGTAGGGCTTTCAACCCGAACCCCGTATATTTTAGTCTGTTAATCTATACAATGGGAAGCTTGCGATCACTATGGCCAAATTCTAGCAAAATTCCAAAATCCAGCAAAAATAACACATTATTGTTTTAATACTATTTTAGAATTTACTGAAATTCAAAAAATATAAAGGACATATATTAAAATATCCAAGATGATAAAAGATGACCAGAAAAGCACATCACAATTGAAAACTCCTCATAAGTGAAAAGCCAGCATGGGGTAGGAAATGGAGGGGTGGCTCTGGCCCTGTGTGGTCCTGAGCCCAGCAGTGCTGGGCTGCGGCCTCAACCCTCACTCTCCAAGGATGACTGCTGGGCTGAAGCCCATGGCATGCATATCAGCCTCGGCATTTTTCTTTTCATTAAAAGTGTTTCACTAAATCTTTAACCAAAGGTGATACAGTGTTTTGCATTACTTTTCAAACATATAAGTTTACAAGCCATGAGAAATCTCACTGGGCCACGTCGTGAATCTGACTTGGGAAATACTGCCACCCACAGAGGCAGGGCCGCGAAAGGACGCAGAATTCCTCTAGGGGTGACAAGGCAGCAAAGGTGACTCTGCACATTTCACTTCCTAACCAGTCAAACGATAAGTGAGGAGGGGAAAGAAGGGAGGCTGGTTTTCAGAAACAGACAAAGACCCACAGAAGCCCTTAGTTAAAAATACCCCACTAGTAATTTCCACTTGTCAAAGCCTGTGTCTCAGACCTGGCACACACCTCCTGTCCTGGCCTCCCCGGGGTCCCTGCAAAGCACAGATTCCTGGGTCCTGGACCAGGGATTCTGACTTGATAGGAATGGGGCCCTGGAACTGGCATTGTAAATTCTGAAGATTTTCTTTAAAAATAAAAGCATTGTCCCTGAGAACTAAGTCTTACTTGCACAAAATAACCAAATCCACACCCAGCTGAGTGTGGAGGGCAGAGGGAGAGAGGAACTAACAGCTGTCTGAGCTTCCCAAGCCGAGACAGAGTGGAGGGAACGGTGGAAATGGAACCAGCTTTAATCCTCACACACACCCTGTTATGGTCTGAACGTCTGTGTCCCCCCAAATTCACGTTATACCCTAACTCCCAAGGTGATGGGATTAAGAGACAGGGCCTTTGTGGGGGCGATCAGGGCATGTGAGTAGAGTTCTCATGATAGGAGGAGTTCCCTTGTAAAGGAGATCCCAGAGAGCTCCCTCGCCCCTTCCAGCATGTCTCTGAGCCAGGAAGTGGCCCTCACAGGACACAAATCTGCTGGCACCCTGGTCTTGAACTTCCAGCCCCCCGAGCTGTGAGAGGTAAATGTCCCTTATTTATAAGCCACCTAGTCTGCAGTATTTTGTTAAAGCAACCAGTAAAGATGCACCCCAGGAGGTGGGTCCTTCTTGTGCCCCTTTTCCAAATGGGGAAAATGAGGTGGGGAGAAGTTACATGACTTTCCCCTGCTGCACGGGGAGTCAACAGACATTTGCTGAGCCCCTGTCACACAGTGCTCCAAGCCACAGAGACTGCGCAGGACGGTGGCACGCCTGCCCTCAAGGAGCCTCCATCTAGCAAGGAGGGAGACTGATGGTAGCGCCAGGCAGAGAAGGGTGGGCGTTTGGCTCAGAACTGAGGTGCACAGAAATGGCAGCCATGCCAAGACCCAGGGGGAAGCTGTTCATGCAGAAAAAAACAAGTGCAAGGTCCCGGACAAGAGCCAGAAATCAAGTTTGTTTTCTCAGAGACACAGAAACAAGACAAACCTGGCTGGTGCTGAGTGAATGTGCAGAAGACTGGAGAGAGGTGAGCAAGGAGAACTGAGGAGAAACATCAGGTGGACCTGGGAGGCCTCCAAAAATAACCCGGCTTTCCCTCCACTTCCTGATACGTGTCCTGGGAGCCACCAGGGAGGTTGAAGCAGAAAGGTGCTATGGCGTGAAGCCGTGGTCATATCTGGGATGTGCTGAGGCAGTGAAGCCTCCAGGACTTCCTGATGTACTAGACGTGGGGCCTGACGGCGGGGAAGCCACGACAGCGTCAAGGTTTCTGCCCAAGCAGTGGGGCGGGCAGGGGCACCCTGCGCCCTGTGCTGAGAGGGAAGCGAAGGCAGGGTGGGCGGGTCGACAGTCAGGCCTGCAGCACCCCAGAAGGAAGAAGTACAGGCACCATGAATGCAAAGACCATTCCTGAAGCCCCAGGGCCAGGTGAGATCCCCCAGCAGAACATGCAGAAGTGGGAGAGCAGGCAGGGTTGAGGAGGTCCTCTGTGTGGGTGGTGAAGCCACCAGGAACAGAGATGGGGTGGAGGTGCTGAGGACAGAGCAGGCCAGGTACTGAGTGAGGAGAAGTAGCCAGTGCACCTGGCAATGACCACAACACAAGGAAAGGCAGGAGCCATCAATCCTAATGGTACACCCTCCCAAAGAGCTGGAGTGTTCTGAGGAGGACTGCTTGGAAGTAGCAACGGAAAATGATGCCCGTCCCATCTCTGGGCCCTGAGGTCCTGGGGGCAGAGGAGAAAAACCAGCATGCATTTGAGAGAACAGCAGGGCAGGCAGGCCAAAAAAAGGGCTGGTTCTCATCTCCTCGGATTGCTAGGATGGCATTGTGAGTGGGACAGATATGTATTGGCCGGCACTGGGCTATACTTGCATTTCACTTCCCTGTCCCTTCCGACTAAATGCTGGCGACAGGCCCCAGTCACAGTTATGCCAGAAACACTCCCACACATTTCCAAACTTCCCTGCTGAAGAGCCACTCACTCCATATGAGAAGGTTAAGGGAACACTCGGGGAGGAAGAGGATGAGGAAATGCAGGAGTCAGCTACCAAAAGACCTCAGGTTCCTGCAGTCACCACGGAAGGGGTCACGGGAGCAGGAAGGGATGGGAAACGGGGCTGGGGTGGAGACTCCTGGAGATGGACCACCTGGGGCCTGGGCCGCTGACAGAATGGAGAGGCACAGAGATGTGGCCACCGTGGACATCCGGGGAGACCGAGAGACAGCAGCTGAAGACCCAGGGAAGGCTGGACACAGCCCTGGGGTTGGGGCAGATGCAAGGGGACAACCCAAAGGGGCTTACGGGACTGGAAGAGTTAAGGAAACAAACACATCCTAGTGTTCAAAGCCAGCTCTGCCACCTCCAAATCCATACTCAGACATGCAAGGTAGGATGGCACCAAATAGAAACCGAGCCTTCGACCTAAGGAAGCTGAAACACGTGAAACTGCCTGGAGTGCATCGGCTGGGGAGGGTGAGGGTGTGGGAAGCAGCAGCCAACCTCGGCTTCTCCCAGTTGCTCCATCTCCCCAGCCAGTTTCTCCAGGTCATCCCCAAAGGAACTGCGTGCCCCTCACACTGCTGGGATTACGCACAGTACCCAACTTACGCGAGATGATCCACAAATACCTGCAGAAAGGATGTAAAGGGAGCGGCTGCTCCTGTGCAGATTTTCCAGCTCCTCCTTGTCCCTTATTATCCGAACAGTACTCCTAGAACCCGTCAAACACATCCTTTGGAGTCCTGAGGGTCTACTAAAATTAAATGCTCAGCTCAAACACCACAATTTTACATGCAAAAACCAAGATTTTTAAAGGAGTTAGTTACTTTATTTTTTCTTATGCTTTTCACTGTCCAATTCACTCTCATTCAGAAAGCCTCACATAATATCAGATCAATATTTTTCTATCCAAGATGGGAAGAGGGAGGAGGAGAATTATTAGTATCCCTGTCTAACCCATCTAACTACACCTGTAAGGATGGACTTGCCAAAGAGAAAACAAAACAAAAAGTTGTTTCAGGTGTTAAAATTTCAATCAAATATCAAATATGCTAGAGAGAGATGCAAAGAAAATGAATGATTTTTCTTGATGGGGATTTATCTCCTGCTTCCTAAAAGTGGACTTGAGATTCACACCAGAAATTAAAATCGTCACCACTGTGTCCACTCGGCTGAGTTGGAATGACACTTCCCAGCCCCTCGCTGTGAAGCTGAGTCAGCACATGGAGTGATGTCTGAGGCAGAGGCACGGGGTAGCATCGGTTCCGGGGCCCAGGGCAGGACACACACCCACACTGGTGGACTGGGCAGCATCCCACCCATAGCTCCTCTGCTCCTCCAGCTCTGGGCCAGGCACGCATGTTTAGCACGGCCGCAAAGGGCACCAGCCTCTCCTCCAGGAGCCCCCACCATTAGAGCGGGAGGCTGGGAGGTGGTGAGAAGCTGACATGGGCTCCAGGCCATCCCCATGGGGTCCAGCTCAGCCCCACAGTTCCTAGCTTGTCCTTGCTTCCCTCCCTTCACATCCGCCTTCCCTTCCCAGCCACCTGCCTGCCTCAGGCCTTCTGGATCCAGCAGCAGACACCGAAACGATGCTTCACAGGCCTGGGTAGCCAGCTCCCACAGCACGTAGCCCAATCCCCTATAAGAAATCCTATCTATGTGTGCATATGTATGGACATGTGCACTGACAAAGACTCTCCTTGACCAAACTTCAGACAAGCTCCTGTGAGTCCTCTTTCCAACGAGGCCTCATCCTTCAGCCCTGTCCTCAGCCTGCCTAGCCCAGTTTCAACAAGAATCCCGGGAAGTCATCCTGGGCCTCCCTGTTAGGCAAGTTTAGCAAGAATCCCCTACACTTAATGTCTCTCCTCTTAGTAATTTTCCATCCACTGACCCCCTCACTCTGCTCATTGGCTATAAAGCCCCACTTGGCCTTGTTGTATTCAGAGCTGAGTTCAATCTCTCCTCTGTTGCAATAGAGTTGACTCCTACTGTAGTAGTCTTAAATAAAATTCTCCTTACCATTTTAACAAGTGTCGGAATAATTTCTCTTTGATGGTGTACATGTATGTCTCTAGAACTGTTATGAATACAGTGATTTTTATAGCTGTCTCATAATTTTCCAGGTGGTACTTCTTCCTTTTCCATAAGTCCTCTGGTCAAAGGCTGTTTTGAAATTGTTCCAGGTTCAATGTTCAATGGGTGTCTTTTCCTTCAAAGAAACATAAACATATATCATCACCCCACCACCAGGGACCAGGAGCACTGGGCTGAGAAGAATTTGCCATCGGCAACTCCAGCAGCTCTAAGAAGGGCATTCACTCAGATGACAACTGAACAAAAATGTCAGTCAAAGGTGCCATGGCAAGTGTTTCCCCCTTTCCGAGGCGCTGGGACGCCAGGGGTCCTGCTGTTCTGCCACTCACAGCTGACTGGATAACTGGGTGACTGTGGGCAGACCACTTCATTCACATCACAAAGCACGATGGCAGGACACCATCTGCCCCATCAAATCCCAACTAAGTTTCAGTGATAGTCAAATGAGCAGGAGGGAGGAAGCAATCAGAAGACTGGAAAAGAACTTCACATAAAAGAGATACAACAAACAAACCTGCAGAAAAAATCCAACCTTGCAAGTCACCAAGAAAACGCAAATTAGAAGAGTAAGGCAGCGTTCTGCACACACTCAATTAGCAGCCCTGCTGCTGGCTGCATCCAGCAGTGTCTCAACAGCAATCACAACGCTCAAAAAGGCTGACCCAGGAAGCCCCCTCCTGATGAAAACTCTCTCCTGCTAAAAAAAAAGCCAAAGACCTAAAGATGTTCACCACAGTGTTATCAACAGTACCAAAAACAACCTGAAAAGCAAGCAAGAAAGGGAACAAAAAAAAGCATGTATTATTAATGCATTCAACTATAGGTGACTGCCAACATGTGCCTCTAGCTAGCTGTAGGGTGTGGGGCTTCCTTTGGAGGTGATAAAAATGTTCTAAAACTGACTGTGGTGATAGGTGCACATATCTGTGAACATGCCAAAAAGCTGAAGTGTACATTTTAAATGGCATCTAAAGGCATGAGGCCGAGGGGAATCACCAGACACTGGGAGCAAAGAGACAAGCGGAGGCAGAACCAAGCCCTGACGCAAGCGCCCAGCACACGGGAATCAGAAGTGGGGAAGTTCCAGGATGAGCTGGGAAAAGGAAGAAAGCACCGTGTAGAGGAAGCACTGGACTGAGAGAACACTGTTGACAGACAGAAAAAGAGGACAGGAAATGACTCCTGCTTTGGAAACTGGTGACCTTGGCAAGGGAGAGGAGAGGGACGTCCGGCAGAGGGGGCTGAAGGGGGGCGTGCGAGGGAAGGGCAAGCGGGGGGGCTGAAGACGGCGCACGAGGGAAGGGAAGGGCACACAGCGGGGGCCGATGGGGGCGCACGAAGGAAGGACACACCAGGGGGCCGAAGGAGGCGGGCGAGGGAAGGGCACAGAAGGGGGCCGAAGGGGGCACACGACGGAAGGGCACAGAGGGGGGCCGATGGGGGCGCACGAAGGAAGGGCACACCAGGGGGCTGAAGGAGGCACGCAAGGAGAGGGCACACAAGGGGGCCGAAGGGGGCGCGCGAGGGAAGGGCGCGCGAGGGAAGGGCACACAGCGGGGCCGATGGGGGCGCGCGAGGGAAGGGCACACAGCGGGGCCGATGGGGGCGCGCGAGGGAAGGGCACACAGGGGGGCCGAAGGGGGCGCGCGAGGGAAGGCAGACGACCCTGGCAGAGGTTCCGCTTCAGAGCGGAAGGTTGCTTGGCTTGGCTGGGCTGAGCTGAGCTGCACATCGTGGTAACTACGGCATGTCTGCACACAGGGAAGCCAGTGGGGTGGGAGAGAGGGAGGCGGCAGGAGGGAGCGGGGAACACGGAGTGGGCAGGAGGGCATGAGCGCTTGTGCCATGGGCTTTGCGGCCCTTCCGCAACATTCCAATGAGACACCAGGCCTGGCGAAGTCAACATCCGCCCCCTTCCAGCAGTGCCCCTTAAAGCATGGCACTGCACCAAGAATAGGGGCGGGAATTGGGGAAGGTGAAGAAGACCTGATGAGGGTAACGGGCTGCCACCACGTCCAGGTAGCCCGGCAACGGTAGCACAGGGTGTCAGGCTGCAGAAGCCACCTCTGCCCAGCAATGCCTCTCTCACTCAGCTACACGGTCAGCAGATGATTTACATCCTCTAAGTGAGTAACCAAGCCTTGCTCTGATTAAGTAATCCTTCCCTTAACTCCCTTTTCTAAAAACGTCTTCACAATCATCTAACATAACTGGTTCCCTCTGCCACAAAGTCAAGAAGCACCTTTTGAGGGAACAGTGGGATCTGCGGCAGCCTTGGTTAGGAAGACGCGCCTTTCCAGCAAACATGCCCACTAAGGTTTAGAAGCAGAGATGCTGAATTCTGCTCTGAAAATAACATTTTCTGAAGCAACAAACTTTGCTTTCTTTCAAAATAATTGCAGTGATTATTTTTGGTCTCCTGTATTCAGCGACGTCTGCTGCCACTTCCACCCTCCATCAAGGTGACTTTGATAGAGACAAGCAGCCCATGACAAGATGAGTGACCTGCAAGGTGCAATCACCAGTGGCCACCCCAGGCAAGTCCCATTAGCAAACCAGATGGGGAAGTGACATTTAGACTTCTCCTAAACAGCCATCGCAATGTGACAGGGACAGTGGCAAAGCGGTGTGCAGGTAAATATCAAAGGGAGGCTGTCCATCCATTTAACAGTATTTCTTCACACCTACTGTGTTCCAGGCCGTCCCAGGACAAGGCAGATGGGGTCTGCTAGCCTCTCACGTTAAGACTGGGAAACGCAAAGCGGCGGGTATGATGCAGAAGAGCCGGGGGTCACGGTGGTCTCCTGGAGAAGACGGCACTGGAGGTGAGCCCTCATGCAGAAGCGCACCGTTCAAGATCGCCCAGGAACAGGCATGTGGGGCTCTGGGGTGGAAAAGTCTTGGCACGTAAGCATTAATTAAGGAAGCCAAAGGAACTGGAACCGGGAGCAGACGAGAAAGTAAGGGACAAGGTGGGAGAGAGGGCAGGGCCGGGGGCAGAACCTGCAGGCCACACTGAGTCCTGGGTTTTATTACAGGAGCAACAAAACAGGATCTGATTTGCAATTTAAACAGTAACTGTGAGGGGTGTCCGGAGAATGAAGCAATGGGAGGCTGGAGTGGAGCAAGGGAGAGGGGCAGGAGGCTCCAGAGGAGATGACGGCAAATTAAACAGAACGAAGGCAGTCAGGGCGAGAAAGCAGAAGCAGGCTGGCTGGGCCTCTCAACGAATCCAAGGTGCAGAGGGGAGAGGATGGCAGAAAAGGTGATTCCAGGGCTGGGCCGGAACAACCGCGTGGGTAGTCAGGTAAAGGATGAGGAAGGAGAAGCGACAACGGATGAGAGACACAGGCCCACGCTAGTCGCTGACTGTGCTGCCATTCTCCCCGCACCCCTCCAGCCCCCCACGCTGCCTGCCCCTAGAGACAAAGACGGCCAAATCCATTCAGCCCTTCCTAGCTGTAGCACTGAGCCCATGGATTCAACCAACCGAGGATTGAAAATATTTGGGGGAAAAAATTGCATCTGTGCTGAACGTGTGTAGTTTTTTTTTTTCCTTCCCTAAACAATGCAGTAGAATAATGGCTTATGTAGGTAGCATTTACATTGTATGAAGTGTTACAAGTAATCTAGAGATGGCTTAAACCATATAGGAGGCTGGGTGTGGTGGCTCATGCCTGTAATTCCAACACTTCGGGAGGCTGAGGCAGGAGGACTGCTTCAGCCCAAGAGGACAAGACCAGCCTGAGCAACAAGGCGAGACCTCATCTCTGCTAAAAATAAAAATAAATAAATAAACAAACTATATGGGAGGATGTGTATAAGTTATATGCAAATACTATGCCATTTTATATCAGGGACTTGAGTATCCCTAGGTTTTGGTATCCAAGAGAGAGCCTGGAGCCAATGCCCCCTGCCAATACTCAGGGATGACTGTGCTTCCCATCACGCTTACAGTGGGCTGGCATGACCACATGATCTGGTTCTAGCCAATGAGACAGAGAGGTCTGCTAGAGACTCTTAAAAACTTTTGTAACAGCTTTGTTGAGATATAATTCACATAGCAGTTGGCCCATTAAAAGGTGCAATTCAATGGTTTTGAGGATATCACACAGTTGTGCAACAACCACCACAATGTACTATTGGAATACCTTCACCGCCTCAACCCCATACCCTTTAGCCATCGCCCCCACAAAGTCCCCCATTCCCCCAGTCCTAAGAAAGACTAATCCATTCTGTCCCTATAGTCTATTTTGGTCATTTCAAATAATTGAGATCATAAAACATGTGTGTGGAATTCAGAGCCTGGCTTCCTTCACTTGGCATTACATTTTAAAGGATCATCCACACCACAGCAGGGATGAGTAGTTCACTTGTGGTGTGGCTGCACAACCCTGTGAGCATTCTCATATACTTTAGATGGATAAATTGTAGGGCACATGAGTTAGCTCTCAAAAACTTCTTTTATTTTAGTAAGACTTTTGGTTTCTTGTAGGTAAAGCATGACAGCAGCTATGGGGAGAGAGGCACTGCATAGCGACAGTTGTTTCGGAAGTTTAAGATGCTTAAACAACCTCAAGGTCTACCAGCAAGTCAGATTCGTGTTGGATACCATGAGACCTGGGATTCTGTGCTACTTCCGCTGAACGAGGAACTGGCAGCCTAATCTTGATCCACACTTTCAAGGGCGAGGTGGAGAGGCCACCTTCCCAACACCTTAGGACTGGGCTGAACATTAAACGCGGGGGAAACAGCATGCACTGAATCCCCGGTTACACTGGCCGCCGCTCCCTGCCTGAAGAACACCTCTGGGTGGCACCATCCTTTCCTTTCCCTTGCTCCTCTTCCTCTGTTTCCACCTCCCACTCACCCCTTCCCCAGGCCAGTCAGAGCACTGCTAGAGTTAATTACAATATTATAAGACAAATTATAACAGCAGCACATCTTGGAAAAGAATCACATCCACATCTGACAGCCCTTTGGGGTGATTCTGCTGTTCCCTATTTCTCTCTCCGAGTCTTCTTAAGGTAACCTTGAGCAAAAGAACCACTAATGTCTGACCAAGGAGCTGGCGTCCAGGTCCCCCAGAAGGAAAACAGTGCCATCTTATGATATTTACTAAGCACTTCTTGGCAGCAGACATTGTTAGGCACTTCAGGTGTGTCATCTCCAATCCTTAAAACAATCCCACAAGGTAGACGCAAAAACCAAGACACAGATAGGGTTTTCGAGAAAACACCATCTACCCAGAGGCCTCCAGAAAGACACTGGACCACAGTAGAAGAGGTAAACCAAAAGACTTCAGATCCCAACAAGACCAAGCCCAGGAAATCATGTGCAACGCAAACCATCTATACTCTAGCGTGAGAACATCACACTCCCTGCCATCCTAACCTGGTAAAGTCATTCCAACAGCAGAAATGCTGTGAAATAAGGCACATCCTTAACACAGGTTCATTCACTGGCCCCCTCCCATCTCATGGGACCCCCCCCTTTCGTCACTCCTCAGTCTTTTCACAGTAGCATTAATATGACCTATTTATAGTATGCATTTTTTCCCCTTCTTTTCGTAAGTATTGATAACCGCACTTCACTCACAGTAGCAGAGCCTACATATGGTTGAACCTTACTCGCTCACCTGGGGCTTTTGATCCCAGTCCCTGAAACAGTTTACCTAACTAGTTTTTCCCCGTGTTCCCTTTTTAAGCTACGTGATGTGAAAGCCGCGAGTCTTTTTTATTTTCCACAGGAATTGGTGTCAGTAACTGTAAATTCATCCTGAAACGGCCAGCGCAAGGATGACCATCAGGCCGCGGGCCAGACCTGGTCCATAGGCCACGGTTTGCCAAACCCTGCTCAAAAGCCTGACCAAAGGCCACAGCAGGATCTTTAAAATTGCCAGTTAGAAGAAATATCCATTTGGTAGCATAGTAGAAGGTGGGTTTAAAGAGACAGAAGACATCATTCATTCAGCCGGCATTTAAGGACCCGTAAGGTACCAGGTGCTGCTCCAGATATGCGTGACAGTTGGTGTCTTTGAGGAGCTTAGAGGCTTGCTGGGTGGGCAAACAGACCAACACCTCCACAGCCCAGCATGCTGGAAGCTCTGACAGCGGCAGGCACAGGGCACGGGGAGCTCCCAGAGGGGGCACTGCAGTCATGGCAGGGATGAATTCCTGGACAATGTGACAGTAATGGAAACGGCATGTACGAAGGCAGCAGAATAGCAATGCTGTTGTATTTGGAGAACTGTCAACAATTTAGTACGGCCAAATACAGAGTGAATGTGAGAGTGGGAAAAGATGAGTCTGGAAATTACAAATATGTGCCATTCTAAACCTTTCACAAAGGAAGGAATCCCTCTGCCCTTTTAAGAGACTCCCATGCAGTTCACAGGACCAGGTTTGCATGCACAACCCATGAGGCTTCAGAGGATGACAGCTCCATTAATCTACTGCTGGAATGCCACAGAAGCTCTGTGCCCACACACATGGGAAGCCTCAACAAAGATGGCCCTGTACCCATGATCAGAAAAGCAACACAGTCACGGTTCCTAAGAAGATTCCACAAATCATCAGGGTAGTACATCATCTTGTAAAAAATGACCAAAGTCTTGGAGAACTCAGAGCCTTTCCATGTAAATACTTGCCCTAATAACGTATCTTGTAGGTTCAATCTTTTGCAAATACTGGAGGGTACACATGGAGCAGAAGGCCCCCGATGATGCTGTCTTCAACTGCACATCACCAGTCCAGCTTCACAAAGGACAAGAAAGCTAGAAAGACCCTCTTCAACCCTGGGGTCACGTTTTTCCATTCCTGGCTGCTCTTCTATTCCATACTTTATTTCAATGCAGCAAAATTTAGAAATGTTAGTTATCAAGTCTGTGAATAGCACCATGAGCTCTTCAGCAAAAAAGACCATCCAATAAATTATAGTATCCATCATTAAAAATAACAAACCGCCACCTAGCCCTGCACAACCCAGCTGTCCAAATGAGAAAATGGAGGCTGGGGAGAATGTAATTATTGATCGGAGGTTACAGTAATTAGAGGCTGAGATGAGTGGAAAGAACCTCTCAGACCTCCTGACTTTTGTCCTTTTCTCAGACGACTCCAATTAACCAAATATCATTATATAAAGGTCTTTCAAGAGACTGTTATTTGTTCAACAGTATCAAGTGTCCCAAGTTCTTCTCCTTTTAAACTAAGTGTCTTTAAATCACTAATTAATATGACTTTAAATAACCATAAGACACTATCAGCATTTCATGGATAAACAAATTTTCCTGTCACCTAAAAACATACAGCTTGGACCCCATCAATCACAGTGTGCGTCCCCTTCCCAGGACAAGGGGCACCTGACACCTCTAGAGGGTTATGCTGCCTTTTCATCAAAAATCAAACGCAATTTATATCTAATGGAAACACAGCCCATATGGAAGCATAGTGATTTCGTTCTCTGTTTTCTCACTGGGAACTAACAATCCACCAAAAGAAAGCAGACCTTAGAAGTACATCATGATCACAGCTCCTCCTCTCTTTTCCCATCAACCGCCTGATCTGAAATCTAGCTGAGTCTGGTTGCAGCTTTGTCAGTCATCCAAACCGAGATGATGAATCTCTCCTAACTCACTCTACAAATACCATGGATCAAAACTTCCTACCATGACTAATTCAAACTCAGATTTTAAACATATATTCTCCTCCAGTATTTCTGGTAGACCTTAAAAAGAGAAAAAGAAAAAAAAAGAAACTATCCTCAGGATTCCAGCATGGAGAAGATACACCGAAGAGAGATCACAGCACTGGGGGGGAATTAACTAAGGGCTCTGGCCATAAAAGCAATGGCCAGTCGTGACCATGTGAGGGAGACAAGCAGTCTAATGGGCGAGCCACATCCAACTTGAAGCCTCCGTCCTCACTTAGGGCTGGTGAAGACCACAGGCTGTGGTTAAACATGTCGTTTCAATAAGAGTTCACATTTACATATTTTACACACATATATTAAAAGAGCCTCCAATGTGACCTGTTATAAAATGTCTAATTACTCAAAAATATAGCATACAGATCACCCTTTTTGAAAGATCACATGAGGAAAAGGTACAACTATCACAATAGGCTTAGAAGTGAACAAAGCTTAAAAATATAAACAGGATAAGAAAAAACGGTGGGGAAGGCAGAGGTTAAAGCATCAATGAGAACCCTCGCTGTATTTTCCTGTAGAGGTTTTCTTTGCCACCTGGAGAAAAACGCTGACACTGAGTTCTGGACAGGAAGGGCAGGGGAGATAGGCAGGCACACACCCACCACCACTCCCAGGCACGGGGATGCTCATCAACAATACATGAATGCTATTAATAAAAAAAGAAACACAGCAACAGAGCAATTAACAGAGAGCCCTATGTGCTCGTCCACTCTCTGTTCTTCCCGGCGGCCATTTCATGGACACACGTGTAAACATCAACCTCCGAGCACGTGGGGCTGGGAAACACAATCTACTTCTCAGTGCCGTCATCAAAATAAGACAAGGCCTCACATGTCTGGAGTGGAGACAGTCGGCTCATCAGCCTGACACAGAAGAGTGGAATGGGTCACTCCAATTATTGATCCTGCATACACGCTCAGTCATCTCACCATGTCCCATGGAAACCGCAGGGTACCCAAAGGGGAAGATATGGCCCATGCCCTTGAGAAATACAAACTCCAACAGAAAAACACGATGCAGCATACGTATACACACACATACAGTGTACAAACACACATGTGTTCCTTGTAAAAAGAATGTGCTTTTTTTTTTTTTTTGAGCTGGAGTCTCACCCAGGCTGGGGTGCAGTGGCATGATCTCGGCTCACTGCAACCTCCACCTCCCGGGTTCAAGCGATTCTCCTGCCTCAGCCTCCCAAGTAGCTGGGATTACAGGCGTGCACCACCTCGCCCGGTTAATCTTTGTATTTTTAGTAGAGATGGGGTTTCACTATGTTGTCCAGGCTAGTGTCGAACTCCTGACCTCAGGTGATCCGCCCGTCTCACCCTCCCAAAGTGCTGGGATTACAGGAGTGAGCCACCATGCCCGGCCAAGAATGTGCTTTTGAAAAATGTCTGAGGACCCAAGTCAGAATCAACTTCCCCATAAGCAATCACGATGAAGGCAAGGGCTGTGACAACATCACTCACACCTCAGCAGCCATGCACTTGGCATCTAGCCTTTGCCAGGTCCAGCTCCAGGTAGACAGCAGGCAGAATGAGGTTTTCTCCCATGGAGGGAGACAAGCATGGACCAACTAAATACGTAACTGATGACCGACAAGTGCAGGAAGAAAGAGAGCAGAGGCCCAGAGTCCCTGGTCTAGCTAGGGACTTGTGAAGGCTTTCAAGAGGAGGCCAGGCCCAAGAGGAGTCACATGGTGAAGGGGCAGGGTGTGGGGACAGGGGAGGTGCACCGGCCCTGCTGTGGGAAGGAAGGTGTGTGCTGAAGAAGTTCAAGATGCAGCAGACACAGCAGGCGAAGGAGTGACACTGACGGCTCAGGCGAAGGGCTCAGGGCCGTGTCACCACAACTCACCAACCGTGGGGACTGTGCTTACTGAGGTGAGGTATGTGGGGACACTGCCACCAGGAGAGAACAGAGTCCTGGCTACAGGGGCAGAGGGACATGCCATGGGTCAGGGATGGCACCCGAGATTCTAAGCCCCTACACAGAGTCCAGGCACTACCTCTTTAGATTTGCTGGATCACGGGGAGGCTCAAGAAATTCCAGGGGAGTAGGGGAGGTGGGCAGCACTCCCAGGGGCTGGGGAGAGCAAACATTCACTCGAGCAGGTAACACCAGACCACTGCCCAAGCCGCCACTGAGCCACAGTCACCCCAGCAGGAGACACGGG
The DNA here is from genome assembly GCF_000001405.40 of Homo sapiens. Classification (NCBI taxonomy): domain Eukaryota; kingdom Metazoa; phylum Chordata; class Mammalia; order Primates; family Hominidae; genus Homo; species Homo sapiens. The sequence goes on from NC_000008.11 coordinate 140,357,715, forward strand.
TGGCTCTGGGAGCTCTGCCTCGGCCTGCTGCTCCCTCCCGTCACCGAAACGCCGGAGTGCAAATGGGCCATGGAGCCAGCTTCCACGGTGGCCCTGCTGGCCACCTGCTCACTCTGCAGGTACAATCAAGAAAAGCACAGTTCAAATGCAGCCCCAAAAGCAACAGCGACCCAATACACGCAGAAAAGGAGCTGCACGGCTGTCGCAGGGGCCCCGGTCAGAGCAGAGATTCACTTGGGTCACCAGAAGTCCTCAACAGAAAACAACAGCTACTCCACACGAGGATGCCAACGGCCACAATAAGTGGTGTGTGCCTTCAGAACCTTGGCAACAAAGAACCACAGGGGTTCACGAAAGGAGAATTCCTTTCTCTTAGAGATGGCCGTGGAAATCACTGTAGGGAAATCAATGTTTCCTTTAAAGAATGCTAGTGTTTCAACAGGTGCAGTGAGAAGATGGGCTTTATGAGGACTGCTTAATGTATACTAGGTTTCTTTCTTTCTTTTTTTGAGACAGAATTTCACTCTTATCGCCCAGGCTGGAGTGCAATGGCGCAACATTGGCTCTCTGCAAGCGCCACTCCTGGGTTCAAGTTATTCTCCTGCCTCAGCCTCCTTAGTAGCTGGGATTACAGGGGCCTGCCACCATGCCTGGCTAATTTTTTGTATTTTTAGTAGACACGGGGTTTCACCATGTTGGCCAGGCTGGTCTCGATCTCCTGACCTCAGGTGATCCGCCCACCTGGGCCTCCCAAAGAGATCGGATTACAGGAATGAGCTACCACATCCGGCCAGAATTAGTGCATTTAAACCTCACAACCACCCTCAGAGATGCACACCCCACGTTACCCTGGAGCCAGAGCCTGCTCAAAGACAGAGAACAGCCAGGGGAAAGCAGTGGGTGGAGGGCTGGAGAGAAAGATGTGCTGCTTTTAGAAATGTGAAAACAGAGAAGCACGAAATTTGGGAGGTGCCAGGACATGAGACTGAGGGAGTGGGGTCGCCACCTGGACAGCAGCAGTGACGGCACAGCACTGCAGGGGGCAGTAATGAGTCGCCCAGACGGCCTGCAGGGAGGAGAGGCCCGTTCCCCAGGGGAGAGTGCTGCCTCCCCAGAAGTTGTCCTTGACGGGCAAGAGCCCTTCATCAAGACCCTACCCTTTCCTGGGAGCAGTGAGCACCCAGGGCCTGGCACGGGGACAGGAAGCCCCGGCCCTCCCATCGCCAGAGATCTCTCCGACGGCTTCCCAGCTGCACAGGCCCTGCTGGGTCAGCAGAAGCCTTGTCTCCTTGCTGAAGAGAACCACATCACCCAGGGTAGACTGCATTCAACTGCTGGTCAGTGAGGGAGGAGAATGGCCCGGCCCCCTCAGAACAACATGGGACACGTCTGCAGGCCACGGCAGTGCAGGGCTCCCCGTGCAGCTGAGGCCTGTGTCCATATAGCACTGAGGCCCAGCTTCTCCCACTGTCCAGTCTCGCCTCCATCTCTTCCCTTCTACGGGGCTGATCCCATGAGTACGTCCCAATACACTCTGCACACATCAGTCTCCCCAGCAGACAGCACTTCCCCAAGAACCCAGCTGGCACCACACACTGGGCCAGGGCCAGGGGTACAAGGAGGAAGGCAGGTTTGGGGCAGCTGAGCCCCAAGCGCGTAGGGAAACAGGTCATGACTAAAACTCAAAAAGCAGATAGCACCCAGGAGCAGTGTAAGAAGAGAAGATGAAGGCCAAGAAAGGAGCCCGGGAGAAAGGCAACCTTGAAACAGGGGCAGAAACACCGCGTGGCCCCATGAGAGCCAACACATGCAAACCTCATCTTTGGTTCTGGAAGGGGGGATGGAGTTACCCAGTGACTCGAAGGGGCACGAGGGGCCCTGGGTTCTGTTCCTGCCCGTCTCTGATCTGGGTGTTGATTATAGCGGTGGCCACTTGGTGAGAATTTACTGAGCCACATTCCTATGAGTCGTGCACTCCTCTATGTAAATGTTATGCTTTGACATTTATATTTTTAAAAAGGCAGGCTAAGGAAATGGGAGGCAACACAGGAGGCTGAAAAGAAGCCTGAGAGGTGGAGGGAAAAGCCATGGAGTGTGGCGGCCGAGGAGCAGGAGGAGATGGCGTGAAGGCGGGAGGAGGTGGCACAGGTGTCCCAGAGAAGTGAGTGTGGAAGGAGGGAGCCAAGGCATGGGGCAGGGACCTTGTCACTGACGAAGAGCTGGGCAGCATCTTCCACCCACTGAAACCCAAGCCCAGGGTTTACATGAACCAGCATCTAAAGTGCTCTCATTCACAGTTCCTTGAAAAAAAACATTGTGGTTTGAGCTCACTCACCCTGATCCGACAAGAAGTCCAGCATGGTCTGTAGAAGGAAGGACAGGTGTCTGACAGAGAGGGCAGGGTTCCCCATCCTTCGGGAGGCGTAGACCAATTCATGGAGCAAACGCATCTGGACCGCAGCCCAGCCTCTGTGCGTGCCTGCGATGGAAGTTACAAAACATCACAAAAGTGCTTGGAGAGGGTACAGGAAATACGGTTAATCTAAGTTGTAAAACTTGGCAATTTGAAGACAGATGCCTCAACCACCAAACTCCAAGAGCAACAAAAAATATTTCCTCTGCTTTTAATGACCCTGGAAAAGTACTTTAAAGTTGGCATGGTTTTCATACAGCAAAAACAGGCATTACACTATAGCTTCTCTCTCTGCAAAGACATGATTTGATTTCAAAAATAGCCTGCTTCGAAATAATAAGCTTAGAACAAAAGATGGATTTCATATATCTGAGCTAGAGACATACTTTTTTTCCAAGAAAATACTCATATTTGAAGGGCCTTCATTATCAACAACCAACAACATTAAATCAAAAATATAATATTTCTCTAAAATATAAGAAAAATGAAGAAAAGTAGATAGCTAAATTAGAAAAAAAAAAAGTTAAATTCTACAGCTGCTCACTCCAAAACAGTTTAGCATCTTTGAATTAAAGACGGAGAAATCTGGATGCACAGACAGTTGAAAAGTATCTCTTTTTTTAAGAGATGAGGTCTTTCTCTGTCATCCAGGCTGGAGTGTGGTGGTGCAATCACAGCTTACTGCAGTCTGGACCTCCAGGGCTCAAGCAATCAATCCTCCCATTTCAGCCTCCTGCGTAGCTGGGACTACAGTTACACACCGCCATGCCCAACTACTTTTTTTTTTCCAGTAGAGACAGGGTCTCCCCATGTTGCCCAGGCTGGTCTTGAACTCCTGACCTAGAACCATCCTCCTACCTTGGCCTCCCAAAGTGCTGGGATTACAGGTATGAGCCACTGCTCCCAGCCAATCTGTGTTAACACACACACCCTGCCAATGGCTCTGATAACCAACCACACAGACTGGCTAATCACTGCTCCAGCTGATCCAAAACTTAGACCATGAAAAAACGCATAAATGCACATTCAAACTCTGACAAAACTGCCACGCACTGAAAGTCCGTAATAGCTCACGACAGTCGGTTGGTTAACAAGTATTTACTGAGAACACAATACTGTGCAGGGCAGGTTCTCGTGCCATTGACACTCTTGTGGGAAGAGTCAGGCCTCAGCCCTGGGAAACAGCATGCTGGTGGATGCTGGGACGAACACAAACAGTAATAGTGAGGGCTGATGGGGCTGAGAGATGCTGCGTCAGCCAGGGCAGGTGGGCAAGGAGGTGACATCTGGGGTGAACCCTCGATGAGAAGGGGGCCACGCCAAACTGTAAAACGGAGACAGTAGTCGGAGTACAAGTTAAAGTTATAAGGCTTCAGTGCAATAACCCATTTAAAGCACTTCAGCAGTTTATTTATCATAAGTTCTCAATAAATGCTAGTTGCTATTAATATTATTATTCAATGAATATAATGTGGTTAACACACAGGTCAACCTTTGACTCTAGCTGTGACATGATTAATGATCCAACCTGTTCCACTGTTTCACTAAGAATGAGTCCTCCATTTTTTTAAATCCCTATTGAGATTATTTATTAAGTAAAATTACCTGCTTGTGTGTCAAAATCCCCCATTCAGGTATGACTTCCTGTACCTGAAGACTGTGCGTTACTTACTATTGCATCCCCAGGACAGGGCCTGACGTGAGACTGGGCGCTCGGCTGAGGCTGACTGGCGAGCAAACAGAACAAGAAGGGATGCCTCCTCCCTAACGCAAATAGCAGGGGCCCTTCCTTCTATCCTAACCTTTCTCTGTTTGCCCATTGATATTTGAAGACGTTGCTCCAAGGGTTCCACCGCTCACAGCCCTTCCTGAGCTCTTCCCTCAGCACTCTGCCCTGCACAGCTGACCAGTCCCTCTTCTGTATTTCCGCTGTATTTTGCACAAATTTCAGCCCACAGGAGTTATCTGGCAGGTACCATAAGGCACCTGTAATCTCATGTCTTTGTTTCTCTCATCAATCCTTAATTTCCTTGGGAGGCAGGTTTATGTCTTATCCATTCAAGTGTCCTTAATGCCTGGCAGGGTGCCTGATAACAAAGTTGGTACTTAACACACACGTGGATCAAGACGTAAGGCTGGTGAAAGGAAACCCTCCCATGTTGCGGACGTGCATACAGCTATGAAGGAGTACAGTGATGTGGTTTCTAGGATCTGCTTTAAATACTTCAACAAAAAAACCAATAAAGTAAAAATAAAGCCAATGTGGTCAAATTTTGATAATGATTTAATCTGGGCAATGGACACAATATTCTATTCTATCCTCTCTAATTTGTATATATTTAAAGTATTTCTCCATAACTTCTCATTGAAATCCTTGGAGCTGACCATACACACACTTAAAAAAAAATAAAAATAAAAATAAAAAAAACACTACTTTATATCTTAGTAGTTTATCTTCCCGACATCTTTTGGAATATAAAATGGTAGTACTTCTCATACAACTGCAGGAAAGGAGAGAAAGACGAGTCCCTGCAATATTCCACATTGTCAAAAGAAGCCAAGACCAAATGCCAAAATGAAGAAGAGATTTTTTTAAAGATTATGAAGCTGAAATCAATGTCATGACTAACCTAGCCATGAATTCAGAAAGACCCAATTTAACTAATCTCAACACTACCATATCCAGAAGGTTTTCTCACATAAGAATTGGGCAAATATCACTTTGCTGATTCTTTTAAAAATAGATAATGATCCAGTTCCTACCACGGGCGATTATGAGTAAGACCGAGTATACATTTTCTTAACAGTAAATAGTGTACAAGTCATAATTTCTATGTGGCTCAAAGTGCTCTCCCTATAAAATGTGAATTATTTTTCTGAAGGCAGATTTGCAGCATATGACCCAGTGATAAAATTTTCAATACTCTTGTAATCAAAAATTTCACCAATTTGGAGGTTTATTTTGTATATGAACTATTGCCTTTTAGCAAATCCATCTGCCTTAGCAGTCTCTTTCTTTCATAAGAGTTCCTGGGCAAAATTTAATCCCTCGTCCAGGAAAAGGCATGATCAAAAATCTTCATATACAGCAACACAAATAAGATTTAAATGATACTAAGCGGCCCCTTAAGCCGGCAAGTACACACAGCACACATCAGTGTTCCTTCCTCGACCGTCTATAACCAGCTAGTGCAAATGTTCATTTCAAGAAAAAGAATACATTTTGGGACCTGAGAATACAGACAATTTGCCTTTTATTTACAGGTACAGGGTGTTAGTAGACTTCCATTAAATTCTCTGGGAGATGTTTAAAGCAGTCCAGAGCCACAGTGGAGATGGGGTTTAAAGTGACTTTTGTGTTTTGTTAAACATACAGCCAGCTGACATTTATCATTTTTAATCTCAGCCAGTCACCTTCTTTCTCTAGCCTCTTTCACAAAATAATGGAAAATGTCTCCTCCTGACACAAACGTCTTTTTTTTTTTTTGAAACGGAGTTTCACTCTTGTTGCCCAGGCTGGAGTGCAATGCCACGATCTTGGTTCACTGCAACTTATGCCTCCCAGGTTCAAGCAATTCTCCTGCCTCAGCCTCCCGAGTAGCTGGGATTACAGGCACGTACCACCATGCCTGGCTAATTTTTGAATTTTTAGTAGAGACGGGGTTTCACCATATTGGCCAGGCTGGTCTCGAACTCCTGACCTCAGGTGACCCACCTGCCTCAGCCTCCCAAAGTGCTGGGATTACAGGCGTCAGCCACTGCACCCGGCCCCAAACATTTTTCAAATGTATTTACAAATCATGGGAAGTGTTATAAGGAAGAACAACAGAATTCAAGGAAAAGAGAAAACGGCATTCGATGAAAGAGAAAAATAAAACAGTTCCACTTAAGGCTGAAAGGACCACTGAGGACCTCTCCGAAGAAATGGCATCCAGCTGTGACCTGAGGATGACCGGGAGTGAGGCAGGAAGGACAGGGAAGAGTGTCCCCGAAGGAGGCAAGAGGCATCAGAAGACCTCAGACTGATGCAGTCTTAAATGTTACAGATAACTGGCCCCGGGACAGGAAAAAAAGAAAATGAAGACCACTCCTAAGATAACTTGCATAGAGCCCAGGAGGCTTGCTTTTACCCTGAAGCCAGCCTGGAGTTATATTCAAAGGATGCAAAAAAAAAAAAAAAAAAAAGGAACCGAAAAGCAATTTAAATCTTGCCTGAAGTCTCTCAAAAGCACAGCAAATGGGAATTCCATTCACAAGTGCACATAGAAATCTATTAAAATACACTTTCTTATCACTCTACAAAGCAATAGTGTGATTGCTTTAAAAACTTTCTTCTTCCTAAACACTACTCCTTCCCAATTAAATTTCTCCAGAATCCAGCCTAAATGAGCTTAGACACCCAACTCTCCCGTGCTAAGACTCTGAGGTCTAATCTCTCCTCCTCCACCAGTAACTCTTAGCATTTTTTTTTTCGAGACGGAGTCTCGCTGTCACCCAGGCTCGAGTGCAGTGGTGCATTCTCGGCTCACTGCAACCCTTCTACCTCCCAGGTTCAAGTGATTCTCCTGCCTCAACCTCCTGAGTAGCTAGGATTACAGGCATGCGCCACTACACCTGGCTAATTTGTATTTTTTTAGTACAGACGGGTTGGCCAGGCTGGTCTCGAACTCCTGACCTCAAGTGATCCACCCATCTTGACCTCCCAAAGTGCTGGGATTACAGGCATGAGCCACCATACCTGGCCACTCTTAGCCTTTTAAAATGTAAATCCTACAAGTTTTAGGGCTTGTCCAGTTATTTTGTCCAAAATTAACTGTGTGACTAGGGCAGACCCCTCCCTGGCCCTCATCTGCAACCAAAGGCCAGGGAGGGCCTGCCCTAGCAACACACACTCTTTCTGGGGGAGCCAGGGAGGGACAGGCCTTGCAAACCCCATTCACGCTGGCCTCAGGGGATGCTATGGGAAGCATACTAGACCTGACCAAAGATCTCATTTGACAAACAGCCACTAACATTTGCTGAGCACTGTCCAAAGCACCTCACAAGGACTAACCAATTCAATCCTTACAACCTCTACCAGTAAACGAGTGTAAACTAGTGGCCCACTTACAGATGAGAAAGTGGGCACACAGGACTCAGGGACACGGCCAGCATCCCACAGCTGGTCAGTAATGGCGTCCTGTGCTCCCACCAGCTGTGCAACCTCAGGAGTAACACTGTGCCCTGCCTGCCCTGGTCCCTCACATGGCACGTGGAACGCGTGGTCTCCACTCACCAGGCTGTAAGAAATGAGGTTACGCATGTGAAGCCATTTACCATGAGGCCACAGCTAGCCTTGGCGTGGATTAGAAAGAGATGCCCCGTAGGCAAACACAGCCTGCAGGCACCAGGCTTAGCAAGGCATGCCCAGAAGGTCCCTACAGGAGACAACAGCGCCCCTTCATCTGAATGCACCCAGCTCTGAGCTGCAGATGGCTGGCAAGCAGGGCCCAGCACCCCGCACAGGCTGCAACTGCACGGCGACCCTGCCCAGCACAGCAGCTGCTCCAGGTATGTCACCTAAAATACCAAGAAACAGAGAAGAAAATGGGAACAATCACCTTTTGTGAACAATCAATTTTTTGTAACATCTAATAAGGACAATTTATTTCAACTTTTACTTTAAGTTCAGGGCTACAAGTGAAGGTTACACTGGTAAACGTGTTTCATAGGGGTTTATTGTACAGATTAGTTTGTGACCCAGGTATTAAGCCTAGTACCCATTAGTTATTTTTCCTGATCCTCTCCCTCCTTCTACCCTCCACCCTCCAAAAGGCCCCAGTGTATGTTATTCCCCTCTATGTGGCCATGTGTTCTCATAATTTAGCTCCCACTTATAAGTGAGAACATGTGGTATTTGGTTTTCTGTTCCTGCAGTAGTTTGGTATGAATAATCACCTCCAGCTCCATCCATATCCCTGTAAAGAACATGATCTCATTTTTTATGGCTGCATAATATTCCACAGTGTATATGTAGCACATTTTCTTTATCCAGTCTATCACTGATGGGCATTGAGGTTGATTCCATATCTTTGCCATTGTGAATAATCCTGCAATGAACACACCTGTCCATGTGTCTTTATAATAGAATGATTTAAAGAAATATAAATCATTCTATTATAAAATTTTTTAATAAATAAAAATATCCCTAATCTCGAGGCTTACTATAAAACTATAGTACTCAAGATAGTGTGGTACTGGTGAAAGAACAAATAGGTTAATGGAGCAAAAGAGACAGCCCAGAAATAGAATCTCCTAAGTATAGTCAACTGGTCTTTGACAAAGCAGCAAAGGCAATCAATGGAGCAGAGACAGTCTTTTCAATAAATGGTGCTGAAATAACTGGACATCCACAAGCAAAAAAATAACTCTAGACACAGACCTCACACTCTTCACAAAAATTAACTCAAAACAGATCATAAACCCAAATGCAGGATGAGAAAATACAAACCTCCCAGAAGTTAACACAAGAGAAAATCTAGGTGACCTTAGGTATACTAATGTTATATCTTTAGATAAAACACCCAAGGTATAACCCATCAAAGAAAGAATTGATAAGCTAGACTTCGTTAAAATTTAAAACTTCTGCTCTGCAAAAGACATATCAAGAGAATGAGAAAACAAGACACAGACTGGGAAGAAATATTTGCAAAAGACACAACTGATAAAGGACTGTCATCCAAATCATAGAAAAAACTCTTAAAGTCAACAGCAATGAAACAAACAACCTAATTAAAAAGGGGGCAAAAGATCTGAACAGACATTTCACCAAAGAAGGTATCCAGATGGCAAATAAGCATAAGAAAAATGCTCAACATCATATGTCATCAGGAAATTGCAAAGTAAAGCAACGAGATACCACTACACACCTATTAGAATGGCCAAAATCTAACAGTGACAACCCCAAATGCTGGCAAGGATGTGGAGCAGCAGGAACTCTCATTCATTGCTGAAGGGGATGCAAAATGGTTCAGCCACTGTGGAAGACAGTTTGGCGGGTTCTTACAAAAGTAAACATATTTTTACCATATCATCCAGGAACCATGCCCCTTGATATTTACTCAAATGAGCTGAAAACTTATATCCACACAAAAACTTGCACATGAATGTTTATGGCTGCTTTACAATTGCCAAAACTTGCAGGCAACCAAGTTGTCAACCAAGATTCATTAGGTGAATGTATAAATAACTGTGACATATTCTGATAGTAGAATATTATTCAGCACTATAAAGTAATGAGCTATCAAGCTGAGAAAAGATATGAAGGAAACTTAAATGTATATTACTAAGAGAAAGAAGCCAATTTGAAAAGGCTACATATTGTATGATTCCAACTATATGACACTCTGGAAAGGCAAAACTATGGAGACAGTAAAAGGGTCAGTGGTTGCCAGAAGGTAATAAATAGGGAGGGAGGGATGAGGAGACAGAGCACAAAGGATCTTCACGGCAGGGAAACTTCTCTGTATGATATCATAATGGTGGATACTCATCACTACACATTTGTCAAAACCCACAGAATGTACACCACCAAGAGTGAACCCTAATGTAAACTACGAACTTTGGGTGATGATGATGTGTCAACATAGGTTCATCAATTGCAACAAATGTACCACCCTGGTATGGGGTGTTAACAGTGGGGAAGTCTGTGCGTCTGCAAGGGCAGGAGGTAAGTGGGTCATCAGCCTCAATTCACACATCCTCATGGTCCATCTAAAGGTGTCAATCATGAAATAAGGGGTGGGGAGACAGGTTCCATCCTATCCCTCCAGGGAACACCGAGGAAAAAGAAATTAGAGAAAGGAAGGGCAGGTGAAGAAAAACTATCATAAACCTCGTCTCAGAGCACACCTTATCCATCTTTGTGTATGACCTCTCCAGGTCTCCTCTATTCTGCACCCCGTCATGGTTTTTGGGGTTTCTTTAAACGTGGGACTTGGCATCTGGCTGTGCTGGCTGTGCTGATGACTGGACTCATACTGTTGGTGGAGTTCATTTTGAAGCTGGATCTTATCCCTTGCTTTTGTCTTAGCCGTTGTGATGATACTGAGTGCAAGAGGTCAAGAGCAGAGTTCAGGACCCTCTCCAGCAGGCCTTCTATTCCGCAGGGACGTCTTGGTTCTTGCTTTGTGCTGGACACCATTCACATGTTGAGGGTGAACACACAAAGTGCCAAACTCCCTGCCAGATCTCAGCCATCTCACCTGAGTGGACAGCATGACAGGCTTTTATCACTTGCCCAGAGTGGTCATCAGCGCTCCGCCTGCCCCTGTGGCTCCAGAGAGGCAGGATATCTTAGGCTCTAAAGACAAAAACCCATAAAAACTGGGGATTTATATGGGGAACTTGATGGGACTTGGGGGATTTTCAACCCTGAACACATCTGCTTCACGCAGGGCCTTAGCTCTTCCTGGCATAGCTTCTGGCCAGACCACAGCAGTCCAGAGCAGAAGTGCCCTCCCCAGACTGCAAAAGCACCCCCCAGGTCTAGTTCTCTTCCCTGAAGAGAAATAAGAGGCTAAAGTGCTGCGTACACTCCATCCCAGCCTCCCTTCACTCCCCTTCACTGCCCGCCTGACTCTCCTCCTGCTATATTACTCACTCAGTCTGCGTTTTCTCTTCCAAACCCAGTGCCCTCCTTTTAAATGAGGCAGGAGGATCGCTTCAGCCCAAGAGTTTGAGGCCAGCCTGGGCAACACAGCGAGACCTCATCTCTAAAAAATAAAAATAAATAAATGATTTCAAATATCACAGTGTTCTCAGCCAGGGATTTCGCAAAGTATAGCTGCCATGCCAAATCTGGCCACCATGTACTAATGTAAACACAGTTCCATGGTGTGCGTGCCGTCCATGGCTGCTTTCACACCACAACAGCAGGGTCCAGTCATTTCCGCACAGACCGTGTGGCTCATAAAGCCTAAAATATTTACTATCTGGCCCTTTACAGAGAACATTTGCTGACCCCTGCTCGAAGCTAACCAGAATGCATCCTGAGAATCGGATTTGAGGTTCTATCAAATGTAAGTGTTGCCTGGGAAGATGGTTGAACAGTAAGAAGTCTGGGGAGTGTGACTTAGGAGTGACTGTCACAGCAACCACAGACACGTAAGTTAGAAGCAGGCTCTGGAAGGACCTGAGAGCTCTGTGCAAACACCGGGAAGCTGTCACATGTGAGAGGCACCTGTTTATTTCCACTGTAGAGGGCAGAAACTGTCTCCTTTGCCATCGCATCACTCACCCAACACACTGCATGGCATGGGGGCAGGAGTATAACGAACTACCTGTTGAATCAATGTACAAAAAAGTCCAGTAGATGTCTTCAGATATTCTAGCAGGTGAAAGTAAGGAGAAACATAATGTTTAATTCAACGTTGGGGAGAGCCCTAACTATCAGAATTATCCAAAAGCAGAACTTTTGGATTCATCATAAAGCCATGAGCACCTTCAGTCAGCAGAGGCCAGTGAAATGGATGGACATGACCACATAAAAAAGATACTGAAGAGGCCGGGCATGGTGGCTCATGCCTGTAATCCCAGCACTTTGGGAGGCCAAAGTGGGCGGATCACCTGAGGTCAGGAGTTTGAGACCAGCCTGGCCAACATGGTGAAACCCCATCTCTACTAAAAATACAAAAATTAGCTGGGCGTGGTAGCACGTGCCTGTAATCCCAGCTTCTCAGGAGGCTGAGGCAGGAGAATCACTTGAACCCAGGAGTTGGAGGCTGCAGTGAGCCAAGATCATGCCATTGCACTCCAGCCTGGGCAACAAGAGTGAAACTCTGTCTCAGGAAAAAAAATAAAAATAAAAAGGATGCCGAAGAACCCATTTTTGCCCTGGTGGGAAATTAACCTAGATGACATCACAGTTCTTTCCTGTCTAGAAGCCTATACCTTCACTAGCTCTAGGCTTGAACTAAAGAAAAAGTGTATGTTTCCTATCTAAAAGTAACCCCTCAAAAATGTTTTTTTTTTTGTTTTTTTGGGTTTTTTTTAGATAAGGTCTTTCTCTGTCGCCCAGGCTGGAGTGCAGTAGCACGATCCCAGCTCACTGCAACCTCCACCTCCCAGGTTCAAGTAATTCTCTTGCCTCAGCCTCCTGAGTAGCTGGGACTACAAGCGCACGCCACCATGCCCAGCTAATTTTTGTTTTTTGGTAGAGACAGTGTTTCACCATGTTGGCCAGGCTGGTCATGAACTCCTGACCTCAAGTGATCCGCCCACCCTGGTCTCCCAAAGTGCTGGGGATTACAGGAGTGAGCCACCGTGCCTGGCCCCCAAAAATGTTTTTTCTCCTTCTAATCAGACTTTGTCTAATACTGGGCATTATCCTTGTACATATTTGTTATTAGATTGATAGCTTTATTTTTAATACATATTACCCTGCATTAATATTTCAGAATAAGAATTTACTGCTGAATGCATAGCTCAGGTATACACATATACCCAAGGATATTTATTCTGGGTTCATTGATTTGTGCTAAACTAACTAAATCTCATGAGTAAAATTCATTAGGTACTTCCACTGTTTGATTGATGATGACACACCATGCCAATGAACTCAAAGGCAATTTCTGACTCCCACTGATAAAGATTCAAGAATCCGAGCCCCAAGGCAAAGCACCAGTACTTTTTCCTATAATCGGATTACAGCAGGCACCCAACTCCAGGGCAGGGATCTAGTCATTCTGGAGCCACCAGCACCAACCACGATGTCTGCCACTCAGGGCAGGGGCTGAAACAGCATGTGACCATCAGACAGAAAGCAACACCTTAGCGCCAGCAAGGGGACTCCAGTACCTCTGCTGAAATCTTTGGGATCCAGCGACAGACTGTAGCCGGGCAGCGTTTCCAGGAGGAGTTTGTAGCAGGCCCTCCACCCAGGCTCCGCGATGCTTGGGGCCACGCACTGCATGGCGGCCACGCGCTTGAAGAACGCAGACTTGCGATGGAAGCCGATCAGCTCATAGAGCTCGGAGAGGATGCTGTAGCGCTGAATTTTCTCTTCCTCAGAAAGCTGAAGCACAGAGAGAAAGTAAAAAGCTTTTGAAAGAAACGTATAAGTGAAAAAAGAAGCACACATTAAAAATGTCTCTTCATAAAACAAAGACCTGAGGAGAATCGAGGAGAATCAAGGAGAGGGAAAGCCTGGTGAGCAGCGCATGGCGCAGGCCCCAGGTGGCTTCAGACCTTCCCCAGCCACAGCTGCAGGTGCAGCCCATCTTCCTGCTGATAAAGCCCAGATTCTCTGCTACAAAGGTACCTGCTACAAATCTGAGACCTCTACTTTAAGTTCCTTCACAAAAGAAAAGAAAAGGAACAAGAGTTCATCTACACAACAGGATTTTATCAAGGTCTCTCATCAAACACAAAAATTCTTAAAACACAAGAAGACACAGAATCATGTAACTGGGTAATGAATTATTAACAATACCACTGATATCAGACTTAAGACTTCAGGGTTTACAAAAGTTTTCTTTCATCCAAGACCCAACTGAATCCTCCCAACAACCCTGTAGTGTAGCAATCATAACTTCTGTTTCTTTTCTTTTTTTTTTGAGACGGAGTCTCACTCTGTCACTCAGGCTGGAGTGCAGTGGTACGATCTTGGCTCACTGCAACCTCCACCTCCCGGGTTCAAGAGATTCTCCTGCCTCATCCTCCAGTGTAGCTGAGATTACAAGCACCCACCCCCATGCTGGCTAATTTTTGTACTTTCAGTAGAGACGGGATTTCACCATGTTAACCAGGCTGGTCTCGAACTCCTGACCTCAGGTGATCTGCCTGCCTCAGTCTCCCAAAGTGCTGGGATTACAGGTGTGAGCCACCACGCCCAGCCAACAACTTCTGTTTCTTCAGCACCTACTGTATGGCAGCAGACTTAACGTACCTGATTTACTCAATACAAGCATCCTGTGAGCTGGCAAATAAGGACATTAACAGCTCAGGGACACATTAATCACCTGTGCAAAATCACACAGCCAAGAAGTATCAGGGACAAGACCTGACTCTGGGCCTGGGCCCTGCCCACTGCACAGCGCCTTCAGAGAAGAAGGAAGGCAGAGCCCACTCTGCTGCTCCAGGAGCACTGTTAAGGAAGCGCTTCTCTCCCTCCTCTGCCCTGGACGATGAATGTTTCCCTGATGTTTCTGTGAGTACAGAGCCTTAGCTTGAACGCCCTTCCAACTTGGGCCTCCAAACCCTCCCTCCATCCCCTCTCCTCCGCGCTCACTGCCATGGCCTCGATGGGGCCCTCGTCAGCCCTCATCTGGAAGAGGAATCGGCATTGTCTTCCTACCACCTCTCGACCTTCCTTCACCTGTCCACACACCCCTGCCAGACTTAGGTTCCTGAGACATGGCTCAGAGCCCATCACCCGAGCCACGGTTTGAATGTTTGTGCCTCCCCAAAATTCACATGTTGAAAGCCTAGCCCCCAAGGTGATGGAATTAGGAGGTGGGGACTTTAAAAAGTGATTGGGTCAGGGGGTGAAGCACTCACAAATGGAATTAGTGCCCTTATAAGAAGAGACCCTAAAGAGCTAGCTCACCTGTTGCACCATGTGAGAACACAGAGAAAAGACGGCGGTCTATGAACAAGCAAGTGGGCCCTCCCCAGACACCAAACATGCTGGCACCTGGATCATGGACTTCTAGCCTCTAGAACTGTGCACAATACATTTCTATTGTTTATCAGCCACCCAGTCTGTGGCATTTTGTGACAGCAGCCTCACCGGACTAAGACAATCCCCATCTTGAAACCACTAGACCCCTTCAGGACTGTAAAATGGAGCCCAAATGCCTTCACGGGCATGCCAGGCCCTCCTCAGCCCCAACCTGCTCTGGAAATTCGAGGCCCCACTGCCTACCTATGACCTCACCAGACTGAACAACTTTAACTCATTTGTTTTCTCATTCTGTCAACACATATTTACTGAACCCCTACTCTGGTGCCAGCCACTCTTGTGGCAGAGGATACAGCAGTGAGCAAAACAAGCTAAGACTCCTACCCCTGGGGGCCTCCATGCTAATGACAGGCTAGTCCCCTGGCTTAGAATCAGTGGGGAGGATGACAATAAATCAATGAAAAAATAAACAAAATAGCTGCTCTAAGTCCAATGAAATACTCTTTGACATAGAATCATGGGTGGAAGCGTATGAGGCAGGCTGTACTAGGTGACGCCGCCGGGGCACACAGGCTCTCTGCTCCTGCAATGCCTCCACAGCCACATCTGGCTCTCCCTTTGGACACTCGGTTCCAATGCCACCCTCTCCAAGAAGCTGGTCCTCATGCCCTTCAGCGGGAAGCTGCTGCTTCTTTCCCTAAATTCTCCTAACCATGCTGGACTCCATAATGTCCTTTCTCTGTGTCTCCCACACAATTTACCTACATATCGGATCTCTGCCAGCCCCACTTTTCCTACAGTGAAAGGTCATGCCGACGCCGACGATGTGTGAGAATCCCTGTTGCTCCACCTGCTCACCAGCATATGAGGATATCACCTGCTCACCAGCATATGAGGATATCACCTGCTCACCAGCATATGAGGATATCAGTCTTTTTTATTTTAGACGTTGTGGTGGCTTTAACTTCCATTTCCCTGAAAACTAATGATGTTGAACCTTTTTCATATGATCACTGGCCACTGGTATATCTTCCTTTGTGAAGCGCTTGTTCAAATCTTCTGACAGTTTTTAAAATTAGATCGTTTGTTTTATTACTGAGTCGTACGAGTTCTGTATATATTCTGAATGCAAGTCCTTAGTTATATGTGTTTTGCAAATATTTCCTCCCGGTCTGTTGCCGATTTATTTCCCTAAGGGAGTGTTCATAAGCAAAAGCATTTCTCTGTGATGTAGCTCAATCTATCAGCTTTTTCTTCTATGGTTAGTGCCTTCTATGTCCTCATCTGAGAAAAATCTTTGCCCGAGGTCACAAAGATATCCTATGTTTTCATCTAGAAGTTGTTGTCTAGGTCTATGGTCCGTGAATATTCAAATTTGAGTAGGACATGGCCTGTCCCTTTCCAGGAGTGTGCAGTACAGCAGCGAACAGAAGCCCCAGTGCTGGAGGACAGCAGCCAGGGACGGGGTGGAAGAGGACTGTAAAGAGGAGGCAGGGGTTGGCCGGGCGCAGTGGCGCACACCTGTAATCCCAGCACTTTGGGAGGCCGAGGCAGGCAGATCACCTGAGGTTGGGAGTTCGAGACCAGCCTGACCAACATGGAGAAACCCCGTCTCTACTAAAAAATACAAAATTAGCCAGGCGTGGTGGTGCATACCTGTAATCCCAGCTACTTGAGAGGCTGAAGCAGAAGAATTGCTTGAACCCAGGAGGCGGAGGTTGCAGTGAGCCAAGATTGTGCCATTACACTCCAGCCTGGGCAACAAGAGTGAAACTCCATGTCAAAAAAAAAAAGAAAAGAAAAGAAAAAAAGAAAAAGAAGAGGTGGGGGTACTTAACGCCTTCATCACAAATCTGGAAATGCCCAGACCTTCAGCTGCACCCACTATGTGCCAGACATGATCAAAGATGTTGGGGCAGAGAAGGGGGCAGAGAAGACGAATACTGATCTTAGCCAGTGCCTGTAAAGAGGTCACCATCTAAAATAAAGGTGACAGCCGGGGAAGGTCACATGCCTTGGCCACCAATGCGTTAGAACTCCCATTGATTCTTTCATGGAACCTATCTAAGATGAAAGGTTGTAAATAATACTATGATCAGTAATAATATTACTTCATTCCTCTTATCATTTCAGTGTAATAAGAAGTCAAATGATAAATACTACATTGCAAATGGAATTGACATCACTTTAAAGCCCTAAAACGGTTCCTTAATGGGAAAAGCTCGAGCGCAACTGCTTTTGGGCACTAGGCAGACAATTGACTGAGAAGCCATGAGCCCAGAGAGCCTCAGGACAAAGCCATGTTTGGTCGACACAGGCACCTATGGCACAAGGAGCCGGGGAGTACAAAATGGTCCCTGGCAAAGCTAGGCCAAGATCCTCAGGAAATCTTGAAATGAGATGAAATCCCCAAACTCATTTCCAACCTGCTGCTCTTTTAGGGCATATTAATCAGCACATCTTTGTTCTAATCTTTCAATAGGCTGCACAGTCACGAAGTCCAAGTTCAGGGCCCAGATGTTTATGTGAGGTTCCAACGAAAGTGGCTCCAAGACTACTCAAGACAAGGAGCTTTATTCACAAGGCAGACTCTGAGGGATCCAAATATTAACTCACCATTCCATTTCCAAGTAGAAAGTAAGTTTAGACCTGCTTTATTCTGTTAATAAGAAATAAAGTGACAAGATCAGAGGGAAACTCCAGACACAGGACTTGTCTCTGGCAGGATGGAGAGGGAGGAATACAGCCTGGAGCTGTAAAGTCCTGAGTTCCAGGGCCACATCTGCATATCCCTAAGAAACAGGGATCATCAAATCTAATTACGATTGTCAAAAAGACTCAATGAAATAATGCAAACACTGAGCATAAGCCTAAAACTCTCAGTGAGTGTTCAAGAAACAGAAATATCACTGTTAGTTAATGCCTTTGACACCACAAGTTCTAACCCCAAGTTAACCAGCCACTGATGCTCTAGAAAATGCCTTAACCCTCATCAGCCTTCTCAAACGTGGGCACTTGCAGTGATCAGAAGAACAAGTCAGTGACAGATGTGTAGGGGCAGCCTGGTGGCCGCACTCAACTAAATGATGACCGTGGGAGAATGCCGGATGGGAAACAGCAGGCCCCACACATTCCCAGGTTTGAAAACACACTCTGCTCCTCTCTCCGGCTATTTCCAGCCATAATTACATGGAGAGAAAATACATCTTCAAAATTATACAAACTTTCCATATATGTCTATCAAAAAAGTTTGTTAAAAACATAACCTACTTTCTCATATCCCGGAGTAGGGGTATGAGGCATGCACCAAGGATTTTCCTTTATAAAGCATCTGTCTAAAGTAATTGGATCCATTTTCAGTTTTAATCATTCAAAAGTAAGAATGAAAACAAAGCAAAACAAAACAAAAACTTCAATAAGACCTGGTCCCTCAAAACTTCATGAAGTAGTAGAGGAGATAGGTCCATAAAGAATCACAGTGTTGGAGGCCGGGCGCGGTGGCTCACGCCTGTAATCCTAGCACTTTGGGAGGATGAGGTGGGCAGATCACAAGGTCAGGAGATCAGGATCATCCTGGCCAACACAGTGAAACCCCGTCTCTACTAAAAATACAAAAAATTAGCCAGGCGTGGTGGCAGGCACCTGTAGTCCCAGCTACTTGGGAGGCTGAGGCAGGAGAATGGCGTGAACTTGGGAGACGGAACTTGCAGTGAGCCGGGATTGCGCCACTGCACTCTAGCCTGGGCACAGAGCAAGACTCCATCTAAAAAAAAAAAAAAAAAAAAAAAAAGAATCACAGTGTTGAGGCCAGGCAACGTGGCTCATGCCGATAATCTCAGCACTTTGGGAGGCTAAGGCAGGCAGATTACCTGAGGTCAGGAGTTCGAGACCAGCCTGGCCAACATAGTGAAACCCCATCTCAACTAAAAATATAAAAATTAGCCGGGCGTGATGGTGGGTGCCTATAGTCCCAGCTACTCAGGAGGCTGAGGCAGGAGAATCACTTGAACCTGGGAGGTGGAAGTTAGCAGTGAACCGAGATCGCGCCACTGCACTTCAGCACAACAAGAGCGAGGCTCCATCTCAAAAAAAAAAAAAAAAAAATCACAGTGTTGGGAAGAAGATGGATGGAGAGATGGCTGAAACAGGGATGCTGTGCCCTATGCCTTGGACAGATACCTGGAAGGTTCCTAGACTACCAGGTATACCCACCACATGCTAGAGGAAGGACACTTTGTAAACAGTCAGTGCCCTTGTTGAGTGCACCATCCAAAAGAGATGGCCAAGCAAAGTCCGCGCTTGACCCCTGATCACCTCAGTTCCAGCCTTTGATTCATTCTTGGATAACCTGAAAAACCCACTCCTTTGGCTTCAAGAAATACTGCCTATTTTACCATCTTTGGGTTTAGTGAGCAAGCGAGTTCATGTGTACTTTAAAGATGATTTGAACTCTGACTACAGCTTTTCTCCACATTCATCTTTCCATACCAGAGTTCTCAGTTTCTTTTTTTTTTCTTCTCTTTTTTTGAGACAGAATTTCACCCTTGTGGCCCAGGCTGGAGCGCAGTGGCGTAATCTCGGCTTACTGCAACCTCTGCCTCCCAGGTTCAAACAATTCTCCCGCCTCAGCCTCCTCAGGAGCTGTGATTACAGGTGCCCGACGCCACACCCGGCTACTTTTTGTATTTTTAGTAGAGACAGGGTTTCGTCATGTTGGCCAAGCTGGTCTCAAACTCCTGACCTCAGGTGATCCGCCTCAGCCTCCCAAAGTGCTGGGATTACAGGCATGAGCCACTGCACCCAGCCAAGTTCTGAGTTTCTTTAAGTCTGTTCTCCATAAAATCTAGTCCCTCCAATGACAACTCATGCAGCCTGAAATTAAAAGCCAATTAAACAAGACCATACACAGCTAAAACGTCCCCCACCCCCCATCACTCCTTTCCTAAACTCCTCTCCTGCCTGTCCGAAATAGACTAATGCCTTCCGCACTACACTACAAAACACTAATGATGTGTTGTCAGATTAGATGGACACGGTGGTGCACACCTGTAATCCCAGCTACTTGGGAAGCTGAGGCAGGTGAATCGCTTGAACCCGGGGGGCAGAGGTTGCAGTGAGCCACGATCACGCCACTGCACTCCAGCATGAGTGACAGAGCAAGACTGTCTCAAAAAAAAAAAATACTTTGGGATACTTAAATGAGACCTTGGGAGAGAGGCAAAGGCAGTGTATTTGGGGTCTAACATCTCAATCCAGAGCTTCCGTGAACCTTTTTCATGTTTTCTGTTCACTGATTCATTCAGAACGTAGCTTCTCACTCCAGAAGGACTTATGTTTTTCTGCCAGGAGTTTGTGGTCACTCTTATACCAGGACAACTTTAAACTAAACCCTCTTTGGATTGGTTTTGTTTCCTTCTGTAATGCTTAATACTAAGCGTCAACTTGATGGGACTGAAGGATGCAAAGTATTGATCCTGGGTGTGTCTGGGAGGGTGCTGCCAAAGGAGATTAACATTTGACTCGGTGGGCTGGGAGAGGCAGACCCACACTTCATCTGCTGCCAGCGCAGCTAAGAATATAAGCAGGCAGAAAATATGAAAAGACGAGGCTGGCCTAGCCTCCCAGCCTACATCTTTCTCCCATGCTAGATGCTTCCCCAACTAGAACATTGGACTCCAAGTTCTTCATTTTTGAGACTCGGACTGGCTCTCCTTGCTCCTCAGCTTGCAGACGGCCTATTGTGGAACCTTGTAATCATGTGAGTTAATACTTAATAAACTCCCCTTTATATATGTATATATCCTATCAGTTCTGTCCCTCTAGAGAACCCTGACTAATACACCTTCCAACAAGATCAAGTTTCCTTATTTTCTTACTTTAAGGACTGAGGTATTTTCTATTTCATTCTTTTGCTAAACGTGTCGTTTAGGGGATCTTGGCTTTACACATGGGTCTGCCATCCAACTCCCAAGTCTGGGCAGGTCTAAGGTTTATTTTCTATCCCTCCTATGTGAGCACTGAAAACTGTTACCACAGCTAGGCAGGGCATTCTCTGGCTTCCAAGGCCTACTGACTTTCAGAATTCCTGCTTTTGGGAAAAGGATTTCCTTTTCCTTTCTTAACAATGAGCTTTGCATTTTGAAAGATGTTGGGGATGGGGATGGGGGGATTTTTATCTCTTAATCAGAATTTTAAGGAACTTGTGCTGAGAGTTTTTGGACCACTATATTGTCAAAACAAAAATCACTAAGTATTTTCCAAACTTAAGTATTATTTGAAATTTTTCTTTTCTTTCTTTTTAACTATTAACAGACTTTTTTTTTTTTTCATTAAAAAACATTGCTCAGTCCATGGCCCAGCCTGGTAACTGGGGCCACAGGGCCTGCCCGGTGCTGGTTTTTACCAGGGCAGCCTGGTGCTGGTGTCCGAGGCAGGCCTGGCACTCACGTTGCTCTCCTTTCCCTAGTGGAGGTCATCTCCCTCCATGCTGTGCTGCCTGGGGCCGGAGGAGGCTGGTGCAAGGCTGTCCTTCCCATCCTCTTCCATGCACCTTTTCTTATTTATGTGCGACCGTGGGTGTAGCTGTGGTCTCCTGCCTGGTTTCCTGGCTCTTGTGAAGGTGTGTGTGTGGATGGTTGTCAGGTTGGTGTTTCTTCAGGTGGGCAAGTGCGGAAAGGTCCTATTCTGCCATCTGGCTCACATTACACCTTCCCTAAGAGAATTAATATCAGCCCCAAATCTTCACAGTATACATGACACATTTAAGGTGAAGCAAACATGCAGGAAAGAAATGCTAGGATAAATCACTTGTCCCCATATATTGTTTGCCTTATAAAAGAATTATTTATTGCAATTAAATTTGCATAAAAAGAAAAAAATTAAGCCAGCAACTAGACTGAAGCCTTGAAGGGACATACAAAATTAAGAAAGGGATGAAGCCAAAAAATGAGAGGACAATCTATACGCTTAATAAAACCCCTATCCTACAGATGAAATTACCGATTCCTACAACACCTTATCTAAATATGACAGTAATGTAAGATGCCTTTCTTATTAGGAAACAGCCAAGATAAAAAATAATCAATTAAAACAAAAAATTAAATTCTAAGTTTTGCCTGCCAACTAAATTTGTCTCCTTCCTGGAAAAAAGGAAGATTTACTGGTTCTTTATTGTAGGTATCTCGTGTTCATGGATTGGAAGACAATATTGCTAAGATGGTAAAACACCTCCAATGGATCTACAGACTCAATGCGATCCCTATCAAAATCCCAGCTGACTTATTTGGAGAAATTGACAAGCTTATGCCAAAATTCACATAGAAGTACAAGGAACCCAGAATAGCCAGAACCATCTTCAAAAAGAACGAAGTTGGAGGAGACACACTTCCCAGCTTCAAAATTTACTACAAAGCTATAATAACCAAGATAGTGTGGTACTGGCATAAGTACCACATAAGATCAATGGAATAGAAAAAAAATTATGATCAACTAATTTTCCACAAGAGTGCCAATGGGGAAAGAATTGTCTTTACAACAAATGCTGCTTGGACAACTGGATATTCATATGCAAACAAATAAAGTTAGCCCTGGCATGGCGGCTCACGGCTGTAATCCCAGCGCTTTGGGAGGCCGGGGTGGGTGGATCGCCTGAGGTCAGGAGTTCAAGACCAGCCTGGCCAACACAGTGAAACCCTGTCTCTACTAAACATAGAAAAAATTAGCCAGGCCTTGTGGCAGGTGCCTGTAATCCCAACTACTCAGGAGACTGAGGCAGGAGAATCACTTGAACCCGGGAGGCGGGGGCTACAGTGAGCCAAGATCGTGCCACTGTACTCCAGCCTGGGTGACAAAGAGAGACTCTGTCTCAAAAAAAAAAAAAAAAAAAAAAAAAGAATAAATTGGACCCCCTAACTCACATGATGAACAAAAATTAACTCAAAATGGGTCACAGACCTAAATGCAAAAACTAACCCTATAAAGTTCCTAAAAGAAAACAAGAAATCTTAATGACCTCGGGTTAGCAATCTTTTAAATATATAACACCAAAAACACGTGAAGAAAAAATAAATAAATTAGACTTCACCAAAATTAAAAACTTTTGTGCTGCCAAGGACACCATCAAGAAAGTGAAATGGGCCGGGCATGGTGGTTCATGCCTGTAATCTTAGCAACCTGGGAGGCCGAGGCAGGTGGATCACTTGAGGCGAGGAGTTCAATACCAGCCTGGCCAACATTATGAAACCCTGTCTTTACTAAAAATACAAAAATTAGCCATGTGTGGTGGTGTATGCCTGTAATCCCAGCTACTTGGGAGGCTGAGGCAGGAGAATTGCTTGAACCCGGGAGGCGGAGGTTGCAGTGAGCTGAGACTGTGCCACTGCACTCAAGCTTGGGCAACAGAGCCAAACTCCATCTCAAAAAAAAAAAAAAAAGAAGAAGAAAAGAAAAAGAAAGAAAGTGAAATGACAATAACAAAATGGGAGAGAAATTCTGCAAAGCATGGATCTGGTAAGGGACTAGTATCCAGAATATATAATGAACTCTTACAGCTAAATAACAAAAAGAAAGTAAACCCCAATTTAAAACTTGACAAAGAGGACCAGGCGCAGTGGCTCGCGCCTGTAATTCCAGCACTTTGGGAGGCCAAGGTGGGCGGATCATGAGGTCAGGAGATCGAGTCCATCTTGGCCAACATGGTGAAACCCCATCTCTATTAAAAGTGCAAAAAAATTAGCTGGGTGTGGTGGCATGCGCCTGTAGTCCCAGCTACTCAGGAGGCTGAGGCAGGAGAATCACTTGAACCCAGGAGGCGGAGGCTGCAGTGAGTCGAGATTGTGCCACTGCACTCCAGCCTGGACAACAGAGTGAGACTCTGTCTCAAAAAAAAAAAAAAAAAAAAAAAAGCACATGGGAAAAATGCTCAACAGCATCAGCCATGAGGGAAATGTAAATCAAAACCAAAATGAGACATCACTTCACACCCACTAGAATGGCTCTCATCAAAAGATGGACAATAACAAGTGTTAATGAGGATATAGAGAAACTGGAACCTTCAGACATTGCTGGTAGAAATGTAAAATGGTGCAGCTGCTTTGGAAAAGTTTCACAGTTCCTCAAAAAGTTAAACCCAGCAATTTCACTGCTAAGTATATACCCAAGAGAACTGAAAATATGTGTTCCCACAAACACTTGTACATTCCCACAAAACTTTGTTCCCACAAAATACATGTACATGAGTGTTCATTGCAGCATTATTCTTAATACCCAAAGGGTGGAAACAACCTAAAGTCCATCAACCAATGCATGGATAAATAAAACATGGTATCTCCATATAGCGGATACTAAGTGGCCATAAGAAGGAATGAAGTGGCGGTTCCAAGATGGCCGAATAGGAACAGCTCCAGTCTACAGCTCCCAGCGTGAGCGACACAGAAGATGAGTGATTTCTGCATTTCCAACTGAGGTACCGGGTTCATTTCACTGGGGCTTGTTGGACAGTGGGTGCAGGACAGTGGGTGCAGTGCATCGAGCATGGGCCGAAGCAGGATGAGGCATCGCCTCACCCAGGAAGCGCAAAGGGTCAGGGAATTCCCTTTCCTAGCCAAGCAAAGCTGTGACAGATGACACCTGGAAAATCGGGTCACTCCCACCCTAACACTGTGCTTTTCCAATGGTCTTAGCAAACGGCACACCAGGAGATTATATCCCGCGCATGGCTGGGAGGGTCCCACGCCCGGCTGGGAGGGTCCCACGCCCACGGAGCCTCGCTCATTGCTAGCACAGCAGTCTGAGATCAAACTGCAAGGTGGCAGTGAGGCTGGGGGGAGGCACCCACCATTGCTGAGGCTTCAGTAGGTAAACAAAGTGGCCGGGAAGCTTGAACTGGGTGGAGCCCAACACAGCTCAAGGAGGCCTGCCTGCCTCTGTAGACTCCACCTCTGGGGACAGGGCATAGCCAAACAAAAGGCAGCAGAAACCTCTGCAGACTTAAATGTCCCTGTCTGATAGCTTTGAAGAGAGTAGTGGTTCTCCCAGCACGGAGTTTGAGATCTGAGAACGGACAGACTACCTCCTCAAGTGGGTCCCTGACCCCCAAGTAGCCTAACTTGGGGGGAGGCACCCCCCAGTAGGAACAGACTGACACCTCACATGGCCGGGTAGCCCTCTAAGACGAAACTTCCAGAGGAACGATCAGGCAGCAACATTTGCTGTTCAGCAATATTAGCTGTTCTGCAGCCTCCGCTGCTGATACCCAGGCAAACAGGGTCTAGAGTGGACCTCCAGCAAACTCCAACAGACCTGCAGCTGAGGGTCCTGACTGTTAGAAGGAAAACTAACAAACAGAAAGGACATCCACATCAAAACCCCATCTGTATATCACCATCATCAAAGACCAAAGGTAGAAAAAACCACAAAGATGGGGAAAAAACAGAGCAGAAAAACTGAAAATTCTAAAAATCGGAGCACCTCTCCTCCTCCAAAGGAACACAGCTCCTCACCAGCAACGGAGCAAAGCTAGACAGAGAATGACTTTGATGAGTTGAGAGAAGAAGGCTTCAGATGACCAAACTTCTCCAAGCTAAAGGAGGAAGTTCGAACCCATTGCAAAGAACTTAAACACCTTGAAAAAAGATTAGACAAATGGCTAACTAGAATAACCAGTGTAGAAAAGTCCTTAAATGACCTGATGGAGCTGAAAACGATGGCACGAGAACTACGTGACGAATGCACATGCTTCAGTAGCCGATTCGATCAACTGGAAGAAAGGGTATCAGTGATTGAAGATCAAATGAATGAAATGAAGGGAGAAGAGAAGTTTAGAGAAAAAAGAATAAAAAGAAATGAACAAAGCCTCCAAGAAATACGGGACTATGTGAACAGACCAAATCAACGTTTGATTGGTGTACCTGAAAGTGACAGGGAGAATGGAACCAAGTTGGAAAACACTCTGCAGGATATTATCCACAAGAACTTCCCCAACCTAGCAAAGCAGGCCAACATTCAAATTCACGAAATACAGAGAACACCACAAAGATACTCCTCAAGAAGAGCAACTCCAAGACACATAATTGTCAGATTCACCAAAGTTGAAATGAAGGAAAAAATGTTAAGGGCAGCCAGAGAGAAAGGTCGGGTTACCCTCAAAGGGAAACCCATCAGACTAACAGCGGATCTCTCGGCAGAAACTCTACAAGCCAGAAGAGAGTAGGGGCCAATATTCAACATGCTTAAAGAAAAGAAGTTTCAACCCAGAATTTCATATCCAGCCAAACTAAGCTTCATAAGTGAAGGAGAAATAAAATCCTTTACAGACAAGCAAATGCTGAGATTTTGTCACCACCAGGCCTGCCCTACAAGAGCTCCTGAAGGAAGCACTAAACATGGAAAGGAACAACCAGTAACAGTCACTGCAAAAACATGCCAAATTGTAAAGACCACCGAGACTAGGAAGAAACTGCATCAATTAACGAGCAAAATAACCAGCTAACATCATAATGACAGTATCAAATTCCACATAACAATATTAACCTTAAATGTAAATGGGCTAAATGCTCCAATTAAAAGACACAGACTGGCAAATTGGATAAAGAGTCAAGACCCATCAGTGTGCTGTATTCAGGAAACCCATCTCACATGCAGAGACACACATAGGCTCAAAATAAAGGGATGGAGGAGGATCTACCAAGGAAATGGAAAACAAAAAAAGGCAGGGGTTGCAATCCTAGTCTCTGATAAAACAGACTTTAAACCAACAAAGATCAAAAGAGACAAAGAAGGCCATTACATAATGGCATAATGGTAAAGGTATCAATTCAACAAGAAGAGCTAACTATCCTAAATATACATGCACCCAATACAGGAGCATCCAGATTCATAAAGCAAGTCTTCAGAGACCTACAAAGAGACTTAGACTCCCACACAGTAATAATGGGAGACTTTAACACCCCACTGTCAACATTAGACAGATCAACGAGACAGAAAGTTAACAAGGATAACCAGGAATTGAACTCAGCTCTGCACCAAGCAGACCTAATAGACATCTACAGAACTCTCCACCCCAAATCAACAGAATATACATTCTTCTCAGCACCACATCGCACTTATTCCAAAATTGACCACATGGTTGGAAATAAAGCACTCCTCAGCAAAGGTAAAAGAACAGAAATTATAACAAACTGTCTCTCAGACCACAGTGCAATCAAACTAGAACTCAGGATTAAGAAACTCACTCAAAACCACTCAACTACATGGAAACTGAACAACCTGCTCCTGAATGACTACTGGGTACATAACGAAATGAAGGCGGAAATAAAGATGTTCTTTGAAACCAATGAGAACAAAGACACAACATACCAGAATCTCTGGGACACATTCAAAGCAGTGTGTAGAGGGAAATTTATAGCACTAAATGTCCACAAGAGAAAGCAGGAAAGATCTAAAATTGACACCCTAACATCGTAATTAAAAGAACTAGAGAAGCAAGAGCAAACACATTCAAAAGCTAGCAGAAAGCAAGAAATAACTAAGATCAGAGCAGAACTGAAGGAGATAGAGACACAAAAAACCTTTAAAAATCAATGAATCCAGGAGCTGGTTTTTTGAAAAGATCAACAAAATTGATAGACCACTAGCAAGACTAATAAGAAGAAAAGAGAGAAGAATCAAATAGACGAAATAAAAAATGACAAAGGGGATATCACCACCAATCCCACAGAAATACAAACTACCATCAGAGAATACTATAAACACCTCTATGCAAATAAACTAGAAAATCTAGAAGAAATGGATAAATTCCTGGACACATACACCCTCCCAAGACTAAACCAGTAAAAAGTTGAATCTCTGAATAGACCAATAACAGGAGCTGAAATTGAAGCAATAATTAATAGCTTACCAACCAAAAAAAGTCCAGGACCAGACGGATTCACAGCCGAATTCTACCAGAGGTATAAGGAGGAGCTGGTACCATTCCTTCTGAAACTATTCCAATCAATAGAAAAAGAGGGAATCCTCCCTAACTCATTTTATGAGGCCAGCATCATCCTGATACCATAGCCTGGCAGAGACACAACAAAAAAAGAGAATTTTAGACCAATATCCCTGATGAACATCAATGCAAAAATCCTCAATAAAATACTGGCAAACCGAATCCAGCAGCACATCAAAAAGCTTAGCCACCATGATCAAGTGGGCTTCATCCCTGGGATGCAAGGCTGGTTCAATATATGCAAATCAATAAATGTAATCCAGCATATAAACAGAACCAAAGACAAAAACTACCTGATTATCTCAATAGATGCCGAAAAGGCCTTTGACAAAATTCAACAGCCCTTCATGCTAAGAACTCTCAATAAATTAGGTATTGATGGGATGTATCTCAAAATAATAAGAGCTATTTATGACAAACCCACAGCCAACATCATACTGAATGGGCAAAAACTGGAAGCATTCCCTTTGAAAACTGGCACAAGACAGGGATGCCTTCTCTCACCACTCCTATTCAACATAGTTGGAAGTTCTGGCCAGGGCAAACGGGCAGGAGAAAGAAATAAAGGGTATTTAATTAGGAAAAGAGGAAGTCAAATTGTCCCTGTTTGCAGATGACATGATTGTGTATCTAGAAAACCTCATTGTCTCAGCCCAAAATCTCCTTAAGCTGATAAGCAACTTCAGCAAAGTCTCAGGATAGAAAATCAATGTGCAAAAATCACAAGCATTCCTATACACCAATAACAGACAAACAGAGAGCCAAATCATGAGTGAACTCCCATTCACAATTGCTTCAAAGAGAATAAAATACCTAGGAATCCAACTTACAAGGGATGTGAAGGACCTCTTCAAGGAGAACTACAAACCACTGCTCAAGGAAATAAAAGAGGATACAAACAAATGGAAGAACATTCCATGTTCACAGATAGGAAGAATCAATATCGTGAAAATGGCCATACTGCCCAAGGTAATTTATAGATTCAATGCCATCCCCATCAAGCTACCAATGACTTTCTTCACAGAATTGGAAAAAACTACTCTAAAGTTCATATGGAACCAAAAAAGAGCCTGCATTGCCAAGTCAGTCGTAAGCCAAAAGAACAAAGCTGGAGGCATCACGCTACCTGACTTCAAACTATACTACAAGGCTACAGTAACCAAAACAGCATGGTACTGGTACCAAAACAGAGATATAGACCAATGGAACAGAACAGAGCCCTCAGAAATAATACCACACATCTACAACCATCTGATTTTTTACAAACCTGACAAAAACAAGAAATGGGGAAAGGATTCCCTATTTAACAAATGGTGCTGGGAAAACTGGCCAGCCATATTTAGAAAGCTGAAACTGGATCCTTTCCTTACACCTTATACAAAAATTAATTCAAGATGGATTAAAGACTTAAATGTTAAGTCTTTAATGTTTTTAACTAAACTTTAAGCTAAGTCTTTAACTAAACTTTAATGTTAAGTTAAAACCATAAAAACCCTAGAAGAAAACCTAGGCAATACCATTCAGGACATAGGCACGGGCAAGGACTTCATGTCTAAAATACCAAAAGCAATGGCAACAAAAGCCAAAATTGACAAATGGGATCTAATTAAACTGAAGAGCTTCTACACAGCAAAAGAAACTACCATCAGAGTGAACAGGCAACCTACAGAATAGGAGAAAATTTTTGCAATCTACTCATCTGACAAAGGGCTAATATCCAGAATCTACAATGAACTCAAACAAATTTACAAGAAAAAAACAAACAACCCCATCAACAAGTGGGCGAAGGATATGAACAGACACTTCTCAAAAGAAGACATTTATGCAGCCAACAGACACATGAAAAAATGCTCATCATCACTGGCCATCAGAGAAATGCAAATCAAAACCACAATGAGATACCATCTCACACCATTCAGAATGGTGATCATTAAAAAGTCAGGAAACAACAGGTGCTGGAGAGGACGTGGAGAATAGGAACACTTTTACACTGTTGGTGGGACTGTAAACTAGTTCAACCATTGTGGAAGACAGTGTGGTGATTCCTCAGGGATCTAGAACTAGAAATACCATTTGACCCAGCCATACCACTACTGGGTATATACCGAAAGGATTATAAGTCATGCTGCTATAAAGACAAATGCACACGTATGTTTATTGCAGCACTATTCACAACAGCAGAGACTCGGAACCAACCCAAATGTCCAACAATGATAGACTGGATTAAGAAATGTAGCACATGTACACCATGGAATACTATGCAGCCATAAAAAAGGATGAGTTCATGTCCTTTGTAGGGACATGGATGAAGCTGGAAACCATCATTCTCAGCAAACTATCGCAAGGACAAAAAAACAAACACCGCATGTTCTCACTCATAGGTGGGAACTGAACAATGAGAACACTTGGACACAGGAAGGGGAACATCACACACCGGGGCCTGTTGTGGGGTGGGGAGGGGGGAGGTGGGAGGGATAGCATTAGGAGACATACCTAATGTAAATGACAAGTTAATGGGTGCAGCACACCAACATGGCACATGTATACATACGTAACAAACCTGCACGTTGTGCACATGTACCCTAGAACTTACAGTAAAAAAAAAAAAAAAGAAGGAATGAAGGGGGCCGAGTGCGGTGGCTTACACCTGTAATCCCAGCACTTTGGGAGGCCAAGGCGGGCGGATCACCTGAAGTTGGGAGTTTGAGACCAGCCTGACCAACATGGAGAAACCCCATCTCTATTAAAAATACAAAATTAGTCGGGCGTGGTGGCACATGCCTGTAATCCCAGCTACTCAGGAGGCTGAGGCAGAAGAATCGCTTGAACCCAGGAGGCAGAGGCTGTGGTGAGCTGAGATCACACCATTGCACTCAACCTGGGTGACAGAGCAAGACTCCATCTCAAAAAAAAATACAAAAATTAGTTGGGCGTGGTGGTGCATGCCTGTAATCCCAGCTACTTGGGAGGCTGAGGTGGAAGAATTGCTTGAACCTGGGAGGCGGAGGTTGCAGTGAGCAGAGATGGCGCCATTGCACACTCCAGCCTGAACAGCAGAGTGAGACTCCATCAAAAAAAAAAAAAAAAAGGAATGAAGGACTGATTCGTGCTACAACATGGATGAACCATGAAAACATGACGCTAAGTGAGTAATCTAGACACAGAAGGACAAACACTGTCTTTTTTTTTTTTTTTTTTTTGATGGAGTTTTGCTCTTGTCACCCAGGCTGGAGTGCAATGGCGCGATCTCAGCTCACTGCAACCTCCGCCTCCCAGGTTCAAGCGATTCTCCTGCCTCAGCCTCCCAAGTAGCTGGGATTACAGGCATGCGCTACTATGCCTGGTTAATTTTGTATTTTTAGTAGAGACGGGGTTTCTACATGTTGGTCAGGCTGGTCTCAAACTTCCGACCTCAGGTGATCTGCCTGCCTCAGCCTCCCAAAGTGCTGGGACTACAGGCGTGAGCCACCGTGCCTGGCACTGTCCTTTTAGGTAAAGGGCATATAAGTGTTCATTGAACTACTCCTGCAGCTTTTCTGAAGGTTTGAAGTCTTTCCAGGTAAAAATAAAGTATATTATACATTACAAATATAAAACAATAAAAGCAATCCCTCATAGGGGGGGTTATGGATTAAGTGCAGACACAGGTGTGCACACCCACCAATGGTCACTGCCGTCACGGCCACTCAGGCGAGTGGTGCTGATGCTGGCGAGTGCCACAGGATGGAACATGAGTCATAGCTGACTCCACTTCATGCATCCAACAAACATTAAAAAGTGCCTGGTCTATGACAAGTATTGTGCTTAGCACAGTGGCTAAAAAAATGAATAAGATACAGTCCCCAGTCTAGAATCTGCATGCATTACCAAACTTTCCTATTAAAAATGTATCACTTTAATATTCAGCTCAGCTCTAAGGTAACCCCTAAGGTAAAGAGCTTAGAATTTCTAAAAGCAATAAGTGTCTGTAATATGCTCCGTTTATGCATTTATTTACATTCTGCCTCATTGTAAAAAAGGATCTAAAATCAATTTTTTAAACACATACAATTTAACAACAATAACCAAAAAAAAAAAAAAAAGATAAAAATCAGTGTAAAAAGAAAATGAGAATTCTAGTTAAAGGAAACCAGGGGAAGGTTAAATCACAAAAATGTCTGCCATGAAGTAGATGTAATTATTAAGGGTAAGCTAGAGACTCAGCTCTAAGGCTCCTAACAGCTAAAGCAAAACGATAAAGATGAAGGCCAGGCGTGGTGGCTCATGCCTGTAATCCCAGCACTTTGGGAGGCCGAGGCAGGTGGATCATTTGAAGTCAGGAGTTCAAGACCAGCCTGGCCAACATGATGAAACCCCATCTGTACTAAAAATACAAAAATTAGCCGGGCAGTAGTGGCGGGTGCCAGTAACCCCAGCTACTTGTGAGGCTGAGGCAGGAGAATCGCTTAAGCCTGGGAGGCAGAGGTTGCAGTGAGAGGAGATCCGGCCACTGCACTCCAGTCTAGGGAAGAAAGTGAGACCCTGTCTCTAAATAAATAAATAAATAAAAAGAGATAAATATCAACTCCCACGAAATAAGTATCTGCACCAACTGCAGGCATGTCCCCAGGCAGGAAGCTGTGAAGCACCATTCTCATCCTGGAGCATCATTCTCAATGCCTTCCTGGGTTAAACAGAACAACCCACAGCACGGATATGGGGCTCATTCTCCAGGCTCTGGCTTTTCCTTTATTTTAGTCCTCTCCCTCTTTCCTCACTTTATTGGGCTTCAAATGGAGATCTGAAACTCCAGCCTAAGGACTGGGTCAAAGATTCCCACCGCTTTGCAGGCAGCTGCCATCATCCACAGCCCAGCGGGGCATCAGAGGCCCACCTGGCTTGCTCATATCTCTGCAGCTTTGACTGCTCACTCAAGAGAGATTTCCTTATATGCCTCTTACTCTCTCCTAAAGACAAGGTGCAATATACCAGACTCTTGTTCATGCAGAAATGTCTCAGTTCCCTCTCTCTCCTTTTACATCTCTAATAAGGAACTTACTTTCCTCCTTCCCCATCCAACAGTTTCTTTGTGAGAACTATGAAATCCTCACAAACAATCTCTGAAAGCCACGCACCCTGCTGGCTGGACTGAACTGTTTCAGCCATAGCTAAGCTGCATTCCTACTACTTTCCCCCTTCTATCTTAAAAAGCCTTTCCCAAATCTCCCCGTGCCTCTGATTTTCAGCTTAAATTGACATAAAGTTTGAGGTTGCAATTATTATGTGCATATCTAGCAGGCTTTTCCTGGGTTTCCTTAGCAACAGCTTCATTAAGGAACTGCATCAAAAATTTTAAAGAGGCTATTCTTACATCTGAACAGAGTAGCCTGCATAAAATTTGAATGGTTTTGAAGAGAAAATTAACCAGGAACAAAGAGGTGGCAGGTCTTAGTCAGCAGTATCATAAGCCAAAATGTTTTCAAATGGCTCGGAATCATTCCTGAATATTTGGTTTGTGGGAGGCAAAGGGTGTTGGATTCAATGAGAGTTGATCCTAGAGTATGTTCTCTAATCTGGTAAAGTCAGATTATTTTCTAGTTTTTCAAACAATTCCTTACTACCACTTTCTCTTACTGTCACTTGCCATTTTTGACTAATTAAGAGTTAAGAAAGTGAGCCGGGTGCAGTGGCTCACGCCTGTAATCCCAGCACTTTGGAAGGCCAAGGCAGGTGGATCACCTAAGGTCGGGAGTTCGAGACCAGCCTGACCAACATGGAGAAACCCTGTCCCCACTAAAAATACAAAATTAGCCGGGTGTGGTGGCACATGCCTGTAATCTCAGCTACTCAGGAGGCTGAGGCAGGAGAATCGCTTGAACCCAGGAGGCAGAGGTTGTGGTGAGCCGAGATCGTGCCATTGCACTCTAGCCTGGGCAACAACAGCGAAACTCTGTCTCAAAAAAAAAAAAAAAAAAGAATTAAGAAAGTGAGCAGGGCATGGTGGCTCACGCCTGTAATCCCAGCACTTTGGGAGGCCAAGGCAGGTGGATCACCTGAGGTCAGGAGTTTGAGACCAGCCTGGCCAACATGGTGAAACCCCATCTCTACCAAAAATACAAAAATTAGCCGGGTGTGGTGCGGGCACCTGTAATCCCAGCTACTCGGGAGGGTGAGGCAGGAGAATTGCTTGAACCCAAGAGGCAGAAGTTGCAGTGAGCTGAGATCGCGCCACTGCACTCCAACCTGGGCTACAAGAGTGAAACTCCGTCTCAAAAAAAAAAAAAGAATTAAGAAAGTGAATTTCAATCATTTGGGTAGTTTGAGGGAAACTACCTGATGTGGTACATAGAGCTTGGATTTTAGAACCCAAATGGTTTAAATACCAATGGTGGTATCTACAAGACAATCCTGGAGACACGGCAAACTCCTCTCCTCAATTTCTCATCCTTAAAATGGAGCGTAATAAACTACTTTGCAAAGTTGTTGTGATGATTATGGCCAATATCTGAAAAGCATCTAGCTAAATGCATGCAACAAGCTGGCTGCTTAATCACTCATATTATCAATGAGTTTCAGCTTATCCGATAATGGAGAGGTTCTGCCTTTTCATCTTTTTTGTGTGCCAACAGAGCTTATTTTACAGGATTAATACTGCTAGAGCAGGCCTGACTAGAAAATTCCCCAGGTCTACAAGGCAGAACATGTTCTTTTCCTTGGATCAAATTCACAATTATCTATGTTTATGTTTATCTGCTCAGTACCCATTTCCCCCTGTAGACCTGAAGCTCAGTCAGCATGAGACCACGTCTGTTTTGCTGCCCGCTGAACGCTCAAGGCTAGCAGACGACGGACACAGCGCCGAGTGCCTGGCCTTTGGTGTGGAACAAGTGAGTGAGGGCAGGAAAGAGAGAACCAGCACGCCTCCCAGAGGCCCTTCGCCTCTGAAATTATGGTCTGGCTTTGGACAAGTTGTACAACCTTTCCTTAGCCTGAGGTTCCTCCTCTACAAACAAGAATATCTGTACTGGAAACACAGAATTATAAGGATTAAAGAAAATAACCAAATTCACAAGCCTGTAAACTGTCTGTTAATGGGTCCTCAACAAACAGGAGCTGCCTGCATCCCTTTGATACAACCAGTGAGCCGTGAGGCAGACATGTTTGCTGAATGCTTTCTAAAAGCCAAGCACAGTGCTTAGCACTTTATATGCATTATTCTATCATTCACAACTTACAGCAACTCTAGAAAGAAGTGAATATTATCATTCCCATTTTATTTTTATTTTATTTTATTTTATTTTATTTTATTTTATTTTATTTTATTTTATTTTTTTAGATGGAGTTTTGCTCTTGTCACCCAGGCTGGAGTGCAGTGGCGCCATCTCGGCGCACTGCAACCTCCACCTCCTGGGTTCAAGCGATTCTCCTCCCTCAGCCTCCCGAGTAGCTGGTATTACAGGTGCCCCCCACCACACCCAGCTATCATTCCCATTTTATAGACTTGGAAACAGGCTAATGAGGTTACATAACTATTCCAGGTCGCACAGTGAGGAAATGGCAACTTCAACCTAAATCTGGGGGGCCAAAGTCCATGCTTCTTCCACCTCACCTCTACTTCACTATTTGCTTGTAAAAATCCACATGTCCAACCCATAAATGTACAGGTAGACAGCTATTAAATGAGGTATTTGCTGCCATTTGTGAATTATCTTAGATAGATAATTATCATAAACCATTCACCTAAACAACTAAAGAAAAGACAGGTCAATCCATATCCCTGCACACAAAGAGAAGGAACTCAGCAGTGAATTCCGTAAAACGAAAAAACCCTTTCCAATACCACTAAATCCAGATGTATTATTTATCAGTTTTTGTATTTGCACAGGGATTCTTAAAGCAGAAGGAACCTGCAATAATCATATCTCAGTTCCTTTCAAAATTTCCATATTAGCCAAAGTCATTTCCAGGAATAGATACAACTCATCAATTCTACAATGGAACATACTTGATCAAGAACCAAAAGCTTGTTCTATTTCAGAAAAACTACAGACCCCTCTTCTTTATTGTTCTTATAAAATCCCACCAGAACTCATTATCTTGCTGCCTGCTCATCTGGCAAACAAACATGGAGATGAGTCAACTCAAGCCAAGCGTCGTGCTGGGGAAAACTCACAGGGCCACGGAACCACATCTGCACTGTCCCCGCCCGCCCAGCATGGGAGCGCTGTTCCCCTTTCGCCGTGTCTTTGCTGACCTCTAGTGGTCCACAGGAAGAAAGAGCAAACAGCAAAAGGACAGGCTGCTCCAAAGAACAAAATGTCCTCACATTTTAAGTGAAAACATTTTATTTTATGAAATGTGTGTTTCTATACCCACCAGTGAAAAGAGATTCCCTGCATGCCCAATTGAGCAGCATTAACTTGCAAAGGCAACTCCAGTTGTTAACGGCAAGCCAGTCTCAAAGCCCTGCCCCCAGCTCCCAACCAAATTGTCTGCAATTCCACTGCTTCAGGCTTTCGGAGGGTCCGTTTAAAAGCACAGTCCACCCTCCACTGTCACAAAAGATGTCTCTTTACACCCTCCAATCTGATCATAACACTTGCCCATCGCAGAGTCACTTTATGGGGCAGGCATCAAGACAGTACTGGACAGGAGGTGTCAAGGCCAGTCCTTCCAGTGACCACATGAACTTGTTATCCTGTCATTTTACAGACCATACTATTAAGAGGCAGAGACACAGAGTGATTGTGCTCAAGGTTATGCAGCGAACAGGTGGCAACACAGGGGTGTGAACCTGAGCCCATCTGACAGCGCGACTCCACTGCGACTCCCAGCTTAGATTCCTTCAGGGATTCTCTCTTGCCCACCTGATGACTTTTATGCAAGACCTGTGACAGGAACTGACCTCAGCCTGCGTTGGGGCCTCTCTTCCCCACACTGTCCCTCACAAACAAAACTGCTATGATCCCCAAGTGACTTCTGTGCTCAGAGCTCACACCCAGCCACATGTTTACACCCAGTCTCTCTGCTCAGAGGCTCCTCAGCACCACTCTGCCGGGTACTTTTCACTCTCCTCAGAGAACACCTCCTCCGGGAAGCCCTCCACCCTCAGCACTTAGAGCATCAGGCTCCGGGGCAGGGACCACATCCTCATTGGCCCTGCAAATCTGTGGCCCGGCGCAGTGCTGAACCCCACGTAGGTCCCCCAAAAAGCATGTCAAATGAGAAGTATGATCCAGCTGTTGGTTCATTTGCCCGGCATCACTGGGGAGAACACCTCCCCTTGGGCGCCCAGGTAACTGAAGCTTCCACTTTGAAGTGTCAGGTTCCCGCTTCTGACCATCTTTACCAGAAACTTCAACATAAACTGCAAGATACGGACCTCTTCCTAATGCTCTTCTGATGACACACTGCCCCAGCGGTGGTGCTGTTTCCCTCATACTACGTGGCCTACAGCTTTGAGGGACTGTGGTGTTGTTTGTTTTTACTCGGTTTATGGGCTTTACTCTGTTCTGGTCGCTCCCTTTGGTGTGACACTGACACTTGCCACTTTGACTTATCGGCCTCCCTACCAACGTCTAATCTAGGAAATTAGCCAAGATGACGGGTCCAAGGGGCAGTAAATACACTTTACAGAAGAGGGAACTGAGGCACACAGAGGTTAAACATCTCGTCAAGGGAAGTGAAGCTGGAATGCCAACCCGAGCAGTCTGTATCCAGTCTGTGTGCTCAACTCTCATGCTAAAGCGCCTCTCTTTTTATAGACTATGGCTATAAACATTATAAAGTACCAAAATATGGACCAACTCTGAGATGGTGGTGACTGTTATTTTGTTTCTACTTAGGTTATCTGCTTTCAATTGAAAAAATTAAGAATCTCTGTAGTCAATGCGGCAACATTTCAACATATTAAATCTGGATGATAAGCATGAGTGTCTTATTATTAGTCATACTTCTTTGTGTGTTCAAAAGAGAAACTGATTTGAAAGTCTCTCTCCTCTCTCCTCCACCCCCTGCCCTGTCTCTCGCCTGAGCCCCCAGACCCACACCTCTCTCGTTATGTGAGAAGCTGAACCTCTCCTCTTTCCCTCCACCACTGCCTTGCAGCTTGCCCTCCTCGGAGCCCGGCCTGACCATCGGGCACCTAACAGAGCAACACTCCATTCCACCCGACCCACAGCCGGCCGCTGACCCTTTCCACGTAGACTCCCAAGCACGTTTCCAGCGGGCTGGCCTTCCTGCCAACAGCCCCAGTCCTTTGGGGAAGCTGTCAGCACTGCTCGCCTGGGCTCCCCAAGGGCCTCTGCAATGGGCCCCCTCCCTTCCTCTCCCTCCACTCCATACAAATCTGGTCACATCAGTCCCTGATGTTAAGACCTTGCCTTTTTTTTTTTTTTTTTTTTGAGACAAGAGTCTCACTCTGTCACCCAGACAGGAGTGCAGTGGTGTGATCTTGGCTCACTGCAAGCTCTGCCTCCCAGGTTCACGCCATTCTCCTGCCTCAGCCTCCTGAGTAGCTGGGACTACAAGCACCCGCCACCACGCCTGGCTAATTTTTTGTATTTTCAGTAGAGATGGGGTTTCACCATGTTATCCAGGATGGTCTCGATCTCCTGACCTCGTGATCTGCCCGCCTCAGCCTCCCAAAGTGCTGGGATTACAGGCGTGAGCCACTGCGCCTGGCCAAGACCTTGCTTTTAAAACCCGCCGCTCTTAGAAGCAGCCCCAAATGCTTCACCTGGCCGAGAAAGCCCTCCCGCTCAGACTCTGTCCTCCCTACCCCTCTCTTCCTCTCCCTCCCTCCCTCTCCTCCCCTACCTCTCCATCTCCCCATCTTTCTACCCCCACCGCCATCTCTGACTTTATTTGGTCTCTCCCAGTGATGTGTTCTGTTTCTGGGCATCACTCATGCTGAGCCATTTTCTTCCTGAATGACCTTCTCCCATCTCTTCTTTACCTGGCTATCTCCTATTCATCCTTCAAGGCCCAGTTCCAATCTCACTGACTTAGAGACTGTCCCTGGCCCCCACACCCTCCACCTCCATTAAACTAAGTTAAATCCTTTTGCCACTTCCTCCCTTGGCACCTGTACCTCCAATTTTTTTCCACTTACCCACTGCTCAATGTCTGCCTTTCCCACAAAACTGTCAGATGGATGAGGACAGGACCCACCTGCCTCAGCTCTCTTTCCCCCACCCTTAGCACAACGCCCTCCTAAGTATCTGCTGAATTACAGTGACCTACGTTCTCATACTCGTCTGGTGTCCTTAAGCAAATTGTTTAACTTGGTCTCAGTTTCCCTATCTATAAAGATCCAAGTTAAACTAACTAAATATCTAAAATCCTTCTAAGACTATCAATTTTAGGATTTAGCATTATCAATCCACAACTAAAGGTTTTAATGATTGTTTTATTAAAAATCCATTTAGATTCAGATTAAAGTATTATTTGCTGGGTTACCACTGTGTCAAAGGAGCTATATAAGTGCTTTCACAAACTGCATGTTTTATAAACCCAACACCCCAAACAGGGTTACAAATGGCAAGTACTTCATGAGTGACAATATCAAGACAAGAGGCGTAAAGCTTGTTGAAGGTTGCCAAGCTGGTAAAACACAGTTACTTCTCCAAAAAACAAACAAAAAAAATGCAAAGGACAGCAAGTTCTGAATTTTGAAAGTTAAATACCACAATGAAAGAAGTAAAATATACAAATAACCATGTTAATTAGAAATCAAGTTAAGATTCAACAGTTTTTATCATGGCATGCTGAACCTCAGCAAAACGAAATAAGCTGAATTCATAGTGAATCAATTCCGTAAGAACTGGATGAACTCTTCCACTTACAGGTAGACATACACTCACCTGTCGAAGGTTAATGTAAACTGCATTCTGAAGAAATTCTGATGCTTCCATGCTCCGTTTCTGAATTGCAAGGACACGTACAGCCTTGATGCACGCTTCCAACTCAATCACTCCCGCATTCTTATACTGCAGGGTGTAAAGGAAATGCCTCAGTCAAAAAAGAGTTCAGATGTTTCTGTCACATTCTAAAGGCTGTGCTACTGGGACTCAATAACTACAACAGCACTTCCCCCATCACAGGGCTCCAGATACCCCTCCTGATATGGTTTGGTTCTGTGTCCCCACCCAAATCTCATCTTGAATTGTACTCCCATAATTCCCACATTGTAGGAGGGACCTGGTGGGAGATCACTGAATCATGGGGGTGGTTTCCCCCATATTGTTCTCATGATAGTGAATAAGTCTCATAAGATCTGATGGTTTTATCAGGGGTTTCTGCTTTTGCATTTCCTCATTCTCTCTTTGCCTGCTGTCATCCATGTAAGACCTGACTTGCTCCTCCTTGCCTTCTGCCATGATTGTGAGGCTTCCCCAGCCACACAGAACTGTAAGTCCAGTTAAACCTCTTTCTTTTGTAAATTGCCCAGTCTCAGGTATGTCTTTATCAGCAGCATGAAAACAGACTAATACAGTAAATTGGTACCCAGAATGGAGTGTTGCTGAAAAAATACCTGAAAATGTGGAAGCGACTTTGGAACTGGGTAACAGACAGAGGTTGGAACAGTTTGGAGGGCTCAGAAGAAGACAGGAAAATGTGGGAAAGTTTGGAACTTCCTAGAGGCTTGTCGAATGGCTTTGACCAAAATGCTGATAATGATATGGACAATGAAATGAACAATGATATGGACAACGAAAGAGGGCTGAGGTGGTCTCGGATGGAGATCTCAGTTCTTGTTGGGAACTGGAGCAAAGGTGACTCTTGTTACGTTTTAGCAAAGAAACTGGTGGCATTTTGCCCCTGCCCTGGAGATTTGTGGAACTCTGAACTTGAGAGAGATGATTTAGGATATCTGGCAGAAGAAATTTCTAAGCAGCAAAGCATTCAAGAGATATCTTGGGTGCTGTTAAAAGCATTCAGTTTTAAAAGGGAAACAGCATAAAAGTTTGAAAAATTTGCAGCCTGACAATGAGATAGAAAAGAAAATCAGATTTTCTTAGGAGAAATTCAAGCCAACTGTGGTAATTTGCATAAGTAAGAGGCAGCCAAATGTTAATCCCCAAGACAATGGGGAAAATGTCAGAGGTCTTCACAGCAGTCCCTCCCATCACAGGCCTGGAGGCCTAGGAGGAAAAAGTGGTTTCGTGGGCCGGGCCCAGGGTCACCATGCTGTGTACAGCCTAGCGACTTGGTGCCTGTGTCCCAGCCACTCCAGCCAAGGCTGAAAGGAGCCAACATACAGCTCGGGCCATGGCTTCAGAGGGTGCAAGCCCCAAGCCTTGGCAGCTTCCATGTGGTGTTGAGTGTGTGGGTGCACCGAAGTCAATAACTGAAGTTTGGGAAGTTTCCGCCTAGATTTCAGGAGATGTATGGAAACAGCTGGATGCCCAGGCAGAAGTTTGCTTCAGGAGTGGGGCTCTCATGGAGAACCTCTGCTAGGGCAGTGCAAAAGGGAAATATGGGGTTGGAGCCCCCACACAGAGTCCCTACTGGGGCACTGCCTAGTGGAGCTGTGAGAAGAAAGCCACCATCCTGCAGACCCCAGAATGGCAGATCCACTGACAGCTTGCACTGTGCACTTAGAAAAGCCACAGACACTCAATGCCAGCCCATGAAAGCAGCCAGGACAGGGGCTGTACCCTGCAAAGCCACAGGGGCAGGGTTGCCCAAGACCATGGGAACCCACCTCTTGCATCAGCATGACCTGGATACGAGACATGGAATCAAAGGAGATCATTTTAGAGCTTTAAGATTTGACTGCCCCTCTGGGTTTCGGACTTACATGGGCCCTGTAACCCCTTTGTTTTGCCAATTTCTCCCATTTGGAATGGTTGTATTTACCCAATGTGTATACCCCCATTGTATCTAGGAAATAAGCAGCTGCTTTTGATTTTATAGGCTCATAGGCAGAAGGGACTTGCCTTGTCTCAGATGAGACTTTGAAGTGTGGACTTCTGAGTCACTGCTGAAATGAGTTAAAACTTTGGGGAACTGCTGGGAAGGCATGATTGGTTTTGAAATGTGAGGACATGAGATTTGAGGGGCCAGGGGTGGAATGACAATAATCTGACTCTGTGTCCCCACCCAAATCTCATCTTAAATTGTACTCCCACAATTCCCACATGTTGTGGGAGGGATCCAGTGGGAGATAATTGAATTGTGGAGGTGGTTTCCCCCATACTGTTCTTGTGGTAGTGAATAAGTCTCATGAGATCTGTGTTTTTATCAGGAGCTTCCGCTTTGGAGTCCTCTCCTCATTCTCTCTTTGCCTGCTGCCATCCATGTAAGACGGGACTTACTCCTCCTTGCCTTCCACCATGATTGTGAGGCTTCCCCAGCCACACAGAACTGTAAGTCCAATTAAACCTCTTTCTTTTGTAAATTGCCAGTCTCCAGTACGTCTTTATCAGCAGCATGAAA
The DNA here is from genome assembly GCF_000001405.40 of Homo sapiens. NCBI lineage: Eukaryota > Metazoa > Chordata > Mammalia > Primates > Hominidae > Homo > Homo sapiens. Next base: position 140,400,198 of record NC_000008.11, read on the forward strand.
ATGGACTAATACACCTCCCCACCAAAGCCAGAGAATTTGTTTGTGAGAAAGTCTATCCTTTATGGAAGCAAAAGCGATTGGTGTGGCTGAGTGAGTCTATGAATGCCACATAAATGTGTATGCATTCATTAAAATAATATGACCACAGTAGCTTGCTATTTTGCAAAATTTCAAAATATTATCAATGGATGCTTTGCTATCCATTTCTGCTTATCATCCCTTGTAGTACTCTCAAACATTTTTAGAAACTCTCACACCTGCGGCTGTAATGCAGTTGTTGTAAATTCATTTTACTTGGTTGCAAAACATCCGGCTCCCTGTGTGCTCAATGCTTTCTGACTTTGTCTCAGAGTTGCTTGTTCCTACTTCTCAGTTCCTATTATGGTTCCTGAGATGAAGAACAAATGAGGGCGTTTGGAACAGAAAAGCCTTCGTGGAATTTCATTCAACTATGCAATAAACTGGGGAGTATCTCTTAAGCTTCATCCCCAGTTCTCCTAGCTTCAAGCCAGGAGAGCCATCCCCACCCCCTCTTACACACCATGTGGCTCCAGACCCGGGAGCAGGGAAAGGAGGAAGGATTCAGGTTCCAGAACCCTTCCAAAAAAGAAGAGTTCAGATGGATGGATCTCCTTCCTTCCCTCCAATGCCCTTCTCCCTCCCAAGCCTCCACTGCAAAATCCTCCATGCTAGCCATTCTGCATTTTTGTTTTCTACTCCAAACCTTATTTTTATTTTTTTTCCTAGTTATCCCAACTGGACTGATTTTCAACTGATGTTGCATAATTTAAAATTAAAGAAAGGGTTTATAGAGGTTGTCCATGTATACTAGTACCTGAAGAGAAACAGAGGTTGGGAGGAAAAACACACTAATATTCTTTTGCTGGGGCATTAGGTCATGTGAAAACCAATGCATATAATCGACAAGCCTTTGCTGAGACCCACTAGTGGCCTGGTGTGGCATCACTGCTAATGAACATGCAGTCTATTTACCAATCATGAAGAAGCAAAGGCGCAACTGGTTATCTTTCTCACTAAAATCATGTACAAGGTGGGACAAGCAGTTTTATAATTACTATGTCAGAAAGGGTAGGCTTCATTCCTCCCCTTTTCCACACATATAATGTACATGTAATCTGTTATATTAAATATAAGTTATCACAGACGATCAGAAAAAGGAGCTACTTATACCTGCTTAAATACCAACAATGAAGTCAGAAATCTATCAATTGTATATACTGTTTCATGACACAAGAAAAAACTAACACAGGGACTTGATTCTATGGAAATGCCATTTTTCCTTCAAATCTCTTAAAACAGTTTCTATTGACGTGAGAATAAAAGTCATCACAAATTTTTCCCACATATTTTTGGTTAAATTTACATATTTTAATGTATATTACAAAGAGATTTAAAATGAAATCATGAAAAATTATTTTTTTTTGAGACAGAGTCTTGCTCTGTTGCCCAGGCTGGAGTGCAGTTGCTTGATCACAGCTCATCGTAGCCTCAATCTCCCAGGCTCAGGTGATCCTCCCACTTCAGCCTCACTGGTACCTGAGACAGCAGGTGTGCACCACCACACCCGGCTAATTTTTTTGTATATTTTGTAGAGGCGGGGTTTTGCCATGTTACCCAGGCTGGTCTGGAACTCCTGAGCTCAAGTGATCCTCCCACCTCAGCCTCCCAAAGTGCTGGAATTACAGGCATGAGCCATTGCACTCAACCTCTTTTTTTTTTTTTTTAATTAATTCTTTCCTACCATCCAAATTTTCATGGCCAGTATGATTAATATATTATTCCTCAAAAATTCTAAAATAATTTGTTCAAGTTAAAAAAAAACAGACTGGAGTTTTGATGGGGCTTTCAATATGTTTTATTCTGGGAGGTTATGTGTAGTGGCTTAGGCCTGTAATCGCAGCGTCTCAGGAGGCCATGGTGGGAGGATTGCTTCAGGCCAGGAGTTCCAGACAAGCCTGGGCAACATGGACAGACCCTGTCATTACAAATAAAAAATAAAAAATTAGCCAGGTGCGGTGGGATGCACCTGTAGTTACAGCTACTTGGTCATCTGAGTGAGGCCAAGTGAGGTAGGAGGATGAGGGTGGGAGGATTGGTTGAGTGAAGGATTTTGAGGTTACAGTGAGCTGTGATCATGCTACTGCACTCCAGACTGGGCAACAGAGCAAGACCCTGTCTCAAAAAAAAAAAAATGGGTGGGTGCAGTGGCTCACGCCTGTAACCCCAGCACTTTGGGAGGCCCGAAGCAGGCAGATTGCTTGAGCCAGAAGTTCAAGACAAGCCTGGGCAACATGGTAAAACCCCATCTCTACAAAAAATACAAAAAAAATAGCTGGGCATGGTGTTGCACACCTGTAGTCCCAGCACACAGGAAGCCAGAGGTGGGGGGATCACCTGAACCTGGGAGATAAAGGCTGCAATGAACCGTGATCACGCCACTGCACTCCAGCCTGGGCAACAGAACAAAACCCTGTCTCAAAAAAAAAAAAGAAAGAAAGAAAGAAACACTCTTAGATATCAAGTAAACTACTAAAATAGATAAAATATGGTGCTGAAGAAAAGAAAGATTCATAGAAAGGAATGAAAAGTTAATATGTGAAAGTATTTAGTACAGGTAAGAATTCAAATCAAAAAGAAAAAAATATGAATTCAATACATTGTGGTGCGACAATGAGGTAATGACCTGGAAAAAATAAATTGTATTCTTATGTCATAATACACACAAAATAAATTACAGATAATTAGATAATTATAAAAATATTTTAAATGCTAATAACGGTGAATACAGATATATGTTTGCATAGATTATCTCAGCTTATCTTAACTACAGCTCTATGAGATGATGGGTACTGTTATCATCCTCATTTTAGAGATTAAAAAACTAAGGAAAAGAGTTTTATTCTATCATTAAGAAAGTATTTCTAAGCAGGCCAGGTGCAGTGGCCAACGCCTGTAATCCCAGAACTTTGGGAGGCCAAGGTGAGCAGATCACTTGAGGTCAGGAGTTCGAGACCAGCCTGGCCAACATGGTGAAGCTCTGTGTCTACTAAAAATATAAAAAATTAGCCGGGCATGGTGGCTCGCACCTGTAGTCCCGCTACTCAGGAGGCTAAGACAGGAGAATCACTTGAATCCAGGAGGCGGAGGTTGCAGTGAGCCCAGATCATGCTGCTACACTCGAGCCTGGGCAACAGAGCGAGACTCTGTCTCCATAAAAAAAAAAAAAGATATTTCTAAGCATAATGCCAAACTCCTGGCCTCAAGTGACCCACCCACCTAGGCTTCCCAAAGTGCTGGGATTACAGGCATGAGCCAATGCACTCAGCTGTATTGGCAAATATTTTTCAAAAATAATAGCTAGTGTTTGTTTATGGAGGAGTAAATTGTTAATAACCTTTTTGGAGGACAATACAGGAATATATAACACTTTAAGAAAAGTATACTTTTTTTTTTTTTTGAGACGGAGTCTCACTCTGTAGCCTAAGCTGCAGTGCAGTGGTGTGATCTCGGCTCACTGCAACTTCCGCCTCCAGGGCTCAAGTGATTCTTGAGCCTCAGCCTCCCGAGTAGCTGGGACTACAGGTGCACACCACCACATCTGGCTAATTTTTTGTATTTTAGTAGAGACAGGGTTTCACCATGTTGCCCGGGGTGGTCTCAAACTCCTGAGCTCAGGCAATCTGCCTATATCAGCCTCCCAAAGTGCTGGAATTACTGGCGGGCGTGAGCCACTGTACCATGCCAAAAAAAACATATACTCTTTAACTCAAGTCAACTTCTAGGAATTGTTCCCTTAAAAAAAATCAATCCAAAAAGATGTATGCATAGGGGCATTTATCAGAGAACTGTTTACAATAGGGGGAAGAAAAAACAGAAATAAATAATAATCAGTAACAGGATTGGTGAAATAAATAATTCTACATCTTTTCACTCTCTATCAGAGGAGGAATTTGGAGAGTAACTTGAACATAACCTATGATAAATGTTAATATCATATCCAGGATAAATTTCTAGAAAAATTGAACCTAAAGGAATAAGGATACAAGAACACAAGAATATAGGGGCAAAAATGTTCAGTAAAGCATTTTTTCTAATTCACGGTGAAAAAGTGAGAAAGCCTAAGTATCCATCCACGAGAGAATAATTAAGCAAATTAAGGCAAGCTGTGAAATCTTAAGAGCAGGCATTTCATCTTGTTCTAGGTGCTGTTTATGAGCATGTCTCACAAAATGTCTTGATGAATACATGACTACATCCACATTTTGGAAAACCTTTCCACACTCTCTGAAAGAAGCAAGCAGGATTTTAGAAAACCTTTCCACATGCTCTGAAAGAAGCAAGCAGGTCCGGAGGCGAGAGTACACCTGTGGTCTATGAGATACTGCTGAGTGGGTAAAGCAAGTGCAGAATAACATACTATGATCCCATTTTCATAAATAAGATGTGCGCGTGTATGTGAGCATGTGTGTGTACGTGCATGTGTGCGCACATGTGAGCATGTGTGTACATGCATGTGTGCACGCGTGAGCATGTGTGTACGTGCATGTGTGTGCGTGTGTGAGCATGCTTGTATGTATGTGTGTGTGAACATGTGTGTATGTGCATGTGTGTGAGCATGCGTGTGTACGTGCCTGTGTGCGGGTGTGAGCATGCGCGTGTAAGTGCATGTGTGCACGTGTGTGTGAGCATGCGTGTGTGTGTGTGTGTGTGTGTGTGTGTGTGTGTGTGTCTCATAGGCATAAAGGTCATGGAGGCTATGGACCAAGTTGTTGATAATAAACCAAGTTGTTAATAAGAGTAGAGGAGGTAGAGGACTTTCATTTTTTTACTTGATGCCACTCTTCGGCACAACTTTTCTTTTCCAGTATTTTAGTAAGTACATTTGGAATGCAAAATTGTTTTCAATCCAAACTAAAAAGAAGGGTGCCTCCATAAGATGGAATGCTCTACAGGTCACTGAAAATTATGCCTTGGAAGATTTCAACAGCATAGAAAACACAGACTAAAATGGGTCACCACACAGTACATAAGTATGCTCCATTTCTTAAAATATAAATAATATACATTGATAAAAGAACCAGAAAATAGATATAAAATATTAACAATCATTATCTGTGAGTACGCAGGCCATGAGAGCCTTTTTTCTCTCTTTTCCAAATTTATTATACTAAACCTACACTGTTTTGAATCAGAAAAAGAAAACATTTTAGGCATATAGTACTATGCATTAGAGAGCAAGACATGAATACTTACAGAAATAAATAATTAAGAGACACTGCAGCATTACACAATGTAAAATGGAAACTTCTGATTAAACAACACAACTGTGTAAAAAAAATCACAAAGCCATAAAATCACCTTGCTGTAATAGGAAATCGCCTCTTTATACTTGTCAATTATGTCTTCAGGGCTAAGGCAGTTCTTAGCACGTCCGATCTCAGTACTGGTGTCAGGGTTGATGCCATTGGTGGTGAGGGCACCTGCAAACCAAGAGGAAGAAAAGAAATAATCTTTTGCTTTTTCTGTATTATTTCTTTGTTAAAGAGGAGCATGAATAAGACAAAACTTAAATATGCCCTACTGAAATTTAAATAATGTAAGTGTTTAGTCTTCACAGCTTATATGCTTCCTATAATAGCCTTGCTATCAAAGCATTGTATTAAATGTTGGTTAACTCAAAATAAGTTTTCCTCCCTTTTGAAATTTTTTATTGAAGAACATGAAATGCATTACATAAAAGTAACATATTTACAGTAACTAGCTCAATTGTCTTGAAGGCAATGGTGAAGTCAGCACACATTCTCTCATAGCTTGAAGCTCTTCATGTTAGCAAGAAACCACCCCGCATCCTCAAAGGAGGTCAACTACGCAAAAGCATTTTCTGAACCACACGGCATTGAAAAAAAAAATTATAAATGATAGTATGCTTTCTATGCCTTTTTCTATTTCTGACCAACTCCTATCAATAAGCAGAAGCATCTGATTCCCCAGCCACCAAACCCACATGGACAAGCATTTTGGAGCAACTTCCATTTAAAGAATATAACCAACTAAACAGAGAACTCTGGCAGAAAAAAAATAAAGATAAAATATTCATTGACTTCACAGAACACTCAAAAAATATTCTCCTAAATCTCAATAGCAGGGAAAGCTGGGCTTCTATGAAACCACTTGTTTAGCTTACAGAGAGTGAGCATCTCCCACAAATCCTGTTTCCCTTGCACTGTTGGGAGGCTCAGGGATGAGCCTGCCACCCATCTGTATAACCTCACAAGGCCAAAGACGTGCATCTCACACTGCCCTCATCCCCTGTGCAGCTCACTTCTTACCCTTGTTTTCTAATCTTGGTCCAGTTTTTTCATCTGCTTATTGTTTGTTCTCTAATTCTGTAAGCTGCCTCAAAAGGTTTTTTGGAACAAGACAGAAGAATAAACAGGTAAGTGGAGAGATGGATGGACAGATGGAAGGAGAACTCTAAGAAAAGGAGAACGAAGCATTTCATGTGCAAAATCCTCTTCTGGTGAGGGAAGAAAGAACTGTAACAGAACTGTGGAGAGGCAGGTGGTTTAGGACTTTGTTTCCTGCTGATTTTGTGAAAATCACAGCAAGAGACAAGAGGGAAGAACTATAAATGATAATAGAAAAGGGCATGCTTGGAAAAATATATCTCAAATATGCACTTTTTAAAGAATAGATCCAAATCAGCACGACCCGGTGACATAAACTGTGGGTAGAGAATTGAGAACTCCATCCCCCAGGTACCAGGCACCCCTTCGAGCAGTGAGCATTCACACAGGTTGTTATAATGCCATAGGGGCAAAAGCGACATTTTTTCACACTCAGCGGAAGCAGGACCTACGTCAGGAACATCCACACGTGTCATCATCTACAGCAACTCTATGAGAGTATTCTTAGTGTACCCCATCTCTGCAGGGGAGGAGACAAGATCCTACAGAGATTAAATCTCCTTACTAGTTCTCACAATTACAGAGCTGGTGACCCCAAGTAGGAGGCCATCTTGGGCCTATGTTCTTAACGACAGAAGTGTAGTGCTTTGTGTGCTTTTCATGCTTATAATACATTTGTTTCTAGCATAAGTTAATATTTAATAAGTGACAAGGAGTCTTGATTTATTTCATTAGCTATAATGAATTATCTTCACATTGTTGAGTTTTACTCTCTTTTTTTCCCTTGGAGAAATGGTGGGGGGGGGCGGGTCAGAATGAGGTGGGTTTTTCATTCTTCACATGGTATCTCATCTCTTCTCTGAGGAGTAAATGATCAAAGCATAAGAGGGAAATCCCCCCGACGGAGAAGGAACAAGTGCTCCCTCCACCTTTTAAAGAAAGGGCATCTCCAGTCATGAGGGCTAATTTGATCAACTTAATTTCTTTTTTCTTTGAAACAGAGTCTCTCTCTCTGTCACCCAGGCTGGAGTGCAGTGGTACTGGAGTGCAGTGGCACGATCTCAGCTCGCTACAACCCCCCTCCTCGCTACAATCAAGTGATTCTCCTGCCTCAGCCTCCCAAGTAGCTGGGATGACAGGCACCCACCAGCAAGCCCCACTAATTTTTGTATTTTTAGTAGAGATGGGGTTTCACCATGTTAGCCAAGCTGGTCTTGAACTCCTGACCTCAAGCGATCTGTCCAACTCGACCTCCCAAAGTGCTAGAATTACAGGTGTGAGCCACTGCGTCTAGCTGATAAACTTAATTTCAACATCAAGGCTAGAGGAAAAATTTCTATGTGGAGCAACCAAGAAAAATATAAACCATAGGAAAATAACAAGAGCATCGCTCCCAAGAGAGCTTAGTGGGTCAGACCAATTTAATTTCATTCAACAAAAGACTAATAAGTTCTAGAAACACTAGTAAGCCATAGATTTGATCTTTCTTGACATCTGTAAAGTTGTGACAGCCCGTATGAGATGTCATCATGAACTAGTGGACCAGAGCCATCAAGACCCATAGCCTGTAGATTACAGGCAGGAAAATCAATGCCACAGGAGGCTAAGACCCAGATGGGAGGAGAGACAAAGAAAGAGCATGGATGAGAAGTCACGGGGAGGGGGGAAGGTTGAAAAAGGCACCACCAAAAAGGTTCTCAAGTATCAGCCCAACAATGCTTTCATCATTCACTAAAGAGATAGGTACTGAGCTGCTACCACACAAGACTGTATACAAGGCACAAAACTGGAAACCCAGACATACACATAAGATAAAGCAAAAAAAAGAAGGAAGACAGCAGAGATGGATGCCGCTTGAGAAAGGTTTGCCTTTCTCTCCTAGAGAGAAGCACAAAAAGGGCTTAGATACACCAAGAACCAGTGTGGCAATAATTTCAGCAATGGCTAACAGGCTAGCACCAGCCTGGGTCACTAACATCTGCTGTCCAACTACAAAGCAAAAACCCTGCTACGTGGGCACTGTAGGCTTTATTTTGCAGAGGAATGGCAGGAAGACAAGGCATCCATAAGCCACAGGGTGGGATCGAGTCCTCCAGCACCAGGACACAGTGCCTGGAATCACTGGGGCCAAGATGGACTTTTTAATAATGGTCTGGGACACCTGAGTGGCCATTTGGAAAAAAAAAAAAAAAAAATCAAACCCACACCTCACAGGAGACACAAGAGTAAACTCCAAATGGATCTGAGATCTGAATGTAAAACAGAAAACCATAGTTCAAAAAACACAGGTAAATTCCTCTAAAACCTGGACAAAGGAAAAGGCTCTCTATCACACAAACCTAAACGCAATAAAAGACTAATATATTCAACCACATAAAAACTCAGCAAAATTACTATAAACACAGCAAAACATAAATGATAATCTGATTTAAAAATATATGCAACATATATCACAAACGGCTAATTCCACATACATCAAGGTCACAAAAGTTGAAAAAGAAAAACACAACTAAAAATCCAACAGAAAAAAAAAATGGCCAAAAGATTTGGGCAGATAATTCATAAAAGAAAAACATAAAAATGACCCTTAAGCATTTAAAAAGATATTCAACTTCATTAATGGTAAGAGATGCCATTTGTCACGTATCTAGTTGGCAAAAATGTTAAAAGCCTGACAACACACAGTGTTGGTGTATATATGTAGAAAACACTCGCATGCACTGCTACTGTGAGTGCGAATGATGCGGCCTTTATGAAGAAGACTTTGGCAGGATCTAGTAACACTACATTTATGTTTACTTTTTGACCCAGTAATTCCACTTCTAGGAATTTACACTGAAGACACACCTTCAACAGTACAGAAACATACCTATGCAATGTGATTTGCTGATATATTATCTGTAACTCCCAAACACTGGAAACAATCAAACATCCACATGCAGAAGAGTGGTGAAATAAAACCCGGTACCTGCACACTTAGTGTGCCACGCAGCTGTGAAAGTGGATGAGAAAGATCTCCATAAGCTGATATGGACTGATCTCCAGGATACATTAGCAACCAAAATAGAACAAAAAACACCAAGTACAAAAGAATATATGTAATATCTTACCTTTTGCACAAGAAAAAGAATTAAGAACATTAATGTGTTTATTTAAAAAATAAGAAGAAGAAAAGGCCAGGAACAAATGATATAAGGGTAGGGAAATGAGGTGGAAAGAATAGGAGAGGCGCTGGGCGCAGTGGCTCACACCTATAACCCCAGCACTTTGGGAGGCCAAGGAAGGCTCCTGGGTTGAGCCCAAGAGTTCAAGACTAGCCTGATCAACGTGGCAAAATCCCATCTCCACAAAAAAACACATGAAAATTAGCCAGGCATGGTGGCACACGCCTGTGATTCCCAGCTACTTGGGAGGCTGAGGCAGGAGGACTGCTTGAGCCCAGAAGGCCAAGGCTGCAGTGAGCTGTGATCATGCCACTGCACTCCAGCCTGGGTGAGGGCATGAGACCTTGTCTCCAAAAAAAAAAAAAAAAAAAAAAAAAAAATAGGAGAGGAAGTGGCACTTCTCTGGGTAACCCTTTTTATATAGTTTTGATTTTTGGAATCATATTAACATTTTATATAGATTTGACCAGGCGCAATGGCTCATGCCTGTAAGCCCTGCCCTTTAGGAGGCTGCGGCAGACAGATCGCCTGAGGCCAGGAGTTCAAGACCAGCCTGGCCAACATGGTAAAACCCCAGCTCTATTAAAAATACAAAATTTAGCCAGACATGGTGGCATGCGCCTGTAGTCCCAACTACTCAGGAGGCTGAGGCACAAGAATTGCTTCAACCCGGGAAGCAGAGATTGCAGTGAGCCAAGATCATGCCACTGCACTCCAGCCTGGGCAACAGAGCAAGACTCCATCTCAAAAATAAAACAACAACAAAAAAAAAGGCCGGGCGCAGTGGCTCACGCCTGTAATCCCAGCACTTCGGAAGGCCGAGGCGGGCGGACCACAAGGTCAGGAGATCAAAACCATCCTGGCTAACATGGTGAAACTCCATCTCTACTAAAAATACAAAAAATTAGCCAGGCGTGGTGGCGGGCACCTGTAGTCCCAGCTACTCGGGAGGCTGAGGCAGGAGAATGGCGTGAACACAGGAGGCAGAGCTTGCAGTGAGCTGAGACTGTACCACTGCATTCTAGCCTGGGTGACAGAGCGAGACTGTCTCAAAAAAAAAAAAAATTATATAGATTTAGAAATATAAAACAGCAACTCAAAGAACTGTAAAAATAAAAAAAGGAAAAAAGATTTTAAAAATCAGCAAAGATGGGGAAACTCATTAATGATATATAAACAGCAATAATTACATTTCAAATAACATAATCACACTGACAGGAAGCATTAAAGGACAAATTCAAGTAACCTCTGACTGCAGCACCCTGTGTATTTATCCTTGGTATCATGACCAAGGATAAATAACCAAAAGAACCACAACCAATCCTTGAACTCTAACTCTAGGTACGGGTTTTGTTAGTTAGTTAGTATGAACTTGACATAACAGTAGAACTTCTCAAAGGGCCTAGAATCAATGAACCTTAGGAGCAATGAGCATGCTTAGTGACCAGACCTTGGTTTCTAAATACCACTTTCCAACAAAAGAAACTAAAACTCCTTAGAAAAACGTCCGATTCCAGAGCTGGAACAGGGAAAGTACAAAATGAACCTAAAATATCTTTCTATGTTTTTGAGATGGAGTCTCATTCTTGTCGCCCAGGCTGGAGTGCAGTGGCGAAATCTTGGCTCACTGCAACCTCCGCCTCCCAGGTTCCAGCGATTCTCCTGCCTCAGCCTCCCAAGTAGCTGGGACTACAGGCACCCACCACCACGCTCAGCTAATTTTTGTATTTTTAGTAGAGACGGGGTTTTGCCATGTTGGCCAGGCTGGTCTTGAACTCCTGACTTCAGGTGATCTGCCTGCCTCAAATTCCCAAAGTGCTGGGATTACAGGTATGAGCCACCGTGCCCGGCCTGAACCTAAAATATCTTGAGCCTGAAAGTAAACATATGTTCAATAACTGATTGAGGAACATGTCAAAAGGTTTTAAGAATCAGCTTGAAGAGCTTCCATTGGCCAAATCTAGCCAATGAGCTACAAAATAAAGAATAATAGCAATGGATTAGAACCTACTAAAAAAATAATGATCCATAAGTCCATAACAATAAGTGGATGGATGGAAAGAAAGAAGGAGAAAAGAAAAAAAAAGCTCCTGCTTATAGTAAAATGCGAATAAACACATAAGGAATGATGAAGCAAGAAAATCGCCATTTGGCAGCCAGCACAGTAATAACTGACTCAGGTGAAACTCTTCACTGAATCAGCCAGAACCAGTGGGTGAAAGTGTGATGACAAACAAGATGTATACAGTCTCAAACTATTTCCCACAAATTACTTATTATTTACATCGAGAAAAATAGTAACTTTACAGTGGAAAACTCCATCAGACTCCACTTTAACCAATTATCAAAGTTAGCCTCACCAGTAATGGGACAAATGAACCTCATGTGCCTCTGATTTAATGCATGATGGATCACTTGACCCCTCCTTCTGCCCTGCCAAAATGCAAAACCTCATAATCAAAAAGCAACTTCAGGCAAACACAAAGTGAGAACATTCCACAAAATAAATGGCCTGCATTCTTCAGAAATATCAATTATCATGAAAAACGAAGATAGGCTGAGACGATACTAAGTGCCATAAACACTAAATGCCGTGTGTGATCCTGGACTGGATCCCGCATCAGGAAATAGAACTGCTGTATTGGAACAGCTGGTGGAATGCAAATAAGGTCTGGGGGGTAGATAAAGGTATTGAATGCATCAACGTTAAATTCTCTGATTTTAATCACTGTACTGTTTATGTGAATGACCTTGTCCTTAGGAAATGCACACCGAGGTATTCAGGACAGGGCCTCAGGTCTGCAACTCACTGTCAAATCGCTCAAAAAAAACTTTGTATATGCACAGAGATCAAATAATAAAGCAAATGATAACAACTGGGAAATACGGGTGAAGAGTACATCAGAATTATCTTTACCACTCTTTTATAAGATTTATAAGTTTTAAATTATTTCAAAATCAACAGTTTAAAAAAATTAGAATTACAGTAAACTCATTAAGCTACAAAACAATTCTATTATATTAAAAACAGGATGTATTTCGTAAAGACAAAAGCGCTAAAACATATACAACTGGGAATATAAATGAAATGAAAATGGGGAAGATAAATTACAAATTAAGATCATAGGCCATGATCCACTGGTCTTTGTGTCTGGGAAAGGAAAGGAAAAAGGAAAGGAAAGGACATAGGCCATGAGCAGAATGAGTCACTTCATCACTTACACACTCATAACACTCGCTAAGTGTCAGGTGCTGAGCTGGGCACGGGGAATCCACTGCCACAGCAGTGTGTGCAATAATTAAAAAGTCACCACCCGGGTCGGGCACGGTGGCTCACGTCTGTAATCCCAGCACTTTGGGAGGCCGAGGCAGGTAGATCACCTGAGGTCAGGAGTTCAAGACCAGCCTGGCCAACACGGTGAAACCCCATCTCTACTAAAAATACAAAAATTAGTTGGGTGTGGTGGCACATGCCTGTAATCCCAGCTACTCAGGAGGCTGAGGCAAGAGAATCGCTTGAACCAGGGAAGCAGAGGTTGCAGTGAGCTGAGATCACACATTGCACTCCAGCCTGGGCAACAAAAGCGAGACTGTCTCAAAAAAAATAATAATAAATAAATAAATAGTCATCATCTGGACACCATGATGAAAGGAACATAAGCGTCAGGCCAGCCTTTGGCTTTACTGACAGCTGCCAGACACCTACTGAAGAACAAAGTCTTTTTTTTTTTTTTTTATACTTTAAGTTTCAGGGTACATGTGCACAATGTGCAGGTTAGTTACATATGTATACATGTGCCATGCTGGTGTACTGCACCCATTAACTCGTCATTTAGCATTAGGTATATCTCCTAATGCTATCCCTCCCCCCTCCCCCCACCCCACAACAGTCCTCAGAGTGTGATATTCCCCTTCCTGTGTCCATATGTTCTCATTGTTCAATTCCCACCTATGAGTGAGAATATGCGGTGTTTGGTTTTTAGTTCTTGCGATAGTTTACTGAGAATGATGATTTCCAATTTCATCCATGTCCCTACAAAGGACATGAACTCATCATTTTTTATGGCTGCATAGTATTCCATGGTGTATATGTGCCACATTTTCTTAATCCAATCTATCATTGTTGGACATTTGGGTTGGTTCCAAGTCTTTGCTATTGTGAATAGTGCCGCAATAAACATACGTGTGCATGTGTCTTTATAGCAGCATGATTTATAGTCCTTTGGGTATATACCCAGTAAGGAACCAAGTCTTGAAGGAAGGTCTGATTCTTTTTCTTCCCCAGGAACATAAAAATTCTGGAATAAGACTGGAGATACATCATCAAAAGAATTAAAGGGAAATTGACCCAAGAAGAAATATGAAGAAGTTGTGGTTTTTAAGCAAGCTGAAAGAAGATAAAGGAAGCATGACCAAAAAATATTCTACAGTAGAAATTTTTAAAAAATAAAAATAAAAAGAAGGCCAGGAGCAGTGACTTACACCAAAAATCCCAGCACTTTGGGAGGCTAAGGCAGGAAGATCACTTGAGCCTAGGAGTTCGAGACCAGCATGGGCAACATAGTGAGATCCTAACTCTACAAAAAATCTAAAACTTAACCAGGCATGGTGTCATGGCCCTGTAGTCCCAGCTACTTTAGAGGCTGAGATGGAAGGATTGCTTGAGCCTGAGAGGTTGAGGCTGCAATGAGCCATGATCATGCCACTGCACTCCAGCCTGGGTGACAGAGAGAGACCCTGTCTCAAAATAAATGAATAAATAAACAAATAAATAACTGAAATCATTTAAATGTGTTCTCCAACCACAACAGAATTCTTTTTTTATAACAGAACTATTTTAGATATCAACAACAGAATGAAATTTGGGGAATTCACAAATACTTGGAAATTAAATAGCACACAGCTAAATAACCAATGGGTCAAAGAAGAAATCACAAGACAAATTAGAAAACACTTTTTTTTTTTAATTTGAGACAGGTTCTCTCTCTGTCCCCCAGTCTGGAGTGCAGTGGTGCGATCTTGGCTCATTGCAACCTCTGCCTCCCAGGTTCAAGCAATTCTCCTGCCTCAGCCTCCCCAGGAGCTGGGATTACAGACGTGCCAACATGCCCAACTAATTTTTGTATTTTTAGTAGAGATGGGGTTTCACCATGTTGGCCAGGCTGGTCTTGAACTCCTGACCTCAAATGATCTGCCTGCCTCAGCCTCCCAAAGTACTGGGATTACAGGCATGAGCCACCACGCCTGGCCTAGAAATTAGAAAATACTTTGATTAGCTGGGTATGATGTCATGTGCCTATAGTCTCAGCTACTTGGGAGGCGAAAGCAGGAGGATCTCTTGAGCCCAGGAATTCTAGGCTGCAGTGAGCTGTAATCGCCACTGCACTCCAGCCTGGGCAACAGAGTAGAACCTTGTCTAAAAATAAGAAGAAGAAAATAAAAATAAAAATAATTGGAAAAAAAATACTTTGAGCTGAAAACTGGCCAGGTACAGTGGCTCACACCTATAATCCCAGCATTTTAGGAGGCCAAGGTGGCCAGATCACTTGCGGTCAGGAGTTCAAGATGACCTAGGCCAACATGGTGAAACCCCATCTCTACTAAAAATACAAAAAATTAGCCGGGCGTGGTGGTGCACGCCTGTAATCCCAGTTACTCGGAAAGCTGAGGCAGGAGAATAGCTTGAACCCAGGAGGTGGAGGTTGCAAGTGAGCCGAGATCATGGCACTGCACTCCAGCCTGGGTGACAGAGTGAGTCTCTGTCACACAAAAAAAAAGAAAAGAAAAAGAATACTTTGAGCTGAAAAAAAAGCCATAATATACTAAAAATGATATGCCACAAAAGCAGTGCATAGAGGGCAATTTGTAGCTATAAATACTTACATTTTTTAAAAACAGGCCAGGTGCAGTGGCTCACATCTATAATCCCAGAAGTTTGGGAAGCAGAGGTGAGAAGATCACTTGAGGCCAGGAGTCCAAGACCGGGCTTGGTAACATAGAGAGACCCCATCTCTACAAAAATTTAAAAAGTAGGCAGGCATGGTGCATACCTGAAGTCCTAGCTACTCAGAGGCCGAAGCTGAAGGATCACTTGAGCACAGGAGACGACTATAGTGAACTATGACTGTACCATTGCACTCTACCCTGGGCGACAGAGCAAGACCCTGTCTCTTAAACCAGAAGAAAGAGCTCATGTCAACAACCTAAGAAACTAGAAAAAGAAGAGAAAATTAAATTCAAAGCAAACAGAAAGAAGGAAATAAAGATTAGAGCAGAAATAAATGAAAGGGGGAATTGAAAAACAATAGAGAAAAGTCAACAAAAACCAAAGTTCATTCTTAAAACAACCACAAAATTATGAACTAGCTAAGAAGAGAGAAGAATCAAGTTACTAAAATCAGAGCTTAAAGAATAGACATTACTACCAACCTTACATAAATAAATTGTAAGACAATATTATGAACAATTATACACCAATGAATTATCTAATTTAGATGAGTTGGGCAAATTCCCAGAAAGACACAAACTACTAAACCCAACTCAAGAAGATCTAGAAAATCTAAATAGACCCATAACAAGTAAAGTGATTGAATCAATAATCAAAAAATCTCCCAGAAAGAAAAGCCAGGGACACAATAATAGACAGAGAGCCAAATCATGAGTGAACTCCCATTCACAATTGCTTCAAAGAGAATAAAATACCTAGGAATACAACTTACAAGGGATGTGAAGGACCTCTTCAAGGAGAACTATAAACCACTGCTCAACAAAATAAAAGAGGACACAAACAAATGGAAAAACATCCCATGCTCATGGATAGGAAGAATCAATATCATGAAAATGGTCATACTGCCCCAAGTAATTTATAGATTCAATGCTATCCCCATCAAGCTACCATTAACTTTCTTCACAAAATTTTAAAAAACTACTTTAAATTTCATATGGAACCAAAAAAGAGCCCAAATAGCCAAGACAATCCTAAACAAAAAGAACAAAGCTGGAGGCATCACGCTACCTGACTTCAAACTATACTACAAGTCTACAGTAACCAAAACAGCATGGTACTGGTACCAAAACAGATATATAGACCAATGGAACAGAACAGAGGCCTCAGAAATAACGCCACACATCTACAACCATCTGATTTTTGACAAACCTGACAAAAACAAGCAATGAGGAAAAGATTCCCTATTTAATAAATGGTGTTGGGAAAACTGGCTAGCCATATGCAGAAAACTGAAACTGGACCTCTTCCTTACACCTTATACAAAAATTAACTCAAGATGGATTAAAGACTTAAACGTAGGACCTAAAATCATAAAAATCTTAGAAGAAAACCTAGACAATACCATTCAGGACACAGGCATGGGCAAAGACTTCATAACTAAAACAGCAGTGGCAACAAAAGCCAAAATTGAGAAATGGGATCTAATTAAACTAAAGAGCTTCTACACAGGAAAAGAAACTATCTTCAGAGTCAACAGGCAACCTACAGAATGGGAGAAAATTTTTGCAATCTATCTGACAAAGGGCTAATATCCAGAATCTATAAAGAACTTAAACAAATTTACAAGAAAAAAACAACCCCATCAAAAAGTAAGCAAAGGCGAAGGATATGAACAGACACTTCTCAAGAGAAGACATTTATGCGGCCAACAAACATACGAAAAAAGCTCATCATCACTGGTCATTAGAGAAATGCAAATCAAAACCACAATGAGATACCATCTCACGCTAGTTAGACTGGCGATCATTAAAAAGTCAGGAAACAACAGATGCTGGAGAGGATGTGGAGAAATAGGAATGCCTTTATACTGTTGGTGGGAGTGTAAATTAGTTCAACTATTGTGGAAGACAGTGTAGCGATTCCTCAAGGATCTAGAACCAGAAATATCATTTGACCCAGCAATCCCATTACTGGGTATATACCCAAAGGATTATAAATCATTCTACTATAAAGACACATGTACATGTATGTTTATTGCAGCACTGTTCACAATAGCAAAGACTTGGAACCAACCCAAATGTCCAACAATGATAGACTGGATTAAGAAAATGTGGCACATATACACCATGGAATACTATGCAGCCATAAAAAAGGATGACTTCATGTCCTTTGCAGGGACATGGATGCAGCTAGAAACCATCATTCTCAGCAAACTAACACAGGAACAGAAAACCAAACACCACATGTTCTCACTCATAAGTGGGAGCTGAACAATGGTAACACATGGACACAGGGAGGGGAACATCACACACCAGGGCCTGTCAGGGAATGGGGGGCTAGGGGAAGGACAGCATTAGGAGAAATACTTAATGTAGATGACGGGTTGATGGGTGCAGCAAACCACCATGGCACGTGTATACCTATATAACAAACCTGCACATTCTGCACGTGTATCCCAGAACTTAAAGTATAATAAAAAATAAAAATAAAGAAAGGCCAGGTACAGCTGTCTTCAATGGTGAATTCTACCAAATATTTAAGGACAAATTAACACCAATTCTTCATAAACTATTCCAGAAAACATAAGAGGAAGGAACGTTAACCAATTCATTATATGAGGCTAATGTTGCCCTAATACCAAAACCAGAAACAGACATCAAAAGAAAACTACAGATCCACATTTCTTATGAATATAGACGCAAGGCCGGGCGCAGTGGCTCACGCCTGTAATCCCAGCACTTTGGGAGGCCAAGGCAGGTGGACTGACTGAGGTCAGGAGTTCAAGAGCAGCCTAGCCAACATGATAAAACCCTGTCTCTACTAAAAATACAAAAATTAGCTGGGAGCAGTGGCACATGCCTGTAGTCCCAGCTACTCGGGAGGCTGAGGCAGTAGAATCGCTTGAACCTGGGAGGCAGAGGTTGCAGTGAGCCGAGATATGCAACTGCACTCCAGCCTGGGCGACAAAGCGAGACTCCATCTCAAAAAGATAGATAGATAGATAGATAGATAGATAGATAGATAGATAGATAGATAGACAGACAGACAGACAGATGCAAATATCCTCAATAAAATATTAGCACACTGAATCCAGCATGATATAAAAAGGTTTATACAACATGATCAAGTGGGATTCAGCTCAGGAATCTAAGGTTAGTTTAATGTCTGAAAATTAGTAGAATAAAGGACAAAACCACATGATCATCTCAACAGACACAAAGAAAGCATTTGATAAATTCAACACCCTTTCGTGATGGCACTCAACAAACTAGGCTAACCAGGCGCGGTGGCTCACGCCTGTAATCCCAACACTTTGGGAGGCGGAGGCGGGTGGATCACAAGGTCAGGAGATCGAGATCATCCTGGCTAACACGGTGAAACCCCGTCTCTACTAAAAATACAACAAAATTGGCCGGGCGCGGTGACTCGCGCCTGTAATCCCAGCACTTTGGGAGGCCGAGGCGGGTGGATCAGGAGGTCAGGAGATTGAGACCATCCTGGCTAACACGGTGAAACCCCGTCTCTACTGAAAATACAAAAAAATTAGCCGCGCGTGGTGGCGGGCACCTGTAGTCCCAGCTACTCGGGAGGCTGAGGCAGGAGAATGGCGTGAACCTCGGAGGTGGAGCTTGCAGTGAGCTGAGATCGCACCACTGCACTCCAGCCTGGGCGACAGAGTGAGACTCCGTCTCAAAAAAAAAAAAAAAAAAAAAAAACAAAACAAAACAAAAAACGAGGCATAGAAGGGAATGTTCTCAACCTGATAAAGGGCATCTGTGAAAAACCCACAGCTACCATCATGCTTCATGATAAAAGACTCTCCCTACAATCAAGGATAAGACAAGTCATCCAAATTAGAAAGGAAGAGGCCGGGTGCGGTGGCTCACGCTTGTAATTCCAACACTTTGGGAGGCCGAGGCAAGGAGATCACGAGGTCAGGAGATCAAAACCATCCTGGCTAACACGGTGAAACCCCGTCTCTACTAAAAATACAAAAAAATTAGCCGGGCGTGGTGGCGGGCGCCTATAGTCCCAGCTACTCGGGAGGCTGAGGCAAGAGAATGGCGTGAACCCGGAAGGCGGAGCTTGCAGTGAGCCGAGATTGCGCCACTGCACTCCAGATCGGGGGACAGAGTGAGACTCCGTCTCAAAAAAAAAAGAGAAACGATGAAAAACTCTGTCTCTTTTCAGATGACATGATCCTGCCTCTAGAAAATCCTAAAAAATCCACTAAAAAACTTTTAGAGCTAAGAAATGAGTTCCACAAATTTGAAGGATATAAAACCAATACACAAAAAATTGTGTTTCCATATACTTGCAATGAACCATGTGACAATGAAATTAAGAAAACAATTCCATTTACAATAGCATGAAAAAGAATAAAATACTTTTTATTTAACCCAAAAAATTTAACCCCCATAAAAAGTATAAAATGATGTTCTGAAAACTCAAAACATTGGCTAAAAAAAATTAAAGAAGGTAAATGTTGAAAAGACATCCATGTCCATGGATTACAAGATATAATCTTCTTAAAATGGCAATATTCTCCAAACTGATCAACAGTTTGGAGAATCTCTATCAAATCTCTATCAAAATCCCAGCTGGATTCTTGGTAGAAAATGACCATCTGATCCTAAAATTCATACGGAAATTCAAAGGATCCAGAATAACCAAAACTATCTTGAGAAGAAAAGAACAAATTCAGAAGACTTACACTTCCCAATTTCAAAATTTACTACAACCTACCTGGGGTGGGGGAGGTATGGGTAATTTTTAAATTTATTTATTTTCTTTACCTTTATTTTCTAAATTCTCTATAATGAAGATGACTTTTACAATAAGGAAAAAACATGATTTTGTTTTTACATTTTTTTTTCTTTCCAACTTTTATGTTCAAGGGGTACATGTGCAGGTTTGTTACATGTATAAGTTATTTTTTAAACATGCACACCTACTGCTTAAAAAAATGTATAAAGAGATAAACAAATATCTAGTGAAAAATAACTTATAAATAAGAGTATATTTAAGTTTTTCATAAATTGAAAACTTAAAAGCAAAAACCCATCAAGTTCCTAGGGAAATTTGTATAACATATAAAAACAAATTCATTTTCAAAAGTTCTAGTTGACCAATGAAAACCCAACAAACAAAGGGAAAATCACATTTGATAGTCAACTTTAAACACATGGAGAGGAAAAGGCCTAGAAATTACAGCCCCAGCCAGGTAATGTGGATCACGCCTAAATTCCTAGCGTTTTGGGAGGTTGAGGCAAGAGGCTCACTTAAGGCCAGGAGTTCAAGAAATCACAGCTCCTGTAATTCAGATATTAACTCAATATAATGGAAGGAAACCTTTCCCTAGGAGACAGTGGAATTCTGTGCATAAGACAGGATAAACTCAGCCCAAAGTGCACTAGCCACAGTGATGATTTTTTAAATAGAATTCTAAAGTTAGAATATTGTTGAAAAGCTGCCAAAGCCTCTGAAAGACGGAAATACATGCATGAACACACATATATATAAAGTCTACCCCCATGCTGCATATAAATGTTAGCTTATTTTTGCTTACTCATGGGCACTAATTACTTTAATGGAGCCAGAATATTTTAAATTATGACAGGTAATCAATATTACATGACTTGTCAAATCTAGTTAACGAATTTACTCTGTTGTGTAACCATAATACGTCTAAGACATCTAAAAGCAGTGAAAATACCTTTGTATGTTTTTGTTTTCTGGAAGTCTTTACAAAATTCCAGGCTTTTTCTATACATCTGAGAGATATTTCTATATGATTTTTACCTTGTGAAACAAACAACAGATACTGTTGTCAAAATTCTGTCATTGTACACAGTGACTGAAGACCGCCATACTCTAGCTAATCCGCTGGACAATGAGGCACTATGCCAGGCACTGTGCGAGGGAACAACAGGAAAAAAAGGAAGACAACGACCGTATTCTGGAAAGGCTTACAATCTGTGTCAACACTGGGGATTTTTTTCCTTTAGTTAACGAAATGGAATCAATCAAATACTGTTTTTGAACTTTCTGTAGTCATGACACTACCTTTATTAGTGTGATGACCAGAAAAGCCTTAAATGACTTTGTTAGCTCAACTAGCAGTGATCACCACTGCAGAGTAAGTAATGCAGAAATTAACTGATAGCAATGATTCTGCCTACATTCGACCAAAAATAAACCTACGCCGAACTCTGCAAGGTGAATGAAGAGATAAGGTCCCTCATGACAAAAAAAAAAAAAAAAAAAAAAAACGGGCAAGAAATCAAACAAGCAAATAGTTTTCAGTAAATGATTCCCTAAAAAAAGCAATAGAGTATGGTGGTTAAGAGGATAAATCCTGGGTGCAAACTCATGAGTTTGAATGCCCACATCACCACTTACTAGCTATGACCCTCAGCGAGTCAGAAAACCTTCCTGCATCTCAGTTTCCCCATTTATAGACTAGGGATAACAACAGTACCTGTCTCCTAGAATCGTGAAGATTAAATTGCTTTAGGTGTAAAGTTTATATAGAGCACCTTAAGTCGTAGATATGACATCAAAAGCACAGGAACAAAGAAAACATAAACTGGATTTCATCCAAATTTAAAACTTGTATTGGCTTCAAAGGACACCATATCAAGAAAATGAAAAGATAACACACAGAATGAAAGAAAAATTTTGCGAATCATATATCAAAGGACTCATATATAGAATATATAAAAAACTGTTACTAGCCAGGTGCAGTGGCTCACGCCTGTAATCCCAACACTTTGGGAGGCCGAGGTGGGCGGATCACCTGAGGTCAGGAGTTTGAGACCAGCCTGGTCAAAATGGTGAAACCTCATCTCTACTAAAAATACAAAAATTAGCCGGGCGTGGTGGCATGTGTCTATAATCCCAGCTGCTCAGGAGGCTGAGGCAAGAGAATCGCTCGAACCCGGGTGGCAGGGGTTGCAGTGAGCCGAGATCACACCACTGCACTCCAGCCTGGGCGACAAAGCAAGATTCTGTCTCAAAAAAAAAAAAAAAAACTGTTACAACTCAACAATAAAAAGACAAAAAGACAACCCAATTTAAAAATTGGTAACTATCTAAATAGATATTTTTTCAAAGAAAATATAGAGATGACAATAATCACATGAAGAGATGCACATCATTAGCTACGAGGGACATGCAAACCAAAACTACAATGAGACACCAGGTCACATCCACCAGGATGGCCACAATCAAAAAGGTAACAAGTATTGACAAGGATGCAGAGAAATTAGAACTTGCATTCATTGCTAGTAGTAATGTAAAGTGGTACAGCCACTTTGGAAAACAATCTGGCAGTTTCTGAAAAAGTTAAACGTTGAGTTACCACATGACCCAGCAACTCCCCTTCCTAGACATACACATAATAGAATTTAAAACATATGGGCCAGGCACAGTGGCTCACACCTATAATACTAGCACTTTGGGAGGCTGAGGCAGGATCACCTGAGGTCAGGAGTTCAGGACCAGCCTGGCCAACATGGTGAAACCCCTTCTCTACTAAAAATACAAAAAAAATTAGCCAGGCATGGTGGTGGGCACCTGTAATCCCAGCTATTTGGGAGGCTGAAGCAGGAGAATCGCTTGAACCCAGGAGGCGGAGGTTGCAGTGAGCCAAGACCGCACCATTGCACTCCAGCCTGGGCAACAAGAATGAAACTCCATCTCAAAAAACAAATAAATAAATAAATCAAACAAACACATGTCCACACAAATGCTTATAACATCATTATTCATAATAGCCAAAAGGTACAAATGATACAAATGTCCATCAACTGATGGAATATGGAAAAACAAAATGTGGCATACACACACACACACACACACACACACACACATCACATATATACACATATACATACACATATATAACACATATACATACACACATATATACACATATACACATATATACA
The DNA here is from genome assembly GCF_000001405.40 of Homo sapiens. Classification (NCBI taxonomy): domain Eukaryota; kingdom Metazoa; phylum Chordata; class Mammalia; order Primates; family Hominidae; genus Homo; species Homo sapiens. The sequence continues at coordinate 140,423,689 of NC_000008.11, forward strand.
CATATACACATGTATACACATATATACATATATACACATATATACATATACACACATATATATACATATATATATACACAGAATGGAATATTATTCTGCAAGAAGAAAAAGAAATGCATACTGACACGTGCTATACGCATGAAGCTTGAAACATACAGTAAGTGAAAGAGGCCAGTCACAAAAACCACATACCATTATATGTATGATGCCATTTATATGAGATGTCCAGAACAGGCAAATAATAGAGAAAGAAAATAGCTTACTAGTTGCTTGGGGGTAAGGGAAGGACATAGGCAAAGGAGAGTGACTGCTAACAGGTATATGGCTTCCTGCTGGGGTTATGAGAATGTCCTAAAACTGATTGTGGTGAGGGTTGCACAACTTTGTAAATATACTAAAAATGACTGGATTTTACCCTTTAAATAGGTAAACTGCATTAAAACTAGTTTGTTTGTTTGTTTGTTTGTTTTTTTAAAAAAAAGCACCTTAGAACAGTGTCTCTCACATAATAAGTGCAAACTGCTCATTTTTATTACAGGAAGAAGAAACTCTCCTCCACATGAAAACGGAAAAAGCAATTATGAGTCAACTAAAATTATCCAAAAGATCATTTTACGTAAAGTAGTTGCTGAATGTACACGAAATGTTTAGAAATTAAATTAAAAAAAAAAAAGATGCCAGGCACAGTGGCTCATGTTTGTAATCACTTTGGGAGGCAAAGGTGAGAGGATTGCTTGAGGCCAGGACCAGCTGGGTCAACACAGAGAGAGACTCCATCTCTATGAAAAAATTAAAAAATTAGCTGGGCATGGTGGCACACACCTGTAGTCCCAGCTACTCCAGAGACTGAGGTGGCAGAATTGCCTGGAGTTCAAGGGCGCAGTGAGCTAGGATCGCGCCTGTGAATAGCCACTGCACTCCAGCCTTGGCGGCAGAGTGAGAACCTGTCTCCAAAAAAAAAAAAAAAATGAAAGAAATGAAAGAAAAAAACACAAGAAAAAAGAGTTTTAAGAATCATTCCACTTTAAAAATGCAGATAAAGAACACAAAGGCCTAGCTGCTAGAAATGCTGGGAGGGGAAGCTTAGTTCTTAGGATGAGAGATGGAGGAGCCCCCGAAAACCGTGAAACTCTTCTTCCGGTTTTGGAAACGGTGGTGAGGAAAGCGGGTAGGAAAAAAATTTGGAAACAGTTTGCTTCAAACATTATGTCCATTTAAAACTCAAAAATCAAATGAAAGTGATGTAATTTTGTGATAGCTTCACATGAATGGGTTTTCCGGGAGCTGAACAATTTTACAACCCCTGAGAGAGTGTTAGCTATTCAGATAGAGAGGCTGTGAAGAATCAAATTGCATTGCTCCTAGGAGCTAGGAAGATTCCCTACCAGCACTGTCACTGCTAACACATTTGCAAGGGTTTAGAAAGGACCAACGCTTGAAAGACAGATATGATTTCAGTAGCGAGTCAGTCCTGATACAAAGGTCCCCAAGAGCAGAGGCCAGAAGGCATTAGCAGGAACTGGCGTGGCCTGGAAGGCAGGAACCAGAATGTGGGGCCAGGACGGCATCTCATTCTCTTTACTCGCTCTCCCATTGGTAAAGAGAAGTCAGGTCCACACGTTTCTCATTTGGGACCATTACAGAGGATGTCCTCACATACCAAACACTGGTTTCTGGGTCCTTCCTGGCAGTTTTCACCTCTACAGCAGAACCTTGATGCACCCTTGAATAACAAAGCCCCACAGAATCTCCTCACTTTTCCTCCCAACACTCTAAACTCAATTTCACCTCTACACAACCTTATCTTGAAAAGCGTCGGAAATCTTTTTAAAATGCCTTATCTCAACAAACGCCTGATTTTTCTTATAGCTCTAAGCTACTTCTATATGGTGTACACATCTAATTCTCCTACAACTAATGTGATTGACACACTGCAATTCAGTATTTTATAGCAGGCATAACCAGCCAAACTGGGGCTCAGCAACTCATACTGGTCAAATACCAGTACATTCAACATCCATTTCATTTGTCATCAGTGTTGGCGGGGCTTTCAGCTCTTCAGTGGCATAAAGTCTGCCCGCCTGACTGTCCCCCAGATGCCTTCTCATCAGCAACTCAGGTCTCCTGAAACCAAAACTAAGCATTTGTTGTCCTTTCTCTACACATTCCACAAACTCCATCAGGAAACTTAGCCACGGCCTAGAGAAAGGAGTGAACGCAAATGTTAAAACCAACGCCTGCAAACCTGGGGCAACTTCATTTCAGAGCCAAGATGCACGAGGCGATGAAAGCGAATGTGTTAGTCACAAAGGCTGTGTAAGCACAGCCATCTGATTTCAATTCTAGACTGTTTTCATTTTGTATTATTTACCCTGTCATTGTTTCTCATTAAGTCAGAAAATAATAGAGCTCATCATGAAATAATTAAGCACTGTAATAAAAGAGGTTTTTGCTGTATTAATTACAGAAGATATTACAAGGGGAAGAAAAACCTGCCTTTGTAAAAACTACGAGATTTCTTTCCCTGTTAAGAACACACAGACGAAATGCAGTAGAGAATTAACTCACGTGGAAGGGAGCACAAGCCACAAATCAGAGCAAAGTCGTGATTACAAATGAATTCAAAATTAACAGGACAAACATGCTCAATGCATTCAAAGAATTAAAGGCACAATTCTCAAATCATTCACTTAGCCATGCTAGAGGAAGAAGCCTCCTCTTCAACAGACAACATAAAGCAACGGGGTGCCCATCAAGCAAGGACCCACCAATCAATCATCAAGCTTTTAACAGTTCTGATTTAAAGTTACTTAAATCAGAATGTTCCAAAGATCATCATCCAGAAATTTTAACCATTCATTCACATCACCATGAAACAAGCACTTAAAAAAATAACCAAAAGAAACTAAACACATAGATCATGTACCTGGATCAATGAGAACTTCCTGTGCCCCTGGAAGAAAGAACAGATTATGGTATTTTATTTGGAAAACAAAACTACTTTTAAAAATAACTACTAAAACACATTTCATAATTCACATAGCCTAGAGAAAAATCTGACTTGTATCTGATCAGAAAAGCAATTCTGAGGAACAGTATGTTACAAGTTTGGTGCCTTTTTGCTTCAGACAGGAAAAGAGAAAAGAAAAGCTACTATTACTCATACCCTAAACAAATTGTTAAGTGCCTCCTCACCTCTCTGCCTTCCCACTTTCTATGTTCATGCTCCCAGTTCTTTTTTTTTTTTTCTTTTCTGAGACAGAGTCTTGCTCTGTTGCCCAGGCTGGAGTGCAGTGGCGTGATCTCAGCTCACTTCATCCTCTGCCTCCCAGGTTCCAGCAATTCTCCTGCCTCAGCCTCCCAAGTAGCTGGGACTACAGGCGTGCGCCACCACGACCGGCTAATTTTTTTTTTTTTTTTGTATTTTTAGTAGAGACGGGTTTCACCATGTTAGCCAGGCTGGTCTCAAACTGCTGGGATTACAGGCATGACCCACCATGCCCGGCCTGCCAGCTCTTCTTAAACAAGTATGACAATTCCTTATTTCCACAAATAAGCCAAGTGACAAAGGATTATTATTTGTGCAAATGTATGTCAGCAGCCTAGAATGGGGGAGAAAAGGTGCCAGTGGCTCTGTGGAACTTTTCACAACCCCCCTAAAATACATCTCTCTATATATATATCTCTCTCTCACACACACACACACACACACACACATACACACACAGAATAATTGGACACTTCATCAAGTTAAAGATTTCCAGCTTTTAGAAGGTAGCTTTGTAGTTAGCTTAAAATACAAAACTATTAACTTCACTATTATGAAGAAACTTTTGAAAGCCTTGGTGGTCTGCTAAACTACCCAAACATCTGTGTGATCCAATTCAACTTCTCTATAGAATGCAATTTCCCATCATGGCAAAACACACCTCAAGGGGTACTGGTTCCAAGAGTCATGTTTATCATTAGCTATTTTCATTTTTAAACATGTTAAGAAGATTCAAAAAGGTATGTCCCAATAATCTTATGGAAATAGCACATGTATTCAATTGTCTACACAGAGAAGAGGCCCCATGATTATGGTGCTATTTAAGAGCTATTTTGTGTACAGCCATCTGTTTGTAAACGCAGACTAAAAATCACTGCAATCTTGACGCCACCATTAAAATAAAAAACAGGTGTTTTCCATTGAATAACACCTTTCTGCCAAGCATGATGCTTAACAAATATCATGTATGACCTTCAGAGCAACCCTACAAAATAAACAGATATTAACCCTCCCTGCCTATGGGGAGACTGAAGCCCAGAGGAGCCAAGGGAAGCCCCACCGCCACACACGCCACAACACCAGGTCCAAGGTCTGCACTGAGCAGACGTTCAGCTGCACAGACCTTGAGGAAGTCTGGATTTCCAGATAACCTAGAAACGTTTTGTTCTGTGAAGAACCTGGCCAAATATATTATACTATGCCATGTCCTTTAGGTAGGGGATATGAGTTAAACTTTTGATGCCCCAGAGTTATTATCACAATCATCAATCATTTGACTATTAGTATCATCAGCCTCTAGTGGACTGATTTCACATTAACCAAACTTGTAAGAGACCAGTGTAGGAAAACTGGAGGTTTAACTATTAATGTAACGGGAGACACAAAATTATCAATCAGACCAAAATATCAGGGTTCAACGATCAGCACATTTTCTCTTCAAAGGCCAAATCACAGGCAGGAGATAAGTAGAAATCAGGTCCATACGTCTCATTTGGGACCATTACAGAGGATGCCCTCACACACCAAATGCTGGTTTCTAGGCCCTTTCCTAGTGGTTGTCACCTCTACAGCAGGATCCTGACACCTGAATAACAAAGCCTCACACCATCACCCCTGCCTGTAAAATGAAGAGAGTGGGCCGATGCTTCAGTTTGTTCCTGTTCTAAGGTAAGCCTCTGTGAGCCTCATCTTTTGTTTATATTTAGGGGCATTAAAGTGTTCAGATGGGGAACTGAATACCACTCCCTTCCCTGAAACAGAATTCAGTAGTTGTATTTTGTTGAAATACAAATCAAGTTCATCTAGAAAACTCCACTTTCTCTGAACAGGAGTTTTCTAGATGAATTTGATGGACTAAAGTTCTGTTACAGGGAGAAACCTGCTGCCTACACAAATGATTAATGCAAACCGCAGTGCACTCTCTGTGGACAGTGGCCAAGACACAAATGCCAGCGCTGCATAACTCTCTCTGTCCCACCCTTTCCACACTGGCCAACCCCCTGACTGATGTATAGATGTATACATGGAACTGTAGATATGCTGATACCTCTAAACCCCGGAAGCCAATCTACTGAAGCTCAGCCCGACTGCCAGGGGTTTTTTGTTTTGTTTTTTGTTTTTCTGTTTTTGTTTTTTTTTTTTTGAGACAGAGTCTCACTCTGTCGCCCAGGCTGGAGTGCAGTGGCACAATCCTGGCTCACTGCAACCTCCGCTTCCCGGGTTCAAGCAATTCTTCTGCCTCAGCCTCCCAAGTGGCTGGGACTACAGGTGCGCACCACCACGTCCAGCTAATTTTTTGTTGTTGTTGTATTTTCAGTAGACACGGGGTTTTACCATATTGGCCAGGCTGGTCTTGAACTCCTGACCTCGTGATCTGCCCACCGTGGCCTCCCAGTGCTGGGATTACAGGTGTGAGCCACTGCACCTGGCCAACTGCCAGGATTTAAATCCCAGCTCTGCCACTTACTAGCTCCATAACCTTGGTCAAGTTCCTCAACCTGTCTATGCCTCAGTTTCCACATCTGTAAAACTGGGATAATAATCCAACCTACCTTATCTGGTTGTTGTGAAGATTAAAGGGTTAAATTGGTGTATATAAAATGTGTGTAGAGGCCGAGGTGGGTGGATCACTTGAGGTCAGGAGTTTGCGACCAGCCTGGCCAACATGGTGAACCCACATCTCTACTAAAAATACGAAAATTAGCTGGTCATGGTGGTGCACACCTGTAATCCCAGCTACTGGGGAGGCTGAGGCACGAGAATTGCTTGAACCCGGGAGGCAGCGGTTGCAGTGAGCCAAGATTGTGCCATTGCACTCCAGCCTGGCAACAGAGTGAGACTCTATCTCAAAAAAATAAAAATAAATAAAATGTGTGTAGCACATTTTAAATGTTCAACAGATGTTATCAGCCAGGTGTGGTGGCTCACGCCTGTAATTCCAGCACTTTGGGAGGCCGAGGTGGGCAGATCACCTGATGTCAGGAGTTCGAGACCAGCTTGGCCAACATAGCGAAACCGTGTCTCCACTAAACATACAAAAATTAGCTGGGCGAGGTGGCAGGCGCCTGTAATCCCAGCTACTTGGGAGGCTGAGGCAGGAGAATCACTCGAACCCGGGACGCAGAGGTTGCAGTGAGCCGAGATCACGACATTGCACTCCAGCCTGGATGACAGAGTGAGACTCCATCCCAAAAAAAAAAAAAAAATGTTATCTGTTACAGTGATTTTACAAATGTCCCTTCTAATCATCCTTTGTATTTCCTTACTAGTCTAAATAGCAAAGGATATCCTTATTTCTGTGTTACAAAGAAAGAACTGTCACCCCATGACCTATTTAAACTGAGGGGGAAGATGGCACTTGCTCTTCACTCCTCTGGTTTCCATAATAAAGGCTTTGTCCTAAGCACCACTGACCTCTTGCCCACCCCCATTCCTCCCCCACCCAAGTGGAGTGAGGTGTAAGATGAGTTTGGGAGACAAGCTGGGCATGTGAACCCCTTCTTTTGCCCTTGGGTGCTGCACTCAGGAAGCACACGGGATGTTCTGCTCCGCCATGCCTATGGCTGACAGGGAGAGGGCCCCTCGTAGGAAGGTCTGCTGTGGCCCAGAGCCACCAGATCTTGGACACACAGTAGTAGGATGCCCATTTTTCTGCATCCCTCAAGTTCATGGAAAATGTGGGGGTTGTTTTTTGTTTTTTAAGACAAGGTCTTGCCCTGTAGCCCAGGCTGGAGTGCAGTGGCAGAATCTCAGCTCACTGCAACCTCTGCCTCCTGGGCTCAAGCAATCCTCCCAACTCAGCCTCTTGAGTAGCTGGGACTACAGGCACGCGCCAACATCCCAGGCTAATTTTTTGTATTTTTTGTAGAGATAGGATTTCACCATGTTGCCCAGGCTGGTCTCAAATTCCTGGGCTCAAGCGATCCATGCACTGTGGCCTCCCAAAGTGCTAGGATTACAGGTGTGAGCCACCATGCCCGGCAGAGAATGTGGTTTCATCACTAATAAGGGCGGAATTTTTATTCTCTACCTTACTCTTGTCTCGTCTCTCAGTTGGTTGTTGAAGAAAACAGGGGTGTTTTTATTGGGCCCCTTTAAGCCCCAACATATACTAATCCACAAATAATTCTGTGGCTTGGGTAGGTCAAGATGGCTACATAACGGCCATGTCTCTAAACCTGCAGCTAAATTATGGGTATAAGAACTACTGACCCTCCTCGCCGGGCGCGGTGGCTCACGCCTGTAATCCCAGCACTTTGGGAGGCCAAGGCAGGCGGATCACCTGAGGTCAGGAGTTCAAGACCAGCCTGGCCAACATGGTGAAACCCCGTCTCTACTAAAAATATAAAAACTAGCCGGGCGTAGTGGTGGGTGCCTGTAATCCCAGCTACTCGGGAGGCTGAGGCAGGAGAATTGCTTGAACCCAGGAGACAGAGGTTGCAGTGAGCTACTGCACTCCGGCCTCGGCGACAGAGTGAGACTCTGTCTCAAAAAAAAAAATAAAAATAAAAACTACTGACCCACCTCAAATATTTCCTTCATTTCCTGAGTCTCTCTTCACGAAAACATTTTTCCTATTTCAATGCCTTAGTAATTTCCAAACACTATAAAATGATGACTTCATATAAAATAATAGCTAATGGTCGTGAGATATTTTATGAGATGACTGCCACGCTAAACATTTTGCACACATTCTCTCTAATTCTCACAATTCTACAAAGCAGAAATTAGGAGCCCCTGCTCATAGATGCAGAGCGAGGAGGTGGGGGGCACCTGAGAAAGAACTGTAGGACTTGCATTCAGACACAAGCCAGCTGAACGAGGCTTTTCCATGACACCACAACACCACCCACTAGCAAACATGCAAAACTGGGTGCAATACTCAGGGAGTTCCAGATTCTTTTCAGCTTTAAGGTGCTCCAGACAGTTTCTATCTCTTTTATAAATCATGGCTGACTGCCTTCTGACATTGGAAGAAAAGTCCAATTTCACCACTGTCCACATTGCACATCTGAAATTTTCATGCTGAAATGACATAATAAAAATAACTAGAATACTTTTCCAGGTATCCAAATATAATGGGCATAGTGCTATTCTAAAGCATTAAACAACAACAACAGCAAAATTCAAATGAAGGAAGCCTTGTCTAAGTCTTCTTTCACCAACAGGGAAATTAGGACATTAAAAATATATGTGTACAACAGCGCCACCTATGGCCAGAAAGGTCTTTCCAGGTTGCTGAAAAAAAAAGGTAACAAATTTAATTGTTGGCATAATAAGAAATGATCAACAGGGCTTTTTAAAATACGATGCTCAGAGACCATAACTAAAAGTGTAACTAGCACATACTGAAATCTGCTTCAAGGAAGGGAACAGTATTCAGTATTTAATCCAAAAACTTTAACACCCCTAAATATAAACAGAAGACACAGGCTCATAGAAACTAATCTTAGAACAGGAAGAAAACTCGAGCATCTGGCCCACTCTCTTCATTCTACAGGTAGTGAGGTTGAGACCCAGAGAATTTGTTCTTCTAGCAATCAGTGGCAAAGCTTTCTCCTAGTCCTTGGATTTTGCACTATACCAAAAGCCACCTTAATCTATACCAACCCTATAATCATAAAAGTCACGTCTGGCCGGGCACAGTGGCTCACGCCTGTAATCCCAGCACTTTGGGAGGCCGAGGCGGGCAGATCATGAAGTCAGGAGATCGATACCATCCTGGCTAACACGGTGAAATCCTGTCTCTACTAAAAATACAAAAAATTAGCCAGGCGTGGTGGCGGACGCCTGTAGTCCCAGCTACTCGGGAGGCTGAGGCAGGAGAATGACGTGAACCCGGGAGGCGGAGGTTGCAGTGAGCCGAGATCGCGCCACTGCACTCCAGCCTGGGCAACAGAGCAAGACTCTGTATCAAAAAAAAAAAAAGTCATGTCTCTATATTTCAGTCAGTAAATAGCCTAAGTGTCTTACAAAAAAATACTTCCCAAAGGACTGCCAACTATTAATCATACAATTTTGTTGAAATACAAACACATTTATTTATATATTAAAACAGCATAATCGGCCAAGCACAGTGCTCACACCTGTAATCCCAGCACTTTGGGAGGCCGAAGCGGGTGGATCACTTGAGTCAGGAGTTGGAGACTAGCCTGGCCAACATGGCGAAACCTCGTCTCTACAAAAATTAGCTGGGCATGGTAGCACACACTTGTAATCCTGTTACTCAGGAGGCTGAGACACAAGAATCACTTGAGCCCGGGAGGCAGAGGTTATAGTGAGCCGAGATCATGCTGCTGCACTTCAGCCTGGGCAACAGAGCAAGACTCTGTCTCAAAAAACAACACACAGGCCAGGAGCGGTGGCTCACACCTGTAATCCCAACACTTTGGGAGGCCGAGGCAGGCAGATCACTTATGGTCTGGAGTTCAAGACCAGCCTGGCCAACATGGTGAAACCGCATCTCTACTGAAATTTACAAAAATTAGCCAGGTGTGGTGACGGGCACCTGTAATCCCAGCTACTCGGGAGGCTGAGGCAGGAGAACCACTAAAACCCAAGAAGTAGAAGTTGCAGTGAGCCGAGATTGAGCCACTGCACTCCAGCCCAGGTGACAGAGCGAGACTCTGTCTCAAAAAACAACAACAACAACAACAAAAACACACATAATCTATTCAACAATGTCCCCTTGTAGTCAATCTATAAAGGAAAAGTAACTGATGTCAAATCAACGTTTTTACTTTTCTCATCTATTACAGATACAGGAAAAAAATCAAAATTTTCTCAATCACAAAAAAGATAAGCCTGAGGCAGAAGAATAGGATCTAGAGGCAAAGAACTTAAGGTTGTTTCACACAGACTTCCTACAACTACATTGAAAGGAAAACCCTAACTTTCCATGACTAAGTAACAAAAGGACCAGAGGCTGCTCCCTTTGACCTTTTCTGCATGGCAGGTGGGAAACTGGCTGTCCGGAACCACTCAGACTGATTGCTGGTGGAGTCTTAGTTTGCAGAGAAGTATAACTTTGTCTACTTTTCATTTGCATAGAAGCATAACTTTGTAACTTCACCTTAGCCTCTGAGTGGCTGCTTTCCGCAACCAATCAGACTAACTGCAGGCTACCACTTCATTTACAAGAGGTGAGCATGAAGTGGCCAATGGGAAACTTCTAGTGGGTATTTAGACCCAAGAAGATTCTGTATCCGTGCCCTTGAGCCCGCTGCTCGGCCCACTCCCACACTGTGGAGTGTACTTTCGTTTTCAATAAATCCCTGCTTTCATTATTTTGTTGCTTCCTTCTTTGTGACCTATGCAACATGATGACTAAATCCTGAGCCATTAAAGGCAGGTTCATTCATCAAGGACCAAAACGTTCATGTTCATTCAGCATTCGTGGGTCTGCTCTACCCAAGAAGTTTTCTCACTCTTCATTGGTTCTACCAAGCATAAGCAAATCAAACAACTCATTGAGAGAATGTCATCAGCCAATAAAATAAGAAACTGCTCCCAGGCCCTGAATCAGCTTATTAAAATTGACCTCTGGGACTAGCTTCTCCTAATACATAAAATTATAAAAAAGACTTAGACACAGAACCTCAAGTCTGTTCTACCAGGAAATTTTACACAAGTATTCCAGAAATCAACCAATCATTCTAACCCATTAGTGGTATTCAGTAAGATTGAAAGTATTCAATAAAATCAGAACAAAATGTCTCATACAAGATTTCTGGGCAGGGCATGGTGGCTCACGCCTGTAATCCCAGCACTTTGGGAGGCCGAGGCGGGTGGATCACGAGGTCAAGCATTCGAGACCAGCCTGGCCAACATAGTGAAACCCCGCCTCTATTAAAAATACAAAAAATTAGCCATGTGTGGTGGCGGGCGCCTGTAATCCCAACTAGTCAGGAGGCTGAGGGAGGAGAATTGCTTGAACCTGGGAGGTGGAGGCTGTGGTGAGCCGAGATTGCGCCACTGCACTCCAGCCCGGGCAACAGTGCAAGACTCTGTCTCAAAAAAAAAAAAAAATTACTGACTCAACAGATTTTACAGTTTATTTAAATATTAGTCCTAACTCAAAGGAAAAAGTAACAAATGAGTCTGCTTTATTTAAAGACTGCAAGTGAGCAGAGGCCGGAAAAAGGGCAGAGCTCACCTGGCCGGTGTCTATTGGCTGCTTCAGCAGGAAGGGTGCTGCCCTGGAACCTCCGAGCTCCACTCTTCCCACCAGTTCCACCAGGATAGTGATAGATGACAGAAGCTGAACACAATCCTTCCAGGGCAGCTGGGCATTAAGAAAACAAAAAACAAAAACCAGAAAACAAAAAACAAAAACCAGCATCATTAGTCAAGTCAGTGACCCTTCATTAGCTCAAACTGCAGTAACTAACAATGATTTAAACAGGTGGATTATTTGGAAATGCCAATTTTTCTCCCAAAACAAAGATCAAACCTAAAGATCACTAGTTTTTTGCAAATGGGAACTTGCCACCTGTCTTTCCCATGCCCATGTCCAGGCAGGCAATGCAGAACACTCTCACCACACTCAAGGTTTCCCTGCAGGGCTGACTGCACACGTAAAACAGGCCAGCCTCTGCGTTCATCCATTCACGTGGCCGGCATTCCTGCACAAACTGTGTGGCAGACTGCGCCAGGTTCTGGAGCTACAGAGATGTATAACAGAAAGTGCCCTGGATTGAAAATATTTCACAGTAATAGCACCAAAGCAAGACCAGAATGCCTTTCCAGACCATGCACCCCATAGGCATCTGCTCCTTTTGAGGTTGTAGTCCTCCCTCTTCCTCAAAAACAGCCATATTAACTCGCTACACAGTCCGTTCTTCTCTCATGACGTAACAACCTAATAATCTCCAGCTATGCCACATGCCTTAGAAGGTGTGCCACAGTATTCATCTCTATCATCTTTATCCATTAACTCAGTGCTCCTTAAACTTTTGGTCTAAAAACTCCTTGATGCTCTTAAAAATGACTTAGGATCACAAAGAGCTTTTTTTGTGATGTGGGTTACACCTGTAGATATTTACCATATTGGAAAATAAAACTGAGAAAAGGATTTAAGTATTTATGTATTAATTCCTCTTAAAATAGGCCAGACGCAGTGGCTCATGCCAGTAATCCCAGCACTTTGGGAAGCCAAGGTGGGTGGATCACTTGAGGTCAGGAGTTCAAGACCAGCCTGGCCAACATGGTGAAACCCTGACTCTACTAAAAATACAAAAATTGGCCAGGCATGATAAAACACACCTGTAGCCCCAGCTACTCGGGAGGCTGAGGCAAGAGAATCGCTTGAACCTGGGAAATGGAAGTTTCAGTGAGCTGAAATCACGCCATTGCACTCCAGCCTGGGCGACAGAGTGAGACTGACTCAAAAAAATAAAAATAAAAAATAAAATAATAAGCTTGTCATGTGTTAACAGTTTTATGAAAAATAATTGTTTTCCAAAACAAAAATAAAGTACTGGAGGAATGGCATTATTTGACATGTTCACACATTTCTTTAATATCAGAGTTAATACAAGTCAGCTGGATCTTCTATCAGCTTCTACATTCAGTCTGCTGTGATGTCAGGCCTAAGTAGCTTGTGGACAACTCCACTGTCCACTTCTGAGAGGCTGAGCATGGAAGAGGCCCACGGCACACAGCACCGTCCTTCTCTGTGTGCCCTTTAGGAGCCCTCCTCATCCAGTCCAGCGCCGCATGGGGAAGGCATATGGGCAGTACCAGTCTTTCTGGAGAAGCACCTGCTGCACATGCCCTAGTCTCAGAGCCCACTGGGAGATGCACAGATTCTCTAATTGATACAATAAGGAGTACTTAGGGAGACAATGCTCTTTCAAGAAAACCAAGTAAAACTATGTCTTTCTCAGCCTGCATAATCCTTTATCTGATTCTCTTTTCTTTTCCATCCCTAATTCTTACTCCCTTTCTTTCCCCACTTCTATTTCCCTAGCCTCTTTAAAAAACTAAATTTAAGTCCATTTTAAGTTTTATTTTGGTTTTTTCTTAAGAGACAAAGTCTCACTCTTGCTCAGGATGGAGTGCAGTGGTGCGATCGTGGCTCACTGCAGCCTTGACCTCCTGAGCCCAAGCGATCCTCCTGCCTCACCCTCACAAGTAGCTGGGACTACAGGCACAGACCACCAAGCCCAGCTAATGTCTTTTTATTTTATTTTATTTTATTTTATTTTGGTAGAAGTGAGGTCTCCCTATGTTGCTCAGGCTGGTCTCCACCCAGTTAATGTTTTTTAATTTTGTTTTGTAGAAGTGAGGTGAAGTAAGATTTTTTTATTTTTTATTTTTTGTAGAAGTGTTGGGATTACAGGCATGAGCCACCATGCCTGGCCGTTTGAAGTATTTCTTATATTTGGCTGGGCACAGTGGCTTATGCCTGTAATCCCAGCACTCTGGGAGGCCAAGGCAGGCATATCAGCTGAGGTCGAGTTCAAGAGCAGCTCGGCCAACATCGCAAAACCCCGTCTCTACTAAAAATAGAAAATTTAGCCGGGTGTGGTAGTGCATGCCTGTAAGTCCCAGCTACTCGGAAGGCTGAGGCAGGAGAATCGCTTGAACCCAGGAGGCGGAGATTGCAGTGAGCCAAGATCATGCCACTGCACTCCAGCCTGGGCAACAGAGCGAGACTCCGTCCCCAAGAACGAAAGAATTTGTTATATTTAATATGTTCTACGGCACCTCGTTAAACTTCTGTTACAGAACTCACCTCATTACTTCATTCCGACTTGTATTATCATAAGTGGCTGACAGGTGTCCTTGCTAAACTGTCAACCTCAACGAAAGAACCCTGTTTTAGTCCTTACCCACACAATGGACTCAGCCAGTCCATCCTCCCAGGACCACCTCCAGGAGGCGCAGTCCCCAAAGGGAAGACCACACACAGACATCCGATTCCACCACGAAGTGTCAGCAACATCTCAGGCAGGGCACCCGCTCTGCCGACTGCTGCGGGGGATCAGAGATGGCTGTGCTTTGAAGTAGGATTTCTTCTTCCCTTTCTTTTAATTTTTAAGATTGACATAGAGTTCACATACCATATAATTCACCCACTTAAAGTGTGCAAGTCAGCAGTTTTTAGTATATTCACAACTGTGCAACCATCACCACTAACTGACTCTGGAACATTTTCATCACCCCAGAAAGAAACCTTATGCCCGTTAACTGTCACTTCCCATTCCCCCTCCTCCCAGCCCCTAGAACCAGTTGTCTACTTTCTGCTTCTATAGATTTGCCTATTCTAGCCACTTCATATATATAGAATCATACAATCTGCGGCCTTTTTCATGCCTGCCTTCTCTCACTTAGCACAAAGTTGTCAAGGTTCATCCGTGCTGCAGTGGTATCACAATTTCACTCCTTTTCATGGCTGAATAATATTCCGCTGTATGCCCATACCACATTTCGTTTATCCATTCATCATGTGACACATGGAGGAGGTTTTGAGGGAGGAGTCTAAGAGGTGAAGATCATGGGGAACGGCATCCAAAGCAGAGGGCAAGGTATACTAAGAACAGAGGAAAAGGGAAAGTGTGGGCAGGGCCTCCTTCAGAGGACGCATGGCAGGGTGGGAGGAGGGCAGCAGATACAGCAGGGAAGCATCCCAGGCCACTGCTCGTGGCAACCAGCACAGGCTGGCTGCTTTTCCTCCCTCATCCCTTCTTTTTGGGGAATTTCTTCTGCCGTTTCCTCTCATTTCTTTTTTTATTTTATTTTATTTTTTTTTGAGATGGAGTCTCGCTCTGTTGCCAGGCTGGAGTGCAGTTGTGCAACCTCTGCTCACTGCAACTTCTGCCTCCTGGTTCAAGAAATTCTGCTGCCTCCGCCTCCCGAGTAGCTGGGACTATAGGCGCGTGCCACCACGCCCAGCTAATTTTTGTATTTTTAGTAGAGACGTGGTTTCACCATGTTGGCCAGGATGGTCTCAATCTCTTGACCTCATATTTGGCCTGCCGTAGCCTCCCAAAGTGCTGGGATTACAGGCGTGAGCCACCGCACCCAGCCTCTCATTTTAATTAACAGTTGAAACAATTACATATCAGATCATCTTCATCAGCTCATCTTACCTCCAAGCCACAGAAAGTCATTCACAGAACGCAGCAGCTCCACCGACATGTGGTAATGCACCAGGGAGTCCTGCAGCATCCCTGCCTGCAGGCACAGGTCCCCCACGTGCTTCCGCATGCGGCCTTGGCACCGCTTCTTGTAATGTCTAGAAAATACATGAAAATGTATCTTTATTACTATACAACTCCCACCCAGAAAGCACTCTGACTAAGCACTATTCAATTCTCTCACTACTAAAAATGCTAAGAAGGCAACTGTAGGCTCTATAATTTTAAGTCAGCAATAATCATTGCCAGTTATGTGAGCTGGAGTGGTCTTAATTTCAAAAATGTACTGCCAAGCAATTTGTTTAAAGGTGATCGGTACGTAAGGACTTCTACCATGTCTTTCACGTAGGCAATGTTACAGTTGGATTTTTCTTTTTAGATTTTCCAGTTGTAACATTAGCATAAGGAAGTTTATGTTTCAGCTTTTTAAAAAAATCAATTATCTTCCACTTCTTAACATCAAACCTCTTATTATTTTATAAAGACAGCTATGCTGAGTCTTATTAGCCAACCATTTGGCTTTAGCAAACAAGACGTTCATCCTCGCTATTTCAGGGCAAGCTTTAGGAAAGCTTCCAGAGAGCAGGGCCTGGGGTGCTCACTAACAGCTCTTTAAATATTGGCAAGGATATACCACTAAATAATGCAAAGGCTTCTGAGTCCCTAATCAACTCAGAAACCAAAGAAACTGTACCAAAGTATTCCTTTTATCATTTTTAAATACATCTAACCTTTAAATGTTATATTTCTTAAGATAGATGATTTTTTTTTTAAAGAAAAACTGCAGCTGGATTAAACTTTCCCTCATCAAGAAAGCAAACTTATCAAGAATAAAACTCCTCTGGAAATCCAGAAGATGTGACGTTTCTAAGTAAATGAATGTTATTGACACATCTCAATACAATGTTAAATCCTATCATGTGTAACTCTAACGAGTTCAACAAACTCTTTGTTACTCTGGAATTTAGCATTTCCATTCTGAATAAGTTTTAAACAAAGATCACAACGTAAGGCAGACGCAGAAAGAAAAAGAAACGCCAGCCTTCGTTTGTCTCCTTCCTGGCCACAAGGCAGTGTCAGGATGGCCCCTGCTAACAGACCCTCCCCATAAGAAAATACAGCATCTAGCAGGGTGCAGTGGCTCACGCCTGTAATCCCAGCACTTTGGGAGACCGAGGCGGGCGGATCACAAGGTCAGGAGATCGAGACCATCCTGGCTAACACGGTGAAACCCCATCTCTACTAAAAATACAAAAAATTAGCCGGGCGTGGTGGCACGCGCCTGTAGTCCCAGCTACTCAGGAGGCTGAGGCAGGAGAATCACTTGAACCCGGGAGGCGGAGGTTGCAGTGAGCCGAGATCATGCCACTGCACTCCAGCCTGGGGGACAGGGTGAGACTCCCAAAAAAAAAAGAAAAGAAAAGAAAGGCATCTGAGCTGCTCTTCCCATCCCAACAGCAGTCACCTCAGCAGCCTCCGCCTAGTCTCTGACTCCTCACCCTGCACCCCCTTCCCCTTCATTGCTTCTATACACACACAGCCAGAGTGTCCTTCCCAAAGCACAAATCAGTCTGTGTCCCTCCCCCACTGCAAACCTTTCACAGGATGCTCAATTCAGTCGTAGGGAGAGGCATGCAGTCCATAGCTAGCCCCTCCCACGGCTCTGGCTTCCCCTCCTACCACTGTGGCTTTGCACTCCACAGGCAACCTTGCTGCAACGCTGAAGTCCCCCAACCTCAGGCTCTATCCGCCTCACAACTTCCACTCTCTTTTAGGCTCATCTCAATGACCAGGTTCTCAAGGAAGCCTTCCCTGACTCCAACCTCTGCACTTTGGGTTAAGTGTCCTTGATGTGTTTCTAGAACACTGTTACTTTTTTTTTTTTTTTTTTTTTTTGGAGACAAGGTCTTATTCTGCTGCCCAGGCTGGAGCCCAGTGGCACAATCACAGCTCACTGCAACCTCCAAGTCCTGGGCTCAAGAGATCCTCCCACCTCAGCCTCCCCAGTAACTGGGACCACAGGTGTGCACCACAACACCTGGCTAATTGTTTTTTATTTTTTGTAGAGATAGGGTCTCCTTATGTTGCTCAAGCTGGTCTCGAACTCCTGGGCTCAAGTGATCCTCTTGCCTCAGCCTCCCAAAGAGCTGGGATTACAGTTCTTTGCCCAGCCAGCTCTTACTCTCAAAGGTAGACAGTGTTTTGCTCACTTCCTTGGTATGTTATCCTGTTCCAAATGGGAAAAAAAAACTCAGTATCCAAATGGACATTTTCCTCCACCAGTAACATAACTGTCAACTCTTAATACATGAATAAGTTTACAAATACTACTGTATATTAGTTTAATATATTTTAAATTAGACTTTAAAGCAACAACAAAACTTTACTCCTAACCAATTAGAAAAGATTTGCTTTAAAGCATCCTAAAGAAGTAAATTAGGTCAGGCATGGTGGCTCATACCTGTAATACCACCACTTTGGGAGGCCAAGGCAGGAGGATCACTTAAGGCTAGGACTTCGAGACGGCTGGGCAACAGAGCAAGACCATGTCTCTACAAAGGCTCAGGTGATCCTCCCACCTCAGCCTCCCAAGTAACTGGGACTACAGGCACACAACCCCTTGCTCAGCTAATATTTATATTTTTTGTAGAGACAAGGTCTCACCATGTTGCCCAGGCTGGTCTGGAACTCCTGGGCCCAAGCAATCCACCTGCCTTGGCCTCCCACAGTGCTAGATTTATAGGAGTCAGCCACTGTGCCCAGCCTACAAAAAAAATTGTTTTAAGTAGCTTGGCATGGTGGCTCCCACCTGTAGTCCCAGCTACTCAGGAGGCAGAGGCAGGAGGATCACTTGAGCCCTGGAATTCGAGACTGCAGTGAGCCATGATTTTGCCACTGCTCTCTAATCTGGGCAACAGACCAAGATCCTGTCCCTTAAAAAAAGAAAGGAGTAAATTATTACATCTTCACATGAACTTCACAAAAGTGTACACCTGCTGTAGCAAAATATAACCCACAAAATTTCAAAAATATTTTTCTAGTAGCATCTTCTAAATACATAACTTGTTTTTAAAAGTGCAAACATTATGATAAACAATTTGTTTTGAAAACATAGGACTTTTACAAAAAGTCATATAAATACTCTTATAGTTTTTCATATGAAAGTCATAATACAATAAAACCATACAAATATTTTAAATTGTATAAAAACAAAATGAGGCCAGGCACAGTGGCTTACACCTGTAATCCCAGCACTTTGGGAGGCCGAGGCGGGTGGATCACAAGGTCAGGAGATTGAGACCATCCTGGCTAACACGGCAAAACCCCGTGTCTACTGAAAATACAAAAAATTAGCCGGGCGTGGTGGCAGGCGCCGTAGTCCCAGCTACTCGGGAGGCTGAGGCAGGAGAATGGTGTGAACCTGGGAGGCGGAGCTTGCAGTGAGCTAAGATTGCACCACTGCACTCCAACCTGGTCGACAGAGCGAGCCTCTGTCAAAAAAAAAAAAAAAAGAAGAAAATGCTTAATATTTTTCTGATTTTGGTACTATTTATATGGCTTATGGAAAACAAGAGCTTGGTATTCTAGTCCAAAAAACAATTTATCTGGCAAATAAATTTCTACATTCAAATCCAAAGAAAAGCTAAAGCTGCTCAACAACAACAGTTTGCAATTAAAATCCAAGGGAACCTGGATAGAGAGAATCTCTTTTGCAGGGTCGGGGATGGTATTACACAGTTTAAGAAGTCTTTGGGCCTGGCGAGGTGGCTCATGCCTGTAATCCCAGCACTATGGGAGGCCGAGGCAGGCGGATCACAAAGTTAAGAGATAGAGACCATCCTGGCCAACATGGTGAAACCCCATCTCTACTAAAAATACAAGAATTAGCTGGGCATGGTGGCACGTGCCTGTAGTCCCAGCTACTCAGGAGGCTGAGGCAGGAGAATCGCTTGAACCCGGAAGGCAGAGGTTGCAGTGAGCTGAGATGGCACCACTGCACTCTGGCCTGGCAACGGAGCGAGACTCCATCTCAAAAAAAAAAAAAAAAAAAAAAAGCCAGGCGCGGTGGCTCACACCTGTAATCCCAGCACTTTGGGAGGCCAAGGCGGGCAGATCACAAAGTCAGGAGATCGAGACCATCCTGGCTAACATGATGAAACCCCGTCTCTACTAAAAAATACAAAAAATTAGCCAGGCGTGGTGGTGGGCGCCTGTAGTCCCAGCTAATCAGGAGGCTGAGGCAGGAGAATGGTGTGAACCCGGGAGGCGGAGCTTGCAGTGAGCCAAGATCGCGCCACTGCACTCCAGCGTGGGCGACAGAGCAAGACTCCATCTCAAAAAAAAAAAAAGAAGTCTTTGTATACTTAAATAATGGCTACAGCCCATAATTTTGCACTACAATGTTTTGGGGTGGGGAGCCTTTTGACTACGTGCCTGATGTAAATACAGTAAGTATACTAAAAGGTGCCCACATGGTAGAGCTAAAGCACCAAAGCAGACAAACTTAAGATGCCAGAGCAGCTGGGCGCAGTGGCTCACACCTGAAATCTCAGCACTTTGGGAAGCCGAGGCAGGCAGATCATTTGAAGCCAGGAGTTCGAGAACAGCCTGTCCAACATAGCAAAACCCTGTCTCTACTAAAAATACTAAAATTAGGCCGGGCATGGTGGCTCACGCCTGTAATACCAGCATTCTGGGAGGCCGAGGCGGGCAGATCACCTGAGGTCAGGAGTTTGAGACCAGCCTGGCCAACATGGTGAAACCCCATCTCTACTAAAAACACAAAATTAGCCAGGCGTGGTGGCGGGCTCCTGTAATCCCAGCTACTCGGGAGACTGAGGCAGGAGAATGGCCTGAACCGGGGAGGCGGAGCTTGCAGTGAGCCAAGATCACGCCACTGCACTCCAGCCTGGGCGACAGAGCTAGACTCCATCTCAAAAAAAAAAAAAAAAAAAAAAAAAGATTAGCCGGGCATGGTGGCACACACCTGTAGTCCCAGCTACTCAGGAGGCTGAGGCAAAAGAATTGCTTGAACCTGGGATGCAGAGGTTGCAGTGAGCAGAGAACATGCCACTGCCCTCCAGCCTGGGCAACAGAGTGAGACTCTGTCTCAAAAAAAAAAAAAAAAAAGAACTGCTTCCTCAATAGTAACTACAATGTTCATAAGAGGGTTTTGTTTTGTGTTTTTTATCTTTTGTTAAAAAGAGCTATTCCAGAACTATCCAACAGTCCCTCCCCCAATTCCCCAGCACCTCTCTCCTCAAGATGCCCTTCCTGATCTGCCCTTCTGGGTCCATGGGAAAGACAGTCTGTTCAGCTGGGACTCCATCCTGCTGCCAGGACGGAGGCGGTGAAGGGCAAATCTGGCCACATCATTCCCTTCGGATTTCTTTAGTAGCAGCCCCACCCCCAGTACCTTTAGAAGAAGTGGCAGCTGCACCTAAAACCCCTAACTCCGTGGAATAATATAGAAAACCCCAGTCAGGAGCAGTGGCTCACGCCTGTAACCTCAACACTTTGGGAGACTGAAGCAGGAGGATCACCTGAGGTCAGGCGTTCAAGACCAGCCTAGCCAACATGGTGAGACCCCCCCCATCTCTACTAAAAATACAAAATTAGTGGGGCATGGTTGCAGATGCTTGTAATCCTAGCTACTTAGGAGGCAAGGCTGGAGAATCACTTGAACCGGGGAGGCGGAGGTTGCAGTGAGCTGAGATGGTACCACTGCATTCCAGCACGGGCAACAAGAGTGAAACTCCAATCTCAGGAAAAAAAAAAAAAACAGGATCTGGGCTGTCCTCCAGTCTCCTGGTCACAGCAAGCACCCAGGGGTCAGCCCGGGGCCTTCCTCCTACCTCCATCTGCATTCTCCCTCGCTCAGCTCATCCACCTTCAGGGTTTTCAACACAGGCTACATACTGCCAACAACCATGTGTCTCTCTAGTCCACCTCCTGCCCCTGAGCTCCGGACTCACATCCGATTGCCTCTTTAATCTCTCCGTTTGAATGCCCAACAGGCATCTCAAAAACACTTCCCCCATGGCCTCCCAGTTTCCCCCATGGTAAGAAACAGCCCACCGGCTACTCTGTTCGAGTCACACTCTCAGACAGATTTCTCCTTTCTGTCCATCATCTCTTCCCCACCTCTGTCTCTAAAGTATATCACAGCTTCGTGCCCCAGCACCTAGCACAGCACATGGCAAGCTTCCCGTAAATGTGTGCTGAGTCACCTCTGGAGGTCACCTGCTAATGAGGGAGGTCTCTCCTGGCACAGGTCACTTAGGAAAGGCGCTTGTCTCTCACACAGGAGGTGGAGAGGACAGCCCAGGACAAGGACTCAAGACTCTCCTGTGGTCTGAACTCTGAAGGGCCTGCGGTCCAGGAGAGCACCTGGGTTGTGAACTCCGAGACTCGGCTGCCAGGAGAGCAGGGGAGGAGGGAGCCCGGGCCAGGCTGTCCCCATGGATCCTGGGAGCCAGTGGCGGCAGAAAAGGCCCACAACCCAGGGTTAAACCAGCCACCACTGGATCCCTGCCCTGCATTTTCCAAGCTGGACAGCTACGACTTCCTGTACTTAATACATTCATGTCTCTTCTGTTCCACCACCCTAGAATGTGATGAAATCTTTCAGAAAGCCCAGCCTGTCTCAACTGGGACAAAGCAAATGAAGAAAGAAAGTGTTGGTACTTGGACCAGAGCACTGAGGAAGAAACAAGGCCCCTGGGCAGTGAGGTGGTGGCAGCAGGTCACAGAGCGAGAACCTTTCCCTGAGGGGGATGAAACCACAGGGGACTAGGCCAGCCAAAGAGTGTCCTGCAGGGCTGCCCTTGGTGTTGGAGACTCTAGATCAGTAATGCAAACAAATGATGTGCCACCAGTGAGGGACATTAGCGTCAACAAATGCAGACACTGGCTTGGTGCAGTGGCTCATGCCTATAATCCCAGCACTTTGGGAGGCCAAGGCAGGTGGATCACTTGAGGTCAGGAGTTCGAGACCAGCCTGGCCAACATAGTGAAACCCTGTCTGTACTAAAAATACAAAAAACTAGCCTGGTGTGGTGGCACATGCCTGTAATCCCAGCTACTTGAGAGGCTGAAGCAGGAGAATTGCTTCAACCCAGGAGGTGGAGTTTGCAGTGAGCCAGGATCGCGCCACTGCACTCCAGCCTGGGCGAAAGAGTAAGACTCTGTCTCAAAAAAAAAAAAAAAAAAAGCAGACACAGTTATTTCTATGTCTTACCTACATGAGGTTAAATGGAAAGTCTGTACAATAGCTAAGGTTGAACTGCCTCTCTGGTTCTGAATGCTCATTGGCAGAAGCAAAAAGGAAAGTGGTCACTTATACAGGGCCTTGTGTCTGCAAGATCCAAGTGAACTAGAAGGCCGTATTTCCCTGACACTTAAACAAATTGCCCTTGAGCCCTCATAAGGGGCGCAAAAGACTGGTGTGGGTTTTTTTGTTTTTTATTTTGAGATGGAGTTTCGCTCTTGTCGCCCAGGCTAGAGTGCAATGGCATGAGCTCGGCTCACTGCAACTTCTGCCTCCCAGATTCAAGTAATTCTCTTGCCTCAGCCTCTCAAGTAAGCTGGGACTACAGGCACATGACACCACGCCCGGCTAACTTTTTTATTTTTGGTACAGACAGGGTTTCACCATGTTGACCTCAGGTGATCCACCCACCTCCGCCTTCCAAAGTGCTGGGATTACAGATGTGAACCACCGCACCCAGCCTGGTGTGGGTTTTAGAATGGCCTGTGTCTCCTTTACGGTGGAAAGTCGCTGAGGTGAAGGAAATGGGAAATGGCATGCTCCAGGCAGAAGCAAAAGAAAAGACAGCCGCACCCTCCCGCAGCTCCCCTGGCCACCAGCACACTCCAGCTCCAGCATTCCTTGCCTTCATGCACGGCCCACAGCCACAGCCGGGAATCACAGGCCAGAAACGTTCGCTCAGAAGCCCAGGATCAAGCATGGCGCTGCAGCCTGGGACTTTTGCAGTTAAGCTATCCCAGGAAAACCCCCTAAAGCCGCCTAAATCAATTAGCAATTCACTTCCTCAAAACAAACAAACCAAAGAATAAAGGCTGGTGTGTCACTAAATGCTACAGACTGAACAAGATCCCCCAGAGCAAATATTTTAGCAAACACCAAACGCCAATGGGTTACCTGCTAAAAAAAAGCTAAAATTAAAAAACATATTTTAAAAAAATGAAAAGACTATCCAGTTAACATATAGATTTAGACAGCAGTGTTTGTTTTTTAAAGCAGTGAAGGCTATGAGAAGGCAGCACATAGGGAAATCTAGCTATTTTTAATGCAACATGTTGACAGCCTACCTTTTCAGACCCAATAACACACTCACAGGGCAGTATGACAGAAAAAAAGAAAAAGAAAAAGAAAAGAAAGAGGAACAAGCAAAAATTAGAAACATATAAGAACAGAAATAATTTTGATAACTACAACACTACATGGACAAGAATGGGCCATGGGTTTTCATGAGGGGCACATGTGAGCTGGTAAGTAAATTACACCTACACCTCGTGTACCGGGGAACTCCAGGTCCCGAAGGTAGAATGACCTGTCAGGAGGCCTATCAGTATGGTCAATGTGTCAAACCAAAACTGGCCTTACATCTGGACATTTCCTGTTGAGCTACAAAATACCACCCCATTTCAGGTTGGACACTTCCTCACTCCTACCAAGAGCTGCAGGGGAGACAAGGCTTTGTTCCTGCACCAAAGCATTCCTTCAAAAATTAGAGAACCAGCCAGGCACTGTGGCTCACACCTGTAATCCCAGCACTTTGGGAGGCCGAGGCAGGTGGATCACTTGAGGTCAGGAGTTCGAGACCAGCCTGGCCAACATGGTGAAACCCTGTCTCTACTAAAAATACAAAAATTAGCTGAGTGTGGTGGCGCACGCCTGTAATCCCAGCTACTCAGGAGGCTGAGGCACAAAGAATCGCTTGAGCCCAGGAGGTGGAGGTTGCAGTGAGCCGAGACTGCACCACCACACTCCAGCCTGGGTGACAGAGCAAGACACCATCTCAAAAAAAAAAAAAAAAAAAAAATTAGAGAACCATGGAGAAACAAAAGCAACAACAGGTTACCCATTATGAGAGGAGGATGTATTTGATTTGAGTTCACTGGTGTCATTATCTCACTGAAGTTCAAATGCTAACTGATGTCTAATTGCGGCTGTCCCACTACAGTGAGCAAGCAGCTTTATGTGCCACTGTATTTTCAGTGCCTGGAGCCATGCCTGGCATATGAAGGCTCTAACAAACACTTGTCAGTCCTTATCCACTATGCGTGACGCACTGCGTCACAGCACACTCCCGCTCCTCCTGCAGAGTTGTGAGCTCAGATTTCAAAAGGCAAAAAAGACCTGGCATTTGAAGGTGGATCTGCAACCTCACAGCCAAGAAGTGGATGACTGAAAAATGTCACTGATGCCCATGTGGCAAAGGAGGAAGGCATGAGTCAAGGGGTCAGAGCAGGATTCCTGACCCATGCTGCCTGTGAGCTTCAACCCCTCACCCCTTCTCTGTAAAGCAGGGGCAGGCCACTCCCTGCCGACCTGGCAGGTGGCCGCCAAGCTGTGCACACCATACAGCAACACCTTATCAGGGATGACTCCCACAGTGCCTGCTGGCTGGACAGCAGTGTGCGCTATTCACGAGGCACAGGAGGCGCAGCAGAAGGCAACAAGGTGAGGTAGAAAGGCCCCGGGCCTCAGAGACAGACCTGGTGCTTATATCAGCTCTGCTGCTTGGTGGCTGCCCGGGTCTCTAAACCTTGCTGCCTCAGCCCCACATCAGCCAGCACAGCAACCCCGTGTAGATCACAGGGCTGCCGTGAGGATTAAACACAGAGCAGGTCTACAGCATGCCTTTTCCTTTCCTTAAGCCAAATATGCACATTTGGGTGAAGAAATGAAAATTCCTTCCTTCCAGACCCTGCAAAGCACCACAGGCAGGTGCGACTGAGGCTATTCCATGCTTCCAACTCTGAGGGCTGGATTTAAGACTACTGTGTCTCAATTCTGTGATCATCTCTCCTCATACTTACCAACAACCAGAACGACACCGTGTGACCTTAGATAAATTTCAGAAACATACTGAGCACCTACTTTGCAGCAGGCACTATGGTGGCATGCACCTTACATCACTGAATCCTCACCTGTGGCTCATCAGCCAATCCTATACAGGAGGAGGGAGAGCCCTGTCCAAGCCAGGAGGCCAGTGACTGACACAGTGACACATCACTTTCCCTGGCAAATGGGGACGCCCTCTTGGCAAACAGCTGCTGCCTAGGCTTGCATCTCATCCAGCTCTGCAGAACAGCCACCATGGCAAGACACAGCAGCAAGCAGAGAGTGGAAGGAAGTGGCAAGGAAGAGCTCATCTGCAATTTTGATTTGAAATAAAGTTTTTGACTTAATAACAGGCAAGATGGGAAGCTGACCTTTTCCTGCTCTATCCAACACTCCTTGTACACAGAGAGAACAGACATACTTTTCATTTGTATACGGTAGCTGTTTAGGAGCTCCCAGGTGGTATTTCTGGCATCCTGATATCCATGCTTGGCTGCTTTGTAAGTGAGGAATTCGACACTGTGGCCATCAGGAGGGAAAAAGTAGCCACATACGCAGGGTGCACAGCCTGGCAATCCGGAGACGTGGGCTCTACTTCTAGCTCAGCTAGGACCTAGCCCTTACCTCTCCAGATTCACCCTCTCATCTGTGAACCAAAGGGACGAGACTGAATAAAACTGTTCAAACTGTGCTCTAGCACAGTGCTGTCCAACAGAAATAAAATGCAAGCCACGTAAGTACATTTCAGTTTCTAGTTGCCACATTTTTAAAAGTAAGAATGAAACAGTTGATACTGATTTTTAAAATATAGTTTATTTAACCTAAGATATGTAAAATACTATCATTTCAACATGTAATCTGTATAAAACATATTAGCAAGAAAGTTGGCCAGGCACAGAGGCTCACACCTGTAATCCCAGCACTTTGGGAGGCCAAGGCAGGCAGATCACTCAAGGCCAGGAGTTCAAGACCAGCCTGGCCAACGTGGCAAGATCCTGTCTCTATTAAAGATACAAAACTTAGCCAGGCATGGTGGCACCTGCCTGTAGTCCCAGCTACTTGGGAGGCTGAGGCATGAGAATCACTTGAACCCGGGAGGTGCACGTTGCACTGAGCCAAGATCGCGCCACTGCACTCCAGCCTGAGAGACAGAGTAAGACTCTGTCTCAAAAAAAAATTAGCAAGAAAGTTTATTTTTTCAGAAGTAAGTCTCAAAATCTGGCGTGGGTTTTATTCACAGCCCATCTCAACTAAAACTAGCCTCGTGTCTAGTGCCCAAAAGCCACAACTGGCTGTGGCTGCTGTATGGGACAGAGCTCCAGGAGTCCCACGAGGGGAGCCCCACTAAAAAGAGGGGAGTGTACAAGACAACTCTAAAGGACTCCCCCAACCAAAGGCTGTCTCTGTCTTTAAAAGTCACTGGTTTTTGTTTGGTTGGTTTTTTTAGCAGCACTCAAACAGATTCTGACAGAAAGTCATTAGTTTTAAAAACCAATGGACAACACCTTTCTACTCCTTGCTGCAATGAAATTCTGCCCTGTGCTTTCCCTTTCTGATGCAGGGAAGCCAAGGGGCCTGGGTCTCTAGGTAAGCTTACCTGCTGTCTGTGTCCAGTCCTACAAAGTCCTTTTTCTCAAACGGGACACAGAGAAGGGGGATCTTATCCCCAGACTTGTCTGTGGCTCTGTCCAGACGCTTGGACTCCAGCACGATGAACAGTGACTCGATGAAGTCCTCGATTCTCTTCTCCACCGTCTGGCAGTCCTCGTAGTTGGGGTAGAAAGCCACGTCGGTGCGCGGCTGCTCCACGATCTCCCCCTGCAGCCCGAAGACAAAGAGCCGGGAGTCATACAGTGTGGAGCCGTAGATCTCCTTCTGCACGTGGAACTTCTCAAAGGTCTGTGGCCAGTCCTTGGCCGAGAAGCAGTCTGTGATGGTGATGAGGCCCACGACTTTGCGGTGGGTCTGGAAGTCACCCCACTCGTTGTTCTCGGGTGGGTAGTGGTGCCTGTAGCGGATGTAGAGGACTCGCTGGGAGTCCCGCACGCTGATCTGACTCACAGAGCAAATCCTCTTATAGATCCTGAAGAAGTTCTCCTCGGAGACGATGCCCACAGGCTGGACCACCACGAGCAGCGTCTGGTGGTCCTCAGCACACTGCATGTAGTCAGGGACGCTCATTTTGAAGTCCCTGTTCAGAGAGAAGAAATGAGGCTGTGAGACACAGAGTCCTGAGTGCTGAGAGCCTACCCTGGGAGGCAGTGACTGTGACCTTCACTACCCAGAGGCAGGGGAAGCCCCAAGGAAAGCCGTGGCATCAACAGGTCTTAGGGCTCTACACGTGGCTGTCGCAGCTCTGATCATAATGCTGTAACTGTTGACCTTCAGTCCCTTGGCCTCAGCATGGAGCTTCTACAGAAATGGGGCTGTTTCTTGTCTTTCTATTCTCACCACCTAACCAGGAGTAGTAAGAGTCAGTGCTCAAAAATGTCTGTTGAGTGAATGAATAAACACGTGTGTAATTGCTCCCCCATCCCCTCAACAGGATATTAAGAAAAATCCACCATGCAATCACATCTGGATTTGAATTCCGGGCTCCCTGGAACTCCTCAGCTACAAAATAGTGGTGATAATAGAACTTGTCTTGGCCGGGCATGGTGGCTCATGCCTGTAATCCTAACACTTTGGAAGGCCGAAGCTGGCGGATCACTTGAGGTCAGGAATTCGAGACCAGCCTGGCCAACATGGTGAAACCCCACCTATACTAAAAATACAAAAATTAGCCGGGTGTGGTGGCACGTGCCTGTAATCCCAGTTACCCAGGAGGCTGAGGCAGGAAAATCACTGGAACCCGGGAGGTGAAAGCTGCAGTGAGCCAAGATTGCGCCACTGCACTCCAGCCTGGGTGACAGAGTGAGACTCCGTCTCAAAAAAAAAAAAAAAAGAGGCGGGGCGCAGTGGCTCACACCTGTAATCCCAGCACTTTGGGAAGCTGAGGCAGGCAGATCACAAGGTCAGAAGATCGAGATCATCCTGGCTAACATGGTGAAACCCCATCTTTACTAAAAATACAAAAAATTAGCCCGGCGTGGTGGCAGGCACCTGTAGTCCCAGCTACTTGGGAGGCTGAGGCAGGAGAATGGCATGAACCAGGGAGGCAGAGCTTGCAGTGAGCCCAGATGGCGCCACTGCACTCCAGCCTGGGCGACAGAGCCAGACTGCATCTCAAAAAAAAAAAAAAAAAAAAAGAATTAAAAGAAAAAGAACTTGCCTTATAAAACTGTATCTAGATTGAGGAGGTTGCGAATGTAAAGGGCCTAGCATTGTGCCTAACATAAAAGGAGAGATTACACAAATATACCACCTTTCCTTTATAAATGGGAGAGTTGCCATAACCTCTCTGAGCCAATTTTGTCAGATATAAAAAGAAAACGTTATTACCTGATTCCCCAGAGCTGGGGAAAAATTAAATTAGATGACCCACGTGAAAGAATCTGGCTCATAGGAGATCCTCAATACATGTTTGTTGAAGGGATTAGTGAACAAACAAACAAATGAACAATCCAATGAATGCTGCCCCCAGCCTACAGACGGTCATGATGGAAATCCCACTGCCTGGAAGTCAGGGCCGATATTCAACTCCCAGCTCTACACGCACGATCTGGGTGACCTGGAGCAAGCCTGTGTGCTTCCCTGAACCCTAGTTTCATTGTGAATAAAAATGAGGATAGTAACACATACCTCAAGGTGTCAGCAAGTCAACATTCTGGTTGTGATAACATACTGTGGTTTTGTAACATGGCACCACGGGGGGAAACTGGGCAAAAGGTATATAGGATCCCTCAGTATTATTTCTGACAAATGCACATGGAGCTACAACTACTATAGTCTCAAATAAAAAGTCTAATTTTTTTAAAGGTTAGGGAGATTAAATGAGCTCTCTGTATCAAATAAGAAAAAGATGCCTCGATACACACCTCCACTGTCCCCATCAGTGGGCTGACACTTCCTGAGGGGATTTGGCCATGGTCCCCATGGCCAGAGGCAGCTGTACCATGAGCTAATGGGGTTCAGCTTCAGGCCCCTTCCATGGCCCTCTATCTAATTTTGCATTTTTAATTTTGTTTTCTTTTTCTTAAATAGGAAGCCCAAAACTGCATAACCTTCAGGTCACCAAAGCCTGACTGCAGAGATCGTGGCAGTAAAACCCTCCCAGGTGACACTAAGATTAAAGTGACATTGCTATAAGACCTCTGTGAAATTCTAATGGCAAGCTTCTCACCTGCACGGAGAGGAGGAGGACTGTGTGTCGGGGGCTATCCTGGACATCACAACCCCACCTCTACAGACTTCAAAAATACACATGGATAGAGAAGTATGAACAAAATTAAATTTTAAAAAAAGGAAACCCTAGCCTCCCAACATGTCTTGCTTCTGCCCAGGATCTAAACGGTTCACAAGTATATTACATGTGTGTGACTCAGCCCAAGTCCCTGACTCCAGTGCTCACGCTCTCAAGGACGACGCCCCACTCTCTCCTGCCCTTTCCCCACAACGATTCCCTAAAGAGTCTTTTCTGCACACAAAAACCACCTTCGAAAGAACCAAAATCACATCACCTTCCAACAAAGAGGCATAAAACCCCTCGGAGGACATATCAAAATACTGAGCGGGGGAGACTGGAGCGCTCATGTTTCTCAAAAGTAGGCACAGGTTTAACAGAAGCTGAGAAACACCGAAGCCTTCATTCTACAGAGGAGGAGAGCGCGGCCCACCGCAGGTAACAAAGGGCCTTATTTTAGAAGTATCATCTCGGCCAGACACGGTGGCTCACACCTGTAATCCCAACACTTTGGGAGACAGAGGCGGGAGGATCACTTGAGGTCAGCAGTTAGAGACCAGCCTGGTCAACATGACAAAACCCCATCTCTATTAAAAATACAAAAATTAGCCAGGAGTGGTAGCACACACCCGCAGTCCCAGCTACTCCAGAGGCTGAGGCAGGAGAATTGCTTGAACTCAGGAGGTGGAGGAGGCAGTGAGCCAAGATCACAACACTGCACTCCAGCCTGGGTAACAGAGCGAGACTCCATCTCAAAAAAATTAATAAATAAAAATGATTTAAAAATAAAAACTATCGTCTCATCTAAAAAGCAGCATAATCAGCCGGGTGTGGTGGCTCACACCTGTAATCCCAGCACTTTGGGAGGCGGAGGCAGGCAGATCACTTGAGGTCAGGAGTTGGAGACCAGCCTGACCAACATGGAGAAACCCGGTCTCTAATAAAAATACAAAAAATTAGCCAGGCGTGGTGGCGCATGCCTGTGATCCCAGCTACTCAGGAGGCTGAGGCAGGAGAATCGCTTGAACCCAGGAGATGGGGGTTGCAGTGAGCCGAGATCACGCCACTGCACTCCAGCCTGGGCAATAAGAGTAAGACTCCCTCTCAAAAAAAAAAAAAAAAAAAACACAACCTGACCTCACACCTGTGATCTCAACACTTTGGGAGGCCAAGTCGAGTGGATCGCCTGAGGTCAGGAGTTCGAGACCAGCCTGGCCAACATGGCAAAACCCTTTCTCTACTAAAAATACAAAAATTAGCCAGGCTTGGTGGCATGCACCTATAATTCCAGCTACTTGGGAGGCTGAGGCACGGGAATCGCTTGAACCCAGGGAGGAGGAGGTTACAGTGAACTGAGATCACACCACTGCACTCCAGCCTGGGTGACAAAGTAAGACTCTTTAAAAAAAAAAAAAAAAAGACACCTGCCACTGAGCCAGTTCTGGTATCTGAGACTAAGCTAATACAGGTATTAAAACAGCAAAAATATGTATCTTCAACTTGGTAGTTCCTCCATAGAGCTACTATAAAACCAGCAATCCAAGAGATCTGAAAACATGTGTCCACACCAGAAACATGTACAGGAATGTACATAGCAGTATTATTCCTCTTTTTCTGAGATGGAGTTTCGCTCTGTCACCCAGGCTGGAGTACAGTGGCAGGATTTCAGCTCACCTCAACCTCTGCCTCCCAGGTTCAAGCGATTCTCATGCCTCGGCCTCCCGGGTAGCTGGGACTACAGGCGTGAGCCACCATGCTCGGCTAATTTTTGTATTTTCCGTGGAGATAGGGTTTTGCCATGTTGTCCAGGCTGGTCTCGAACTCATGATCTCAGGTGATCCACCCGCCTCAGCCTCCCAAAGTGCTGGGATTACAGGCACAACATTATTCTTGTTTTTTGTTTGTTTGTTGTTTTGAGATGGAGTCTCACTCTGTCGCCAGGCTGGAAAGCAGTGGCGCGATCTCGGCTCACTGCAAACTCCGCCTCCCAGGTTCAAGGGATTCTACTGCCTCAGCCTCCCAAGTAGCTGGGACTACAGGCGCCCACCACCATGCCCAGCTAATTTTTGTATTTTTAGTAGAGAGGGGGTTTCACCATGTTGGCCGGGATGGTCTCGATCTCTTGACCTCGTGATCTGCCCGCCTCGGCCTCCCAAAGTGCTGGGATTACAGGCGTGAGCCACCATGCCTGGCCAGGCACAGCATTATTCTTAATAGCTAAGGAGTGAAAACAACACAAATGTCCATCAACTGCCTGATACACAAAATGTTAAATCTATACAATGGAATATTATTCAGCCACAGAAAGGAACAAAGTGCTGATGTAAGCCACAACATGAATAACTTTAGAGCACTGTGCTGAATGAAAGAAGCTAAATACAAAAGGCCACATGTTGTATGATTCCATTAATAGGAAATGCCCTGAATATGCAAATCTATATATATCGAAAGTAAACCGGTGGCCGCCAGGGGCTGTCGGAGGGGGGAATGAGGAGTGACTGCTAATGGGTATGGAGTTTCTTTCTGGGGTGATGAAAATGTTCTGGAATGACAATGGTAACACAAGTGTGAATATACTAAAAATTACTGAATTGGCCAGGCATGGTGGCTCACGCCTGTAATCCCAGTACTTTGGGAGGCCAAGGCGGGTGGATCACGAGGTCAGGAGTTCGAGAGCAGCCTGGCCAACAGAGTGAAACCCCGTCTCTACTAAAAATACAAAAAAAATGTAGCCGGGCATGGTGGCAGGCACCTGTAATCCCAGCTACTCAGGAGGCTGAGGCAGGAGAATCGCTTGAACCCAGGAGGCGGAGGGTGCAGTGAGCCAAGATCGTGCCATTGCACTCCAGCCCAGGCGACAGTGCGAGACTCCGTCTCAAAAAAAAAAAAAAAAGAAAAATCACTGAATTGTACACTTTAAAGCAGTGGATTTTATGGCAGGTAATCGAGGCTCAATGAAGCTGTTATTTTTGACACACTAGATTTCTGAAACATTTATTGTTTACATGTTTCCGGACAACTGTTTTTCCCTCTACACTACTAGTCCTCCACACAATTAAAAAAACGAACAAACACACACAACAAAACCTAGCCAGATCTTTAGGACGGCAATGTTCCTGGGCCTCCAACATCATCCACCCGGTGCTTTGTTTCAGGTTAACAAATAAAGATGTCATAGGTAGCTATGACTACCTTAGAAACACGGGACAGTCACCAGTTTAAACTGGGGCCGTGAGGGATGGAAGGGAAGTCACTCCCCCATACCTTTCAACTGGGCCTTGCTTCCAGCGTTTTAATTCCTCTCTCTATAGAAACATTTGAAGACAGACAACGCATCCTAACACGGGAAAACTTTCGGTTAACAGACATTCACGTTGGGAAGGTCTGCAGGGGTGGAGGGGATTGGGGTGGGCTGACAGGGAGAAGACCACAGGCCAGTAGCCTGACTTCCTCTCCCCAGGGTTCCCTGGGATAAGTTGGAGTTGACAGCGCGCTTATCCCAGAGAGCACCGCCTGATGCCGCCCAGCTAGATCGCAGGCACTTTGAATCCAGGAGACAGGAGGGAAAGGGCTAGGGGAGAAGTCCGGGAACTCAGGGCGGGGAAAGCGCCGGGGGCGTGGGCTGTGCTGGGCCCCAGGCCCCAGCCGCGCGTCCCAGACCCCGCGGGCTCCAGTGGGCTTAGCCAGGCCCAGGGGCGGGGGGCTCCAGCGCCGCGGACGGCCCGGGAGGGGAAGCCAGGCGGAGACAGCTCGGAGGCACAGAGGGGAAGGGGACCCCCGCCGCGAGCTCGGGAGAGCAGAGCCGGCCCGGGCAGCAGGTGTGGGCCGGGTCCCGGACAGGTGTCCGCCGAGTCTTCAGCGGGTGTGGGACACGGCCTTGGACAGATGTAAGCAGAGCGCCAACAGGAGCAAGGGCGCCTCGAGCAGGTGCACGCTGAACCCCGGCCCGGCAGCGGACCCGGACAGGTGTGGCGGGCTCCGCCCGGACAGGTGAGGGCCGGGCGAGCCCCTCCGCGGGACGCGCCGACTCCACGGCCAGCCGCGCAGCCCTCCCCGCAGCCGGTCCGAATTGCCTGACCGGGAGCCCCCCCGCTTTGCACTTACACAGCCGGTGGCCCCGGGCCCGGAGCGGGAGCCCACGACCTGGCGGGCAGCGGGGCCGAGCAGCCTCTGCGGCCACTTCCCAGGCTCTGGGCTGGCGCTTCCTACTGGCGGCCGAGCCGGCGCTGCTCCTGCGCGTGCGCGGAGGCCAGGCCTGGGCCCCCGATCCGTCCCGGGTTTTGCAAGAGACGCGAGGGAAGCAAGGGGGTAGGAGCGAGGGAGAAAAGAGGAAGGAGGAGCGAGGGAGAGAAGAGGGGACAGGGAGGGAGGGGACATGGGGAGGGAGGAGGAGGAGGGAGGAGGGAGAGAAAAAGGTGGGGTGAAAGAAGGAGGGAGGAGGAGCGAGGGAGAGAAGCGGGGACGGGGAGGGAGGAGGAGGAGAGTAGGAGGAGGAGGGGTGAAAGAAGGAGGGAGGGGCAGCGAGAGAGAGAAGCGGGGGACAGGGAGAGGGTGGAGGAGGGAGGAGGGAGGGAAAAAGGAGGGGTGAAAGGAGGGAGGAAGAGGAGGAGGGAAGGAGGGAGATGGAGGGAGATGGAGCGAGGAGGGAGGGAGGGACCGGAGCAAGAGAACAGAGACTAGGAGGAAAGCTTCTGCACCTGGGGCGGCGCAGCTGGAAGGAGGCCCAGTTCTGTCCCCGCCGCTTACCAGTCCTTCAGGGCGCGCAGCTCAAATTTCACTTCCTCTGTGAAGCTCAGGGGTGGAGGCCCCGCGGAAGCCCACTGTGGATCCCTGCGGCACCCCCTGTGACCCTCACGGTACCCCCCGTGACTCCCACGGTCGTGCCCCCCACGTGGGTGGGTGACCGTGGCGCGCGCGGCCTGGGAGCGCCTCCAGGATCGCAGGGCCCGGGAGGCACGTGAGGTGCGAGCCCCAGCCTGGGCCGGCTTCCCCCTGTGTGGCGCGCGGTCTTGATCCCCAGCTGGCACCATGGCACTCCCGACTTTGAGGGCCCCAACAATCCATCCACATAAAAGGTTCCAAAGAGGCGACAGGGGCTAGGACAGCTGTCGTTAGTTCAGTGCCAAGGCGCCAAGCTTGCTAAGTGCGGGCAGAAGCCATTTAAGGATTTAAACCCCTCTGGGTTCAAAAATAAAATAAAATAAAGCAGGAGATGGGGGAGGCTTACAGACTTAAGATGCCCAGCACATGAATTAACAGTGGCATCCGCAGGGAAAATTGAAAACAGAGAGCCGCTCTCCGTTATGTATGTTTAATGTTCTGTTTGAATCTTTTAACATGTACATGTATTTCTTTTTCAATTAAAAAATCCTGGCCAGGAGAAATGGCTCACACCTGTAATCCCAACACTTTGGGAGACTGAGGCGGGTGGATCACTTGAGGTTAGGAGTTCAAGACCAGCCTGGCCAACATGGTGAAACCCCGTCTCTACTAAAAATACAAAATTAGCCAGATGTGGTGGCGCGCGCCTGTAATCCCAGCTACTCAGCAGGCTGAGGCAGGAGAATCGCTTGAACCTGGAAGACAGAGGTTTCAGTGAGCCGAGATCATGCGATTGCACTCCAGCCTGGGCAACAACTGCAAAACTCTATCTCAAACAACAACAACAACAAACACTAAAAAGGGCTGGGTGTGGTGGCTCACACCTGTAATCTCAGCACTTCGGGAAGCCAAGGCGGGTGGATCACCTGAGGTCAGGAGTTCAAGATCATCCTGGGCAACATGGTGAAACTCCAGTCTCCACTAAAAATACAAAAATTAGTTGAGCGTGGTGGTACATGCCTGTAATCCCAGCTACTAGGCAGTCTGAGGCAGGAGAATCTCTTGAACCCGGGAGGCGGGGGCTGCAGTAAACCAAGATCACACCACTGCACTCCAGCCTGGGTGACAGAGAGAGCCCATCTCAAAAAAAAAAAAAAAAAAAATCCTAAAATGGAAAAGTAAAGAGGACAGGAGTGGTTTTCTCAGCACATACAGCAGCAAGGGAGAAATGGTCTGAGCCAGCATTTTTCCTTTCAGCCAGCAGGCACTTACCCGCTCTGGGCTATGTGACCAGGGCTGTTTTATTATCACATGTGTTATAAAATAAGATACTATCCCTCATCCCTGCTCAGGGCTAGTGGAAAACCAATTGAGTTTTTATTGAATTATTTTCTACAGAGTCAGAATGAGTTATAAATAAAACATATCTTCAGGGCAAAACAAATAGAGCTGATTTCCAGCCTGCCAGACAGCCAGGAAGTTTTCAACAGAGGTGCCCAGGGGCTGAGGAAGAGTGTCTCCCTGACAACGCACAAGCTGCCCAACGTGGCTACCTCATGGTGTTACGACCGCATGGAGGCCGTGCAGTGGCTCACAGCTGTAATCCCAGCACTTTGGGAGGCCGAAGCAGACGGATTGCTTGAGCCCAGGAGTTTAAGACCAGCCTGGGCAACACAGGGAAACTCTGTCTCTTGGAAAAAATACCAAAATTAGCTGGGCAGGATGGCACAAACCTGTAGCCACAGCTACTCAGGAGACTGAGGCAAGAGGATCGCTTGAGTCCAGCCAGGTCGAGGCTGCAGTAAACCATGATCACTCTAGCCTGGGAGAGACAGCAAGACCCTGTCTCAAAAAAAAAGTGGTTTTTTTTATTTTTTTTAAATGAATAAATAAACAAAAGAGCGTATGGGCTTAACAGAGAATACAGAAAAGATACATTTAAAAGGCCACTGCTAATGGAGGTCTGAGTGCAGAAACTAGGCTCCAAGCTTACCTCATAAGATCCAAGCAAGGGAGCTATTTTTAGTGCTGAAGTCCAGAAAGGATACCCTACTTGGCTGGGGTCACACAAATGGCTGGTGCTATTTAGGGATTCAAATCCAGGGCTGTCAGACCCCACAGACTCTACTTTTTGCATAGGTCTTTTCTTATTCTGTCTGTAAGTGGATAAGGCAAGCAACTTGGAAAGCAAGATTGAAAGCTGGCAAAAGGAAACATTGCTTATTTGCAATGTACACACTTCAATCAATTTATGTTGCTGTCTCAGCAAATCTGTGGGGGAAGGAGAGCGGGGACTATTATTCTGCTTTTTTTTAAATTTATTTATTTACTTTTTTGAGACAGAGTCTCACTCTGTCACCCAGGCTGGAGTATAGTGGCACGATCTCAGCTCACTGCAACCTCCACCTCCCGGGTTCACGCGATTCTCCTGCCTCAGCCTCCTGAGTAGCTGAGATTACAGGTGCGCGCCACCACACTCGGCTAATTTTTGTATTTTTAGTAGAGACGGGGTTTCACCGTGTTGGTCAGGCTGGTCTCGAACTCCTGACCTCATGATCCTCCCACCTCGGCCTCCCAAAGTGCTGGTATTATTACTCTGCATTTTTACCAATGAGAAAACGGAGGCTCAGAGAGTGTAAGAGCCTGCCACAGCCCAGCCCACAATGATCAAATGAGAACATCCAAAGCAGTCCCCGTACTGTCTAGGTCCTGGGGCTGTGCTCCTTTAGCATCTTTAACATTTCCTAAGCATCTCCTCTGAAGGGTGACAATTCAAACATACAAAACCTGCCCTCAAGGAATTTACAGACATCTAAGGTTGGAAGGAATTTCTAAAATAACCAGGTCCAACCTCATACTCACACTCTCTCCCCTCTACAAAAGTCCTAACAGGCAGAATGCTTTGATGATGTGGCTATTTGTCTTAGTTGGTTTGGGCAGATATAAGAAATTACTAGAACAACACTGAGATCAGGGCGCCAGCATGGGTAGGGTGTGATGAAGGTCATCTTCTGAATGGCAGATGGCTGGCTTCTTGTATTTTCACATGACAGATAGAGAGCAAACTAGCTGTCTGGTCTCTTTTTTTTTTTTTTTTTTAAGATAGAGTCTCACTCTTGTTGCCCAGGCTGGAGTGCAGTGGCGCAATCTCAGCTCACCACAACCTCCACCTCCTGGGTTCAAGCGATTCTCCTGCCTCAGCCTCCTGAGTACTTGGGATTACAGGCATGCACCTCCACACCCAGCTAATTTTTTGTATTTTTTAGTAGAGACAGGGTTTCTCCATGTTGGTCAGGCTGCTCTCAAACTCCCGACCTCAGGTGATTCGCCTGCCTCAGCCTCCCGAAGTGCTGGGATTACAGGCATGAGCCACCGCACCCGGCCTAATTTTGTATTTTAAGTAGAGGCACAGTTTCACCATGTTGGCCAGGCTGGTCTCGAACTCCTGACCTCAGGTGATCCACCTGCCTCAGCCTCCCAAAGTGCTGGGATTACAGGCATGAGCCACCGTGTCCAGCCTGGTCTCTTCTTAGAAGCGCACTAATCCCATTCATGGGGGTTCTGCCCTTATGACCTAATTACCTCCCAAAGGCCCCACATCCATATATGATCATATTGGGGAATAAATTTAAACATATGAATTTGGGAAGAACATGAACATTCAGTTCATAACAAGCTCTACAAGAAAATTATCCAGTAAACTCAGCCAGAATATGCTTCCCTGAAACATCCAGTCAAGGGGTCTCAAGAAATAGGACCAAGCTGGCCTCGGTATCTCATGTCTGTAATCCCAGCATTTTGAGAGGCCAAGGAGGGAGGATTGTTTGATCCCAGGAGCTAGAGATGAGCCCAAGCAACATAGCTAGACCCCATCTCCACACAAAATTTAAAAAATAGCCGGCACGATTGTGCACACCTGTAGTCCCAGCTACTTGGGATGCTGAGGTGAGAGGATTGCTTGAGCTCAGAAAGTCAAGGCTATAGTCAGCTCGATCGTGCCACTGCACTCCAGCCTGGGAGACAGAGCAAAGAGTGAAACTCTGTCTAAATATATATACACACACACATACACACACACACATATAATATATATATAATCTATATATGGGACTAATGCCCCACAAGGCTTGCTGAGGTTGACAATTATCACAGCTGTGAGTTAAAAGTACAGGCTGGGACAGGTACGGTGGCTCATACCTGTAATCCCAGCACTTTGGGAGGCCGAGGCAGGTGGATCACGAGGTCAGGAGTTTGACACCACCCTGGCCAACATGGCAAAACCCCGTCTCTACTAAAAATAATAATAATAATACAAAAATTAGCCGGGCGTGGTGGTGGGCGCCTGTAATCCCAGCTACTCGGGAGGCTGAGGCAGGAGAATCACTTGAACCTGGGAGGCAGAGGCTACAGTGAGCAGAGATCGTGCCACTGCACTCCAGCCTGGGCAACAAGAGCAAGACTCCGTCTCAAAAAAAAAAAAAAAAAGTGCAGGCTAGACTCCAGCCTGGGCAACAGTGTGAGACCCTATCTCAAAAAAAAAAAAAAAAAGTTTAGGACAGAGTCCCTGCTCCATCACTCCCTAATTACTTGCCTTCCATATTTTCAGTTATTATATAAGGATAATCATTTCATAGGGCTATCATTAGGATTAAAGAAAGTGTGAGAAGGCAATTTGAGACAGAATGGACAAATTCTGTCACATGCTACTTGTACAGCCTCAG
This sequence comes from Homo sapiens, assembly GCF_000001405.40. Classification (NCBI taxonomy): domain Eukaryota; kingdom Metazoa; phylum Chordata; class Mammalia; order Primates; family Hominidae; genus Homo; species Homo sapiens. Next base: position 140,463,077 of record NC_000008.11, read on the forward strand.
GGTAAGGTGACCATATAGCTTTACTTTCCTGGTACAATTCCAGCTTATGTCCTGGCTAACGGTGTTCCGGTTGGGTGATCCAATCACTCCACTTTGCACAAAAGCCAGCACCTCTCAAGGGTTTTGATCCCCCACCAGTACCATAAAGAGTTTCTTCTCCTTCCCGTGTTATAGGACTCCATAGTGTCATGTCTCACCTGGGCTTTCTAGCTCACAGGCTATGGAGGGAAAAAATAACTATACTTATTTAGCACAACTAAGAACCAGCTACTTGGTTAGACCTTCATAACTCTTCCTTCAAAATAACACGATGGTAACTACCATTTACAAAACTTTTTTTTATCTTTTTTTTTTTTTTTTGAGACAGGGTCTTGCTCTGTGGCCCAGGCTGAAGCGCAGTGGTGCGATCTTGGCTCACTGTGGATCCTCTTCCTCCTGGGCTCAAGCCAACGTCCCACTTCAGCCTCCCATCATGCCCGGCTAATTTTTGTAAATTTTTTTGTAGAGGCAGGGTTTCCCTACGTTGCCCAGGCTAGTCTGGAACTCCTGAGCCCAAGTGATCCGCCCGTCTCGGCCTCCCAAAGTGCTGGGATTACAGGCGTGAGCCACCGTGCCCGGCCTCATTTATGAAACTCTTATCTGGCAGGCAATGTGCAATGTGCTTGGCATAAATATCTCATATCCTCACAATAATCGTGTAAGGAAGAAACTCGGACTCAACCTCAAGATAAGCACCAAAGCTCATTTTAAACCTCACTGCCCTCTGCAAGATAACTATACAGATGCTCCTCGATTTATGATGGGTTGCTTCCCGATAAGCCCATCGCAAAGTTGAAAAATCCCCTAAGTCGAGCCACCCTAAGTTGGGGACGCCTGCATCATGCTTTCAGAGGTGAATGTAAAGTGGGTGAAGCGGCTCAGTGATTGAGCGCTAGCCAGGATTCCACGCCAGGCCTTTCCGTGTTCAACAGCTGCTTTCAGAAGTGTGGAAGCCTCGGAGAGGGTCCCTGAGGTAAGATGGGCTGAGCGTCGCCGCCTTCTGCAAGGACACCAGCCTTGAGAGAAGAGAGGAGATAAGGTGCAAACGAAGAAAGGCAGGGACGCCGCGGTTTCAGTCGAAGCGTGGGCTCCTTAAGGACAGGGGCTGTGTCCGACTCGGCTCTGAATCCCCAGCGCCTACACAAGCTCTGACACAGCGTATACTCAGTAAACATGGAGTGAATCAGTTCATTCAATGAATGAACGAATGAATGAAACGCCAGAGCCCGCCACAGGGGTCCGCTGCCGCTCCACGCCCGGGCCTCTCACCGGCCAATCAACACTGTGACTCGTACGCCCTGCCCCCTGATGCCACGCCCATCACTCGCCCCTCTGGATTCCCTCCGGCTGCGTGGAAATCCCGGAGCACTGGATTTCCCAGAGGCGCCTCCGGTAGCAGTGCGCATGCTCCAGCGCCGGTAGCTGAGGCATCAATTTCCCGCAGCGCCTAGGGGACGGATTGGAAAGCGATTGGCTTAGGGGACGGAAGCCAAGCTCCACCTGCCTGACACCCGGCTCTTCACGCAGAACCGAAGATTCATTTTGGACAGCCCTTCCCCAGTACCACTCCCACCCCGACGTTGGTCCCAATCGGAACCTATCCTACACAAGGCTGAAAAAAAGAGGGGAGCGACCGGAAGTGACGCACGAGCGCGAGCGGAAAAACAGGGGCCCAGCGCCTGTTGCCGTGGAAACCGAGCCCTCGGCTTGCGTCCCGGGTGCGTCACAGCTCCGGCTGACCACGCCCCGCGCGCGGCCCCGAGGCCCTGAGGCCCAGGGCGGGGACCAAAAGCCGCGCGCTTGTGACGATGTCGCTGCGGGGCACGCTAAGGGGCGGAGAGGAAATTTAGGGCCTGCCTTTTGTACATTCGGTTATTCAGCCCAGAAATATGTATTCAACCCCAGGCGCGTGCCTGGCATTGTGGAAGGCGACACGTGAGGAGAATTGTGACTGGCCCAGATGTCACCCCCCCCCAGCCCAGTAGTCATTCTTCTCTGGAAGTCCTTACCCATCTCACCTGTTCATTCTTCAACCCCCAGTTTCCCGACCTTTTTCCTCAAGCCACGCCCTTCCACGCTTTCTTGTCTTTTCTGTGGTGTTCCTTCAGTCTAGAATATTCTCCACCTAGTACAATCCTGCTCCTCCCCTGACATTCTGCTGAAATTGCACTCTTCAGCCTTCCCAGGTAGCTGTGGGCTGTGACATGTGTCAGAGACTGATGAGTTTTCTTTTTACTTTTCTATATTGTCTCATTTTTTTTCTTTAAGCATACATACATTGATTTTATAATGAAACATAAATCATTTTTAAAGAGATCAGTTATTCTCAAAGAGCTTGTTACTTTCGGGAACACTTTTTGGGGTGTTTATATTTATATGTATTACTATATATGTACTTTATATGTATACTTTTAAATTCACAAAATTGACACGCATTGTAATAAGAATCGTGATTATATCCTTTATCCATAATCACCAATTTTTACATTTTTGCCTCATTTTCACATTCTTCCTCTCTCTCTCTGTGCCAATTATGTCCTTTATAGCTATTTCCCCTCTGTCCAGAATCATACTGTTTCAATTAGTTGTCAAATCTTTTTTTAGTATCCTTTTATCTAGAACAGGGTCTCAGTCTTTCTTCCTCTTTCATGTCTTTGTGAAACTTGCAGCTACCAGGATGAGACAACTCTACTCAGACCCAAGCACACCAAGCCAGGAATGCACAAAGGACGGCTGATGTTTGAGATAAGAACTGTCTCAAGGACTTTCTATAATAACCACACAAGGAATTCCTCATGTACGTCACAAGTCTCATGCGTTTCTCCACCTACGTTTTGCACATGTGCACACATTTATTGATTTAGAGGCAGGGATCTTGCTGTGCTGCCCAGACCGGACTCAAATTCCTGGGCTCAATCGGTCCTCCTGCCTCAGCCTCTAGAGTAGCTGGGACTCCAGGCATGCGCCACCCTGTTATTTCTGTGACCAGGCTTAGCACTAGGCATTCTTTCGGACGACAGCAATTCAAATAAGATGCTCTCCAAAGAACACTTGCCTAGTAGCGGCATCTCCAAAAATAAATTGATGCCGCTCCGGCTTTGAGCCTCCAGAACCAAAGAAACCTGTTTCCAGACAGCTTATGTGAACTTCTACTTTTGGCCAATAAGAGCTCCCACTTACCCCTGCCCTATTCAGGTGCACCTGTGGCTTGCCATAGCCATATAGCCAGGTGCACCATCCTTTTTGCCTGCTCCTGAATAAATTAATTATATTAGGAGACATCTTTCTCTGATGTCTTTTTTAGGTTAGCAACTCTAATATGTTGGAAGAATACAGGCCAGCTACTTTGTAGAATGTTCCTCAATTTGAGTTTGTATGATGCTTTCTCATGATTAGATTCAGGTTATGTATGTTTTGCAAAAATACCTCAGAAGTGATGGCATCCTTGGTGCGGCATCCTTGGTGCATTATATCAGGAGGCAAATGATGTGGGTTTGTCCCATTGTTTGTAATGGTAACATTGGTTGCTTGGTTAAGGTGAAGGGTGCCAAGCTTCTCCACTGTAAAGTTCCTATTTTTTTCTCTGTAATTAATAAGTAATTTGTATGATACTTTGAGATAACAAAGTAGACTGTTCATCAAACTTTCATCAATGAATTTAACATCCAAAGACGCCTCAAGAATGATCATCAAAAGCAGCCTACTAATGACTGTCATTTACCATTTAATACATTTCAAACAGTGCACGTGCTCTGTGACATATTCTGGGAAGGAACATGTTACCTGATACATAATAGGTGATCAATAAATAGTATTTACTGACAGGTTTCCTTCCTTTGTAGATAAATGAAGTTTCTTGTTTCATGGGGTATAATTAGAAGCATTACTTTAATTAGCCATCCTGATTATTCTTACTTTGTACCAGCATCTGCCTCAGTACCTAGTATATATTAGCAATTCATTTTTGAATTAATAATGGAAAATTATGTACACAAACACACATACACACCAAGAAATTATATCAAAAGATTAATTGTGATAATTGAGCAGTTAATGCTTAACCAAGTGTTTTCACCGATGCAGGGCAGTCACTGTTAGAACCAGAAAGCTTTTAAAAGAAAATTATGATAAGTCCAACTTAAGCAAATCAGATTTTACGTTACAAAATAAAGTTCAAGAAAAGAAAGGATTCGAAAGGAAAAAAATTCGAAAAGGATCACGTATGAGAAGCTGCAGTTCCATGTGTGACCACCAGGTGCCGGAACAAGCTAGGTAGCCACACTAGAAAAACAAACGTCCTCATCTGGGCTGAATTTGCATCTAATTGCCTCAAATTGCTTCTGAAACCCAGGATTTTTTCTGTCACTTTGTCAGTGGAGCTTAGGTCAGTGAGTTCTGGGCAAATCGAGAGTAGGCTGAAGCTGGGGGGGAATTCACAAGCGAGATTTAACTAAATTGGCAGTGGCTTATTCTCGAACTGGGTTACTTAAGAATTCAAGTTATTATATATTACATCATATTGTATTATATATTTTATATGTTACAGACAATATCTAGTAATCCAACTGGAAATATATGTTGTATATTACATATCAAGTTATTGTATTATAATTCAAGTTGCCTTATTCTTTATACCTTTTGGTTTTGATGCGTGGTTTTATACCTTTTGGTTTTTGTACGATCTCGGCTCACTGCAACCCCTGACCCCATGGTTCAAGGGATTCTCCTGCCTCAGTCTCCCAAGTAGCTGGGATTACAGGCATCTGCCACCACACCCGGCTAATTTTTGTATTTTGTTTTTTAGTAGAGATGGATTTTCACCATGTTGGTCAGGCTGGTCTCGAACTCCTGACCTCAGGTGATCCACCCGCCCCTGCTTCCCAAAGTGTTGGGATTACAGGCGTAAGTCACTATGCCTGGCCTCTTTATACCTTTTGTATGTCCTAAATACAACAGAGTTAAAGCAAAAGTTTTAAAGGAAAGACTGAGGCTACAGGGATTATGCAAATTTTTTCAAAGAACACAAATCAAATGGAGGGTTTGGGAGTTTTTAAAATCACAATTACCCATACCTTTGCAATTTCTTCTTCTTCTTCTTTTTTTTTTTTTTTTTTTTTTTAGATAGAATCTTGATCTGTCACCCGGAGGGCAGTGGTGCAATCTCAGCTCACTGCAGCCTCAACTCCCAAGTTCAGGCAATCCTCCAACCTCATCACATCAAGTAGCTGGGACTACAAGCACATGCCATCACGTGGCACGGCTAATTTTTGTTTGGTAGAGACAGGGTTTTGCCATGTTGCCCAGGCTAGTCTCAAACTCCTGGGCTCAAGCAATCCTCTGGCCTCAGCCTCCCAAAGTACTGGGATCATAGGCAGGAGTCACCATGCCCAGCCCCTTTCCTTCTTTTTCTGAACCAGGTAAAGAGGATTCAGATCAAACTGAACATCAGTGCGAATAGGACAAATATAAGTGGCTGGAAATATCCTGACAGGATGGAACTAGGAGAGCCCAGCAACATGCCTGTGGTGTTCCCGCCAAGGACGCATGCCCTGCGTCTAATCTTGATGAAACCACAGACAAACCAAAATGGGGACATTCTGCACGACCACTAGCCTGTGACCTTCAAAAGCACTGAGGTCATGAAAATCAAGGAAAGCCTGAGAAACCTTTCCAGGTTAAAGAAGACTAAAGAGACGTGACAACTAAGTATTATGCGTGATTCTGAACTGGATCATTTTGCTACAAAAATATACTATTGTGGCCAGGTGTGGTGGTTCTTGCCTGTAATCCTAGAACTTTGGGAGGCAGAGGCAGGTGGATCACCTTAGGTCAGGAGTTCAAGACCAGCCTGGCCAACATGGCAAAACCCCATCTGTACTAAAAATACAAAAAAAAAAAATTAGCCGGGCATTGTGGCAGGTGCCTATAATCCCAGCTACTTGGGAGACTGAGGCAGGAGAATCACTTGAACCCGGGAGGCAGAGGTTGCAGTGAGCTGAGATTTCACCACTGCACTTCAGCCTGGGCAACAGAGTGAGTGAGACTCTGTCTCAAAAAAAAAAAAAAAAAAAAAAAAATATATATATATATATATATATATATATAACATAGATATGCTAATAGAACAAATATAAGTGGCTGCCTTATATTATATGTTTATATTATATATAATTGGAACAACTGGTGAAACTTGAATAGAGCCTGAGGATCCTGTGGCAGCCACGTATGGATGTTACTGTCCTGACCTTGAGGGCTGTGTTGTGGTTATGCAGAATATCCTTGTTTGTGGAAAAGACACAGTCAGCTCTCCAGGGGCGCTGGGGTATCCCTCAGCTACTTACTCTAAACCAATTCAAGAAAATGAGTTATTTGTACTGTACTTGCGACTTAAGTTTGAAGTCGTTTCAGAAATTATTAAAAAGAGGATTCCAGAGAAAGTCCAAGCCGTTAAAAATACCCCATGATTTTCCTGGCCTGACTCAGAACTACTGAATGAAAACACTGGGGGCGTGGCCTTGAGATGTGTGTTTTCCAAAGCACAGCCGGGTCTGGAAAGCAGCTACTCCCCACGGGCTGGGAGAGGGAAGCACAGCCTGTGCACACAGACCGGTTCCTCTCATCCTCCTTTCATCCACATCACCATCCAGCAGCTACGAGAATTCGTTCCACACAAGTTGCCTGGTTCAATTCTGCCTCCGCTGATCTCTGAGGTTTTTTGTTTTGTGTTGTTTTTTTGAGATGGAGTTTCGCTCTTGTTGCCTAGGCTGGAGTGCAATGGCGCTATCTTGGCTCACTGCAACCTCTGCCTCCCGGGTTCAAGTGATCCTCCTGCCTTGGCCTCCCAAGTAGCTGGGATTATAGGCGCCTGCCACCACGTCAGGCTAATTTTTTGTATTTTTAGTAGAGACAGGGTTTTACTATGTTACCCAGGCTGATCTCGAACTCCTGACCTCAGATGATCCACCCACCTTGGCCTCCCAAAGTGCTGGGATTACAGGCATGAGCCACCGTGCCCGGCTGAGGCATTGTTTCCCATTCCTGTCAATAAGCTGCAGGCCTTCTCCCTCCCACTTCAAAAAGTACCACTCTCAACTAAGAAAACTGAGATCCTCTTTAGAAGTGTTCCTCTCAGAGCACTCCCCAAGGAAGCTCTGGGGTGCCTGGCAAATGAGAAGCTTCTGAGAGCCTCAGTCGGTCCAGCCCCACATTCCTGGTGCTTTATGGTCCCCTTTGCTTTGACTATTAAGACACAGTCCTGACCTGGTGCGGTGGCCCATGCCTGTAATCCCAGCTCTTTGGGAGGCCGAGGCGGGTGGATCACCTTAGGTCAGGAGTTCAAGACCAGCCTAGCCAACATGGTGAAACCCTGTCTCTACTAAACACAAAAATTAGCCAAGCGTGGTGGCGGGCAACTGTAACCCCAGCTACTCAGGAGGCTGAGGCAGGGGAATTGCTTGAACTCAGGAGGCAGAGGCTGCAGTGGGTTGAGATCATGCCACTACACTCCAGCCTGAGCAACAGAGCGAGACTCTGTCTCAAAAAAAAATACATAGGAGTTGTGGCCTGTGGTGGGGAGTGGACTTGAGGGGCCTCCTCCCCATCCCTCACAATCCACAGGAAACCTGCTCCAGCTCTGCCTAGCTCGGGACAAAGAGTACTGCCTTTCCTCTTTTCTGCCTGGACCCACCCTGCTCCAGCTTTGCCATCAGTCTTTATGCACCCACATATCCCCATAAGCCAGTTCAGGGGCCCCAGGAAGGCAAACCTCAATAGGACCTTATAAGGCTTCCTGATGGTGGGATGCAACACTCTGAACATACTAAAAGCCAATGAATCATACTCTAAATGGGTGAATTTTCTAACAGGTGTCTTCTATCTCAATAAACCTGTTCAAAACAAAGCGCTTCCTGCCTACCAGTCCATCCTCACTGGCTGCAGTTCCCAACCTCATACCATGGTTCAGCCTTGCTAAACTACTTGTTTTCTGGATGTCACTCTTCCGTCCCATCCTCATTTACTTGCTCTCAAACCTTTTTTTTTCACTTGCTCTCAAACTTTTTTTTTTTTTTGAGACAGAATCTTGCGCTGGGTGTGGTGGCTCACGCCTGTATTCCCAACACTTTGGGAGGCCGAGGCAGGCGAATCACGAGGTCAGGAGATTGAGACCATCCTGGCTAACATGGTGAAACCCCGTCTCTACTAAAAATACAAAAAATTAGCCGGGCGTGGTGGCGGGCACCTGTAGTCCCAGCTACTCGGGAGGCTGAGGCAGGAGAATGGCGTGAACCTGGGAGGTGGAGCTTGCAGTGAGCCGAGATCGCGCCACTGCACTCCAGCCTGGGCGACAGAGCGAGACTCCGTCTCAAAAAAAAAAAAAAAAAAAAAGAATCTTGCTCTGTCGCCCAGGCTGGAATGCAGTGGCACAATCTCGGCTCACTGCAGCCTCTGCCTCCTGGGTTCAAGCGACTCTTCTGCCTCAGCCTCCCAAGTAGCTGGGATTGCAGGCATATGCCACCATGCCTGGCTAATGTTTTTGTATTTTTGTATTTTTAGTAGAGACGGGGTTTCCCCATGTTGGCCAGGCTGGTCTCAAACTCCTGACCTCAGGTGATCCGCCCACCTTGGCCTCCCAAAGTGCTGGGATTACAGGCGTGAGCCACCGCGCCTGGCCAAAGCCAATTTTTAAAAAGTGAAAAACAAATATAGAGGGGATTGTAGCATCTAGACATGTTTTCACCGTAAACAAATAGAAAACCGGGGGTAGGGGGCAGAAAAGGGAACTGTTTTCAGACTCGACAACAGGCAGCTCAGGACTGTTCCCTGAGAAACAAACAAATGAGAAATAAACAAGTGGAGCTTTGTGCTCACTGGGCTTTCTGCCTGGAGTCTATATCTGATCCATGGTACAGAGGGCGGGAACTCAAACAAAGGCCACCAGTGTCACCCAGTTGAGGAGACAGAGAATGGACAGAAAGGAGCTAGGGAGAGGTAACCCAAAAAGTTGTGTATGAGCTACTGGGCTCACCGCTGAGATGTGCACACATGGATCAGAATGGCTGAAATTAGGCCTGGCAGGGTGGCTTACACCTGTAATCCCAGCACTCTGGGAGGCCAAGACAGGAGAATCACTTGAGCCCAGGAGTTTCAGACCAGCCTGAGCAGTGTGGTGAGACCCCGTCTCTACAAAAAATCAACAAATTAGCCAGGTGTGATAAAGCATGCCCATAGTTCCAGCTACTCAGGAGGCTGAGGTAGGAGGCTCTCTGGCTTGGGAGGTCGAGGCTGCAAGTGAGCTATGATTGTGTGACTGTACTCCTCCAGCCTGGGTAACAGAGTGAGACCCTATCAAAAAAAAAAAAAAAAAAAAAAAGCTAAAATTCAAAGACTCATGACACCAAGTGTTAGGGAGACACTGGAATTCTCATGCATTGCTGGTGGGAATGTAAGATGTACAAGTACTTTGGAACAAGGTCTGGCGATTTTTTATAAAATTAAACATATGCTTACTTTTTGCCCCAGCCATTCAGTGTCTAGGTATTTATCCAAAATAAATCAAAACAACCATATGTTCACCAAAATACTTGTCCAAGAATGATGACAGCAGCTTTATTTAAAATTGCTGCCAGGCGCGGTGGCTCAGGCCTGTAATCCCAGCACTTTGGGAGGCCGAGGCAGGCGGATCACGAGGTCAGGAGATCGAGACCATCCTGGCTAACAGGGTGAAACCCCATCTCTACTAAAAAATACAGAAAACTAGCCAGGCGTGGTGGCAGGTGCCTGTAGTCCCAGCTACTTGGGAGGCTGAGGCAGGAGAATGGCATGAACCCGGGAGGTGGAGCTTGCAGTGAGCCAAGATCACACCACTGCACTCCAGCCTGGGCGACAGAGTGACACTCTGTCTCAAAAAAAAAAAAAAAAAATTAGCCAGGTGTGGTGGCAACTGCCTGTAGTCCCAGCACTCTGGGAGGCTGAGGCAGGAGAATGGCTTGAACCCAGGAAACAGAGGTTGCAGTGAGCTGAGATCGCACCATTGCACTCCGGCCTGGGTGACACAGCAAGACTCCTTCTCAAAAATAAATAAATAAATAAACAAAATAAATAAATAATTAATTAAAAAATAAAATTGCCAAAAATTGGACATAACTCAAGTTGTCTGTCAATGAGAAGACTGATAAATAAACTGTTGTATATTCCTATATACATTGTATTTATCCTCAGAACAATACTACTAAGCAATAAACATAAACCACTGATACGCGCAATGGCATGGATGACTCTCCCCAAGGGAAGCTGAGCAAAGAAAGCTGCAAACCGTGGAGTTCATGCCATGTGGGTCTGTTTACGCAAAGTACAAGAACAGACAAAACTCATCCAAGGTGCAAAAAATCAGATACCTGACCCCATAGGTCTCCTTCTTGGTTCCCCTGGAAATGCATCCGTCTCAGTCAGCTTCCCCAAGAGATCAGCACAGCCAGGGCAGGCCCATTCTGATAAAGAGAGTTCCCATTTCCTAAAAAGGATGAGTGCAGGGGTTAGCTTGTCCACTCAGTCCCTGGGAAAGTCGTGTCAGGCCCTGGGTCCCAGCTGGGTACCCAACAGTGAGTCAGGTGGACACAGTCCCCACTGCGGGGAGCCCTGCAGCCTTTTCAGGGAAACAATAAAACAAAGGGTGTTCACAGGACTCATCCATGTGTTATAAACGGAATTCTGTCCTCTCTAAATTCATACGCTGAAGCCCTAACCCCCAGTCCCTCTGAATGTTATTGTGTTTGGAGATATGGCCTTTAAAGTGGTGATTAATTAAGATGGGGTTGTTAGGGTGGGCACTAGGCAAATATGCCTGGTGTCATTAGGAAAGGAGCAGACTAGGGCTCACACCTGTAATCCCAGCCCTTTGGGAGGCTGAGGTGAATGGATTGCTTGAGATCAGCCTGGGCAACATACAGAGACGCTGTCTCTATAAAAATAAAAATAATTAGCCAAGTGTGGTGGCACATGCCTATAATCCCAGCTATGTGGGAGATTGAGGTGGGAGGGTCACTTGAGCCTGGAGCTTAGGGCTGCATTGAGCTATGATCATGCCAATGCACTCCAGCCTGGGTGACAGAGCAAGACCCTGTTTCTGAAAAAGAAAAAAAGATTAGGATACAGGCATACACAGTGGCAAGACCAAAACCATGTGAAGACACAGGAAGAAGGTGACTGTCTACATGCCAAGGAGTGAGGCCTCAGGAGAAACCAGCCCTGCCGACGCCTTGATCATGGATAAGTACTTTGTCATCCATCCAGATGAGATTCAGTTCGGGATGCTGCAATGAGAGATGACCCTGGAGGATCCTCATGGGCCCAATGTAATCACAAAGGTCCTTTGAAAATGGAGGCAGGAGAGAAGAGTCAGAGAAGGGGATGAGATGACAGAAGCCGGGGTCAGAGAAGGAGCTCTGAGGATGCTATGCTGCTGGCTTTAAGATGGAGGAGGCGGTGGCTGACACCTGAAATCCCAGCGCTTTGAGGGGCTGAGGCGGGTGGATCACTTGAGGTCAGGAGTTCAAGACCAGCCTGGCGAACATGGTGAAACCCGTCTCTACAAAAAAAAAAAAAAAATTAACCGGGTATGGTGGTGCATGCATGTTATCCCAGCTACTCGGGAGGCTGACGCAGGAGAATCACTCGAACCTGGGAGGCAGAGGCTGCAGTGAGCTGGGAGTGTGCCACTGCAATCCAGCCTGGGCAACAAAGTAAGACTCCATCTCAGAAAGTTAAATTAAAATAACATAAGATGGAGGAGGGGGCTGGAGGCAATGAACGCAGGCCCCTCTGGAAGCTGGAAAGAACAGGAAGCTGGCGTCTCCTCTGCAGCATCCACCAGGAAGGCAGCCCTGGTGACATTCTGATCTCAGGACTTTGACCTCCAGAAAGTTAAGATAATAAACTTCTGCTGGCCACATGTATATCTTTAAGTGTCTGTTCACTTAAAGTGAACAGTCCTTTAAAGTAAAAAGTCCTTTGCCCACTTTTTAATGGGGTTGTTTGGTTTTTTTCTTGTCAATTTGCTTAAGTTCCTTGTAGATTCTGGATATAAGACCTTTGCCAGATGGATAGATTGCAAAAATTTTCTTCCATTCTGTAGGTTGTCTGTTCACTCTGATGATAGTTTCTTTTGCTGTGCAGAAGCTCTTTAGTTTAATTAGATCTCATTTGTCAAGTTTTGCTTTTTTTTTCTTTTTTTTCTGAGACGGAGTCTTGCTGTGTCCCCCAGGCTGGAGTGCAGTGGTGTGATCTCAGCTCACTGCAATCTCTGCCTCCCAGGTTCAAGCAATTCTTCTGCCTCAGCCTCCTGAGTAGCTAGGATTACAGGCGTGTGCCACCACGCCTGGCTAATTTTTGTATTTTTAGTAGAGATGGGGCTTCACCATGTTGGCCAGGCTGGTCTCGAACTCCTGACCTCGTGATCCACCCACCTCAGCCTCCCAAAGTGCTGGGATTACAGGCATGAGCCACTGTACCCGGCCAAATTTTTGCTTTTGTTGCAATTGCTTTTGGTGATTTCATTATAAAATCTTTGCCTATGCGTATGTCTGGAATGGTATTGCCTAGATTTTCTTCTAAGGTTTTTATAGTTTTGGGTTTTACATTTAAGTCTTTAATCCATCTCGAGTTAATTTTTGTATAAGATGTAAGGAAGGGGTCCAGTTTCAATTTTCTGCATATGGCTAGCCAGTTCTCCCAGCACCATTTATTAAATAGGAAATCCATTCCCCATTGCTTATTTTTGTTAGGTTTGTCAAAGATCAGATGGTTGTAGATATGTGGTTATATTTCTGAGTTCTCTAGTTTGTTCCAAAAACAAGCTCAACATCACTGATCATAGAGAAATGCAAATAAAAACCACAATGAGACACCATCTCATGCCAGTCAGAATGGCGATTATTAAAAAGTCAAGAACAACAGATGCTGATGAGGTTGCAGAGAAACAGGAACGCTTTTACATTGTTGTTGAGAATGTAAACTAGTTCAACAATTGTGGAAGACAGCATTGCAATTCCTCAAAGATTTAGAACCAGAAATACCATTTGACCCAGCAATCCCATTACTGGGTATATACCCAAAGGAATATAAATTCTATTATAAAGATACTTGCATGCATGTGTTCATTGCAGCACTATTCACAATAGCAAAGACATGGAACCGACCCAAATGCCCATCAGTGATAGACTGGATGAAGAAAATGTGGTCCATATACACTGTATTAGTCCATTTTCATGCTGCTGATAAAGACATGCCTGAGACTGGGAAGAAAAAGAGGTTTATTTGGACTTACAGTTCCACATGACTGAGGAGGCCTCAGAATCATGGCAGGAGGTGAAAGGACTTCTTACATGGCGGTGGCAGGGGAAAAATGAGGAAGATACAAAAGCAGAAACCCCTGATAAAACCATCAGATCTCATAAGACTTACTCACTACCACAAGAACAGTATGGGGGAACTGCCCCCATGATTCAAATTATCTCCCACTGGCTTCCTCCCACAACATGTTGGAATTATGGGAGTACAATTCGAGATGAGATTTGGGTGGGGACAGAGTCAAACCATATCATTACACCTCTGGCCCCTCCAAATCTCATGTCCTCACATTTCAAAACCAAACATGCCTTCCCAACAGTCCCCCAAAGTCTTAACTCATTTCAGCATTAACTCAAAAGTCCACAGCATTAACTCAAAAGTCCACAGTCCAAAGTCTCATCTGAGACAAGGCAAGTCCCTTCTGCCTATGAACCTGTAAAATCAAAAGCGAGCTAGTTACTTCCTAGATACAGTGGGGGCACAGGTTATTGGGAAAATACAGCTATTCCAAATGGGAGAAATTGGTCAAAGCAAAGGGGTTACAGGGCCCATGGAAGTCCGAAATCCAGCAGGGCAGTCAAATCTTAAAACTCCAAAATGATCTCCTTTGACTCCAGATCTCACATCCAGGTCATGCTGACGCAAGAGGTGGGTTCCCATGGTCTTGGGCAGCTCTGCCCTTGTGGCTTTGCAGGGTACAGCCTCCCTCCTGGCTGCTTTCCCTGGCTGGCGTTCAGTGTCTGTGCCTTTTCCAGGCACATGGTGCAAGCTGTCAGCGGATCTACCATTCTGGGGTCTGGACGACAGGCGCCCTCTTCTCACAGCTCCACTAGGTAGTGCCCCAGTAGGAACTCTGTGTGGGGGCTCTGACCCCACGTTTCCCTTCTGCACTACCCTAGCAGAGGCTCTCCATGAGAGTCCCACCCTGCAGCAAACTTCTGCCTGGGCATCCAGGCATTTCCATACATCTTCTGAAATCTAGGTGGAGGTTCCCAAACCTCAATTCTTGACTTCTGGACACCTGCAGGCTCAACACCACATGGAAGCTGTTAAGGATTGGGGCTTGCACCCTCGGAAGCCACGGCCCAAGCTCTATGTTGGCCCCTTTCAGCCACAGCCAGAGTGGCTGGGATGAAGGGCACCAAATCCCTAGGCTGCACACAACTCGGGGACCCTGAGCCCAGCCCATGAAACCACTTTTTCCTCCTAGGCCTCTGGGCCTGTGATGGAGGAGCTGCAGTGAAGTCCTCTGACATGCCCTGGAGACATTTTCCCCATTGTCTTGGGCATTAACATTTGGCTCCTTGTTACTTATGCAAATTACTATAGCTGGCTTGAATTTCTCCTCAGAAAATGGGATTTTCTTTTCTATTGCATTGTCAGGCTGCAAATTTTTCAAACTTTAGTACTCTGTTTCCCTTTTCAAACTGAATGCTTTTAGGCTGGGCATGGTGGCCCACACCTGTAATCTCAGCACTTTGGGAGGCTGAGGTGGGTGGATTGCCTGAGGTCAGGAGTTCCAGACCAGCCTGGCTGACATGGTGAAACCACATCTCTACTAAAAATACAAAAATTAGCCGGGTGTGGTGTCGCACGTCTGTAGTCCCAGCTACTCTGGAGGCTGAGGGAGGAGAATTGCTTGAACCCAGGAGGCAGAGGTTGCAGTGAGCCAAGGTCGCACCACTGCACTCCAGCCTGGGCAACAGAGCAAGACTCCGCTAAAAAAAAACAAAAAAAAAACCTGAATGCTTTTAACAACACCCAAGTCAGCTCTCGAATGCTTTGCTGCTTAGAAATTTCCTCCACCAGACACCCTAAATCATCCCTCTCAAGTTCAAAGTTCCACAAATCCCTAGGGCAGGGGCAAAATGCTGCCAGTCTCTTGGCTAAAACATAACAAGAGTCACCTTTGCTCTAGTTCCCAAGTTTCTCATCTCCATCTTAGATCACCTCAGCCTGGACCTTATTGTCCACATTGCTATCAGCATTTTGGGCAAAGCCATTCAACAAGTCTCTAGGAAGTTCCAAACTTTTCCCACATTTTCCTGTCTTCTTCTTTGCCCTCCAGACTGTTCTAACCTCTGCCTGTCACCCAGTTCCAAAGTTGCTTCTACATTTTCAGGTATCTTTTCAGCAACGCCCCACTCTGCTGGTACCAATTTACTGTACTAGTGGGTTTTCACGCTGCTAATAAAGACATACCCGAGACTGGGAAGAAAAAGAGGTTTAATTGGAGTTACAGTTCCACATGGCTGGGGAGGCCTCAGAATCATGGCAGGAGGTGAAAGGCACTTCTTACATAGTGGTGGCAAGAGAAGATGAGGAAGATGCAAAAGCGGAAACCCCTGATAAAACCATCAGATCTCATGAGACTTATTAACTATCATAAGAACAATATGGGGGAACCGCACCCATGATTCAAATTCTCTCCCACCAGTTTCCTCCTACAACATGTGGGAATTATGGGAGTACAATTCTAGATGAGGTTTGGGTGGGGACACAGAGTCAAACCATATCATACACTGTGGAATAATATGCAGCCATAAAAAGGAATAAGGCCAAGCGTGGTGGCTCATGCCTATAATCCCAGCACTTCAGGAGGCAGAGGTGGGTGGATCACCTGAGATCAGGAGTTCGGGACCAGCCCGATTAACACGGTGAAACTCCACCTCTACTAAAAATACAAAATTAGCTGGGTGTGGTGGTGCATGCCTGTTATCCCAGCTACACAGGAGACTGAGGCAGGAGAATCGCTTGAACCTGGGAGGCAGTGAGCTGAGATCGGGCCATTGCACTCCAGCCTGGGCAACGAGAGGGAAACTGTCTCAAAAAAAAGAAAAAGGAACAAGATCATGTCTTTTCAGGGACATGGATGGAGCTAGAAGCCATTATCCTCAGCAAACTAACACAGGAACAGAAAACTAAACACTGCATGTTCTCACTTATAAGTGGGAGCTGAACAACGAGAACACGTGGGCTCAGGGAGGAGAACCACACACACTGGGGTCCTGGTGGGGGGTGGGGGCAGAACATTAGAAAAAACAGCTAAGGCATGCTGTGCTTAAACCTAGATGATGGGTTGATAGGTGCAGCAAACCACCGTGACACACATTTACCTATGCAACAAACCTGCACAGCCTGCGTATGTAGCCTGGGACTTAAAAAGATAAAATTAAAAAAATAAATAAATTTGTGTTGTTTTAAGCAACTGAGTTTGCTCAGGCCAAACTCCCAGCCCCTCCAGCGCCAGGCGGATGCAGCCATCAGGCCCAGCTTTCGGTGGAACATTTGCTCCATTATCAGATACCGGACGCCAGATCTTGCAGTCTCTTGTTAGTGCTTCTGCTTCCAGTGGAGGTGGGGGATGTCAGCCCTGGGAACAGCGTGTTCTTGAAATAAATGTCCTTTTAGAGGGAAGTGTCTGAGCCAGAGCAGTCAGGAAAAAGTGGGTCAGTGCTTGCCTTTTTTTTTTTTTTTTTTTTTAAACAAGTGCACTCATATCCAGAGCTTGGTTTGGGCACAAAGCCAAGTAAGCTTGGACTTCCCAAGCTCCCGTCTGCGCCCACGTTCCAGACAGAGACCACAGAGAAATGGCCTTGCACATCCATTCAGGAGAGCGGGGCCCGGGGCCACCCCAGGACCGGATGAGGACCAGCCCCTCCTCCCCAGGGAAAGGGAGTTCGCAGAGTCCATTTGTTTTCTTTGCTGCCATCACAAACTTCTACAAAGTTAGAGGCTGACAACGGCACAATGTATAACCCTGCAGTTCCGTAATGGGGGCCAGTGGAGAATCCCTTTTCTGTGCTCATTTGCATTGTCTGCAGAATGCAGATCCTTGCAGTATGGGACTGAGGTGTTGTCACCTTGCTGGGGTCAGTGGGGACCAGTCTCAGCGTCTACGGGCAGCCCCCTACCAGCTTGCAAAGCCGATGATGGCTGATGAGCACACGGCACCTCCCTGCCTCCTCCTCTGCCGTCACTTCTCTCAGACGGGCTCTTCTGCCTTTGTCCTCCTCTTCTGGGGTTCATGCCATTCCGCTGGGCCACCTAAGTAACCCAGGATCACCTCCCCAGTCAAGGTCATGAACTGACTCACACCTCCACAGTCCCTTTTGCCATGGAAGGCAGCAGGTTCACAGCTTAGGGCCGAGGGCACAGACTTCTTCACGGGCGGTTATCTGGGAGATCACAGCGAGGAAGCAGAGATGTGTAGACCTTCGCCCAAGTCAGATGGGCTGACCCCAGCCTGGGAGAGGAACAGACTCAGTGGCCAAGCTGGGGCTATTGTCTAGGGAGCCTGGCCTGGTTTGTACCCAGTTCCTCCGCACCTCCCCGCCTTGCTGTGGGCCCAGAACTCCACTGACACCTAAGGGGGATTGCGCTCCGAGGTAGCAAGCGACGTGCTCAAGGTGGATTTCAGGCCAGGCAAAGTGGCTCATGCCTGTAATCTCAACACTTTGGGAGGCTGAGGCAGGTGGATCACCTGAAGTCAGGAGTTTGAGACCAGCCCGGCCAACATGGTGAAACCCTGTCTCTATCAAAAATACAAAAATCAGCCAGGCATGGTGGCAGGCACCTATAATCCCAGCTACTCAGGAGGCTGAGACAGGAGAATCGCTTGAACCTGGGAGGCTGCAGAGAGCCGAGATTGCACCACTGCACTCTAGCCTGGGTGACAGAGCGAGACTTCTTCTCAAACAGCAACAACAAAAACAAATACAAGATGCTCAAAGAACACCTGGGAGATTCATCGAAAAAACATCATCACTTAGGCACATTGTTGTCAGGTTATCTAAAGTCAGGATGATGGGAAGAATCTTAAGAGCTGTGAGGCAAAAGCACCAGGTAACCTGGCCGGGCGCGGTGGCTCACGCCTGTAATCCCAGCACGGCCTTGGGAGGCCGAGGTGGGCAGATCACGAGGTCAGGAGATCGAGACCATCCTGGCTGGTGAAACCCCGTCTCTACTAAAAATACAAAAAAATTAGCCGGGCGTGGTGGCGGGCGCCTGTAGTCCCAGCTACTTGGGAGGCTGAGGCAGGAGAATGGTGTGAACCTGGGAGGCGGAGCTTGCAGTGAGCCGAGATGGCACCATTGCACTCCAGCCTGGGTGACAGAGTGAGACTCCGTCTCAAACAAACAAACAAACAAACAAACAAACCAGGTAACCTATAAGGGAAAACCTATCAGATTCACAGCAGATTTCTCAGCAGAAACCCTACAAGCTAGAAGGCAGAGAACACTGAAAAAGTGTATGGTTCATCCCTCCACATCTGTAGGTTCCTCATCCATGGATTCATCCAAGTGTGGACTGCAAATATTCAGAGTGAAAATGGATGACTGCATCTGTACTGAACACGTACTGACTTTGTTTTTTATTTTTTATTTTTTGAGATGAAGTCTCACTCTGTCATCCAGGCTGGAGTGCAATGGCACCATCTTGGCTCACTGCAACCTCCGCCTCTTAGGTTCAAGCAGTTCTCCTGCTTCAGCCTCCCGAGTAGCTGGGCGCAAAATCTTGCACCACCACGCCCAGCTAATTTTTTGTATTTTTAGTAGAGATGGGATTTCACCATGTTGGCCAGGCTGGTGTCGAATTCCTGACCTCAAGTGATAAACCTGTCTCAGCCTCCCCAAGTGCTGGGATTACAAGCATGAGCCACCACACCCAGTCCTGACTTCTAAATCTTGTTATTATTCCCCAAACAATACAGTATAACAACTTTTTTTTTTTTTCTTTTTGAGGCGGGGTCTCCTTCTGTTGCCCAGGCTGGAGGGCAGTGACACGATCACCGCTCACTGTAGCCTCCACCCCTGGGCTCAATCAATCCTCCACCTCAGCCTCTTAAGTAGCTGAGACTTACAGCCATGTGCTACCATGCCTGGCTAATTTTTGTATTTATTTGTAGAGATGGGGTTTTGCCCTGTTGCCCAGGCTGTCTTGAACTCCTGGGCTCAAGCAATCCACTAGTTTCAGACTCCCAAAGTGTTGGGATTACAGGCATGAGCCACCTTGCCCAGCCATAGTTGAACAACTATTTACATAGCATTTACATTGTGTTAAGCGTTATGAGTAACCTAGAGATGATTTAACATATACAGGAGGTTATATGCAAATATAATCATGTTATATCAGGGATTTGAGCATTGTAGATTTTGGTTTCTGCCGGGGGTCCTGGAACCAATCCTGAGGGACAACTGTATTTCCATGGAAAATTCATAGCTAAGTCAGAGCCCAGTGTTCTTCTGCCTATAAGTTGTCTGAAAAACACTATCTTTCCTTCATTTATGAAACTTAGTTTTGCTGGATACAAAATTCTTGGCTGATAATTGTTTTGTTTAAGGAGGCTGAAGATAGGGGTCCAATCCCTTTTTGAGTGTTCTCTCCTGAATTTATATTGAAGCTATTGACTAAAGCAGATTTATTTCAGGAGTGAAAAAAGAAGAGTGTAAATTCACCTGGACCCAAACTCATGGAGGCTGCAGCCCCTGCTGCTTCAGGAGTGCATGTGGTTGCCGAGATACCTGTGGGGTTCCTCCCCATGCCCTAACCTCAGGAACCTGTGAACATATTAGGTTATGTGGTAAACAGAATTAAGGCTGCAGATTAAATTAGGGTTGCTACTAAACTGAAGTTCAAATAGGAGATTGCTCATTTGTTCTAGATTATTTGGGTGAAGCCAATGTAATCACAAAGATCCTTAAAGATGGAAGAGAGGCTGGATGCAGCGGTTGACACTTATAATCCCAACACTTTGGGAGGCCAAGGCAGGCAGATCACTTGAGGTCAGGAGTTCAAGACCAGCCTGGCCAACATGGTGAAATCCTGTCTTTACTAAAAAAAAAAAAAAAATCGCTATAAGCAGTAGGCTGGACTGTTCTGACTGGTCAGCTACTGGTGTTGGAGGGGTCACCCCCACCTGAAACATATGGTGGTAAGTTTCCTGAGGCCTCCCCAGCCATGCTTCCTATACAGCCTGTGAAACTGTGAGTCAATTAAACCTCCTTTCTTTATAAATTACCCAGTCTCAGGTAGTTCTTTTTTTTTTTTTTTTTTTTTTTTTTTTTTTTGAGCCAGAGTTTCACTCTGTCACCCAGGCTGGAGTGCAGTGGCGCAATCTCAGCTCACTGCAACCTCCGCCTCCCAGGTTCAAGCAATTCTCTGCCTCAGCCTCCCTAGTAGCTGGGATTACAGGCATCCGAAACCACGCCCAGCTAATTTTTTTGTATTTTTAGTAGAGATGGAGTTTCACCATCTTGGACAGGCTGATCTTGAACTCCTGACCTCATGATCCACCCACCTTGGCCTCCCAAAGTGCTGGGATTACAGGTATGAGCCACCGTGCCCAGCCTCAGGTAGTTCTTTATAGCAATGTGTGAAACGGACTCACACAGCAGGTTTGCTTGCAGCCCATTATAAAAGTTTAGGGCTTCCTTAGCTCGGGATTCCTCAGCTATGATGCAAACCTACTGAGTGTGTGGCATGCTCCTGGATCACTTCCACATCATCCCCATGGGAAATCAAGAACTCAACCCCTTTTACAATAGCTGCAAAAAACAAAAAAAAAAACAAAAAAATAAAAAAAAAACCAACTTAGGAATATACCTAACAAAGGATGTGAAAGACTTCTACAAGGAAAACTACAAAACACTGCTGAAAGAAATCATAGACAACACAAACAAATGGAAACATATCCCATGCTTATGGATGGGTAGAATCAATATTGTGAAAATGACCAGACTGGCAAAAGCAATCTACAAATTCAATGCAATTCCCATCAAAATACCATCACCGTTCTTCACAGAACTAGAAAAAACAATCCTAAAATTCATATAGAACCAGGTCGGGTGCGGTGGCTCATGCCTGTAATCACAGCACTTTGGGAGGCCGAGGCTGGCTGATCAACTGAGGTCAGGAGTTTGAGACCAGCCTGGTCAACATGGTGAAAACTCATCTCTACTAAAAATATAAATAATTAGCTAGGTGTGGTGGTGCACACCTGTAGTCCCAGGTACTTGGGAGGCTGACGGAGGAGAACCACTTGAACCTGGGAGGTGGAGGTTGCAGTAAGCTGAGAATGCACCATTGCACTCCAGCCTGGGCAATGAGAGCAAAACTCTGTCTCAAAAAAACAAAACAAAATACAACACAATGCAGTACCACCTTCTTCCTGCAAGAATGGCCATTATCAAAAAATAAAAAAATTAGAGATGTTGGCATGAATGTGGTGAAAAGGGAACACTTCTACACTGCTGGTGGGAATGTAAACTAGTACAACCACTATGGAAAACAGTGTGGAGCTTACTTAAAGAACTAAAAGCAGAACTACCATTTGATCCAGCAATCCCACTACTGGGTATCTACCCACAGGAAAAGAAGTCATTATTCGAAAAAGATACTGGCACATATGTTTACAGCAGCACAATTCACAATTGCAAAAATGTGGAACCAGCCCAAATGTCCATCAGTCAATGAGTGGATAAAAAAACTGTGGTATATATATATATGATAGAATACTACTTAGCCATAAAAAGGAATGAATTAGTGGCATACGCAACAAGCTGGATGGAACTGGAGACTATTATTCTAAGTGAAGTAACTCAGGAATAGAAAACCAAACATCATATGTTCTCACTCATAAGTGGGAGCTAAGCTATGAAGATGCAAAGGTTCAAGAAGAATACAATGGACTTTGGGGATACGGGGGGAAAGGGTGGAAAGGGGGTAAGAGAAAGACTACAAATTGGGTTCAGTATATACTGCTCAGGTGATGGGGGCACCAAATCTCACAAATCACCACTAAAGAACTTACTCGTGTAACTAACTCATGTAACCTATTCCCCAAAAACCTATGGAAATAAAAAAAAAAAGAAAAGAAAAGAAAGAACCTTGAGACCCACACAGAATTGTCCCAAAAATCTTTTCAGACATTTTCTAGCCCACATTTCCAGTTAAAATGGTTATAATCATGGTATGTATATAACTTCATCCCATAAGATGGGTTGCCAGGCTCCTAGCTTCTCCATCTCTCCAGCTTGCAGATCCTTATCGTGGGACTTCGCCTCTGTCATGCTAAGAACCAAGAAGGTTCTTTTACATTTAATTAAAGTGTTTTTCATGCTGTTCAAAGTTATCTACAAACATCATTTTAAAAGCCTTTATGGGCCAGGTGCGGTGGCTCACGCCTGCAATCCCAGCACTTTGGAAGGCCAAGGCAGGCGGCCCATGAGGTCAGGAGATCGAGACCATCCTGGCTAACACGGTGAAACCTCGTCTCTACTAAAAATACAAAAAAAAAAAAAAAAAAATTAGCAGGGCACGGTGGCGGGCGCCTGTAATCCCAGCTACTCTGGAGGCTGAGCCAGGAGAATGGCATGAACCCGGGAGGCAGAGCTTGTAGTGAGCTGAGATCATGCCACCGCACTCCAGCCTGGACAACAGAGGGAGACGCCATATCAAAAATAAAATAAAATAAAATAAAAAATAAAGCCTTTATGGGCTGGATGTGGTGGCTCACACCTGTAATCCCAGCACTTTGGGAGGCCGAGGCAGGCAGATCACCTGAGGTCAGGAGTTCCAGACCAGCTTGGCCAACACGATGAAACCCTGTCTCTACTAAAAATACAAAATATTAGCTAGGCATGGTGGCAGGCGCCTGTAATCCCAGCTACTCGGGAGGCTGAGGCAGGAGAATGGCTTGAACCCGGGAGGTGGAGGTTGTGGTAAGCTGAGATTGTGCACTCACTGCACTCCAGCCTGGGTGACAGGGCAAGACTCTGTCTCAAAAAAAAAAAAAAAAAAAAGCGTTTATGTAAAGTGTTTGATTCCAATCAGACTATTAACACTGCTATGAATATCTTTGTGTATATTGCTTTTTGCAAACTTCTGATTATTTCCTCAGAGACAGGCCCAGAGGCAGACTTCCTGAATCAAGGGCTAAGCCCACTTTTAATGCCTTAGCTACATACTGTCAAATATCTTTTTTTTTTTTTTTTTTTTAGACAGAGTTTCGCTCTTGTTGCCCAGGCTGGAGTGCAATGGCTCAATCTTGGCTTACCGCAGCCTCCGCCTCCCGGGTTCAAGTGATTCTCCTGCCTCAGCCTCCTGAGTAGCTGGGATTACAGGCACCTGCCACCACACCCGGCTAATTTTTTTCTATTTTTAGTAGAGATGGGGTTTCTTCGTGTTGGTCAGGCTGGTCTCGAACTCCTCCTGACCTCAGGTGATCCGCCTGCCTCGGCTTCCTAAAGTGCTGGGATTACAGGCGTGAGCCACTGCACCTAGCCTATATTGTGCTGGGATTACAGACGTGAGCCACCGCACCCAGCCTATATCTTTCCAGTAAGTCAGTACAACTTGCACAGCCCAAGCAGGGTATGAATAAGAGCCCTGCCCTATATGCCACAAACATTAAGAAATCATTGCATTGTCTTCTCACCCACATTATTAATTAAGCACATCAAAAACAGCCAAAGAGCTTCTTATCAGCGGGGTCTCCCACCGGGGTGGCCACATTGAGCTGACGTGATTCCAGGCCAAAGTAGGGGCACTGTCACAGTGTTGCAAGCTCCCAGCACTGGGACTGAAGCTTCTTCCAGGCCACGCGGGAAGAGGGAGAAACCTGATGACAGAGGCCTCAGACACACTGAGATGGCCCTTCCCCACTTATGAGGGAGTGACAGCGCCTTCTCTTCTCTTGTTTTCATTTGTTTGTTTTTGAGACAGTCTCTCTCTGATGCCCAGGCTGGAGTGCAGTGGCGTGATCTTGGGTCTCTGCAACCTCTGCCTCCAAGGTTCAAGCAATTCTCCTGCCTCAGCCTCCCGAGTAGCTGGGATTACAGGCATGCACAACTGTGACCGGCTGATTTTTGTATTTTTAGTAGAGACAGAGTTTCACCATGTTGGTTAGGCTGGTCTCGAACTCCTGACCTCAAGTGATCCACCCTCCTCGGTCTCCCAAAGCACTGGGATTACAGGCATGAGCCACTGTGCTAGGCCTACTTCTCTGCTTTTTGTTTGTTTGTTTGTTTGTTTGTTTGAGACAGAGCCTCGCTCTATTGCCCAGGCTGGAGTGCAGTGGCGCCATCTCGGCTCACCGCAACCTCTACCTAGGGTTCAAGCAATCCTCCCACCTCAACCTCCTGAGTAGCTGGGATTACAGACGCATGCCACCATGCCCGGCTAATTTTTGTATTTTTAATAGAGACAAGGTTTTGCCACATTTGCCAGGCTGGTCTTGGCCTCAAGTGATCCACCTGCCTCCGCCTTCCAAAGTGCTGGGATTACAGGTATGAGCCATTGCGCCCAGCCCTTCTCTTTTGACTAGCTTTTCCTGAATGTGCTCACTTTGTTAGTTGTAGTTATTTGAACTGTTGCTTGTTGCTTGAAATCAAGGCAAAGAAGAAGTCCCAAGAGACTTGGACGATGGTTAGTTTCAGGTGTCAACTTGACTGGATGGAGGGATGGCCGCTAGTTGGTGGAGCATTATTTCTGAGTGTCTGTGAGGATGTTTCCAAGGAAGATTAGTGGGTGAGTCAGTGGCCTGCGGGAGGGAGGCCCATTCTTAATGAAGGTCTAACTAGTTGGGGGCCCAGTTGGGATGAACAGGTGAAAGTGGGGGCACTGGCCCTCTCTGCTCTACCTCCCTTCTGGAGCAGGACACCTTTTCTTTTTCTTTTTTTTTTTTTTTTGAGATGGAGTCTCACTCTGTTGCCAGGCTGGAGTGCACTGGCATGATCTCGGCTCACTGAAACCTCCGCCTCCCGGGTTCAAGCGATTCTCCTGCCTCAGCCTCCTGAGTAGCTGGGACTACAGGCATGCACCACCACGCCCAGCTAATTTTTGTATTTTTAGTAGAGACAGGGTTTTGCCATGTTGGCCAGGCTGGTCTTGATCTCTTGACCTTGTGATCCCCCCGCCTCGGCCTCCCAAAGTGCTGGGATTACAGAAATGAGCCACCATGCCCGGCCAGGACACCTTTTCTCCTGCTGTCCTCAGACAGGGTCTCTGGTTTTCAGACTCTAGATGTGGACTCTGTTGCACCAGTGGCCTCCCGGGGGCTCTCAGGCCTTTAGCCTCAGACTGGGGCCTGTACCATCAGCTTCCCTGGTTCTGAGGCTGCCAGACCTGCACTGAGCCAGGCTCCCAGCTTCTCCATTTCTCCAGCTTGCAGGCGGTTTATCATGAGACTTCGCCTCTGTGATCATAAGAACCAATTCCCCATTGTGTGGTTTTTGTTTTGTTTTGTTTTTTTGATATGGAGTTTCGCTCTTATTGCCCTGGCTGGAGTGCAATGACACAATCTAAGCTCACTGCAACATCTACCTCCTGGGTTCAAGCGATTCTCCTGCCTCAGTCTCCCGAGTAGCTGGGATTACAGGCATGTGCCACCATGCCTGGCTAATTTTGTATTTTTAGTAGAGACAGGGTTTCTCCATGTTGGTCAGGCTGGTCTCGAACTCCCGACCTCAGGTGATTTCGCCCACCTCGGCATCCCAAAGTGTTGGGATTATAGGCGTGAGCCACCGCACCCAGATTTTTTTTTTTTTTTTGAGACGGAGTTTTGCCCTTGTTACCCAGGTGGGAATTCAGGGGCACGGTCTCGGCTCATGGCAACCTCCACCTCCCAGGTTAAAGTGATTCTCCTGCCTCCGCTTCCCGAGTAGGTGGGATTACAGGCGACTGCTACCCTACCTGGCTAATTTTTTGTATTTTTAGTAGAGACAGGATTTTACCATGTTGGCCAGGCTGGTCTCGAACTCCTGACCTCAAGTGATCCACCCGCCTCGGCCTCCCAAAGTGCTGGGATTATAGGTGTGAGCCACCGCACCCAGCCCACTTCCCTGTTGATTCTGTCTCTGTGGAAGAACCTCACTAATACACCTTACTTGACCTTCAAAATAATAATGCTCAAAAGACTTCTTGCAA
The DNA here is from genome assembly GCF_000001405.40 of Homo sapiens. Classification (NCBI taxonomy): domain Eukaryota; kingdom Metazoa; phylum Chordata; class Mammalia; order Primates; family Hominidae; genus Homo; species Homo sapiens. The sequence continues at coordinate 140,489,387 of NC_000008.11, forward strand.
AAAAAAAAAAAAAAAAAAAAAGGAAGGATCCACTAAAGGGCTAAACATCTTGTCATTTAATAAATGTAAACTTAAGGCTTGGTGCCATGGCTTACATCTGCAGTCCCAGCACTTTGGGAGGCCAAGGTGAAAGGATCACTTGAACCCACAAGTTCAAGACCAGCCTGGGCAACATAGTGAAACCCTATTGTGTCCAGAGTTGGTGGGTTCTTGGTCTCACTGACTTCAAGAATGAAGCCGCGGACCCTCGTGGTGAGTGTTACAGCTCTTAAGGTGGCGCATCTGGAGTTTGTTCCTTATGATGTTCGGATGTGTTCAGAGTTTCTTCCTTCTGGTGGGTTCGTGGTCTCGCTGGCTCAGGAGTGAAGCTGCAAACCTTCGCAGTGAGTGTTACAGCTCTTAAGGCAGCGCATCTGGAGTTGTTCGTTCCTCCCGGTGGGCTCGTGGTCTCACTAGCTTCAGGAGTGAAGCTGCAGATCTTCGCGGTAAGTGTTATAGCTCATAAAAGCACTGTGGACCCAAAGAGTGAGCAGTAGCAAGATTTATTGCAAACAAAAAAAACAAAGCCTCCACAGTGTGGAAGAGGACCAGAGCGGGTTGCCACTGCTGGCTGAGGCAGCCTGCTTTTATTCTCTTATCTGGCCCCACCCACATCCTGCTGATTGGTAGAGCCGAGGGGGTCTGTTTTGACAGGGTGCTGATTGGTGCATTTACAATCCCTGAGCTAGATACAAAGGTTCTCCACATCCCCATCAGATTAGTTAGATACAGAGTATCAACACAAAGGTTCTCCAAGGCCCCACCAGAGCAGCTAGATAAGAGTGTCGATTGGTGCACTCACAAACCTTGAGCTAAACACAGGGTGCTGATTGGTGTGTTTACAAACCTTGAGCTAGATACAGAGTGCCGATTGGTGTATTTACAATCCCTGAGCTAGACATAAAGGTTCTCCAAGGCCCCACCAGAGCAGCTAGATACAGAGTGTCGATTGGTGCACTCACAAACCCTGAGCTAGACATAAAGACTCTCCACGTCCCCACCAGACTCAGGAGCCCAGTTGGCTTCACCCAGTGGATCCCACACTGGGGCTGCAGGCGGAGCTGCCTGCCAGTCCTGTGCCCTGAGCCTGCATCCTCAGCCCTTGGGCGGTCAATGGGACTGGGCGCCGTGGAGCAGGGGGCGGCAGTCGTCGGGGAGGCTCGGGCTGCACAGGAACCCACGGAGGCCGGGGAAGGCTCAGGCATGGCGGGCTGCAGTCCCGAGGCCTGCCCCGCGGGAAGGCAGCTAAGGCCCGGCGAGAAATCGAGCGCAGCGCCGGTGGGCTGGCACTGCTGGGGGACCCAGTACACCCTCCGCAGCCGCTGGCCCGGGTGCTAAGTCCCTCATTGCCCGGGGCCAGCAGGGCCGGCCGGCTGCTCCGAGTGTGGGGCCCGCCAAGCCCACGCCCACCCGGAACTCCAGCTGGCTCGTAAGCGCCGCGCGCAGCCCCGGTTCCCGCTCGCGCCTCTCCCTCCACACCTCCCTGCAAGCTGAGGGAGTGGGCTCTGGCCTTGGCCAGCCCAGAAAGGGGCTCCCACAGTGCAGCGGTGGGCTGAAGGGCTCCTCAGGTGCTGCCAAAGTGGGATCCCAGGCAGAGGAGGCGCCGAGAGCGACCGAGGGCTGTGAGGACTGCCAGCACACTGTCACCTCTCACTATCTCTTTTTTTTTTTTTTTTTTTTTTTTTGAGATGGAGTCTTGCTCTGTCGCCCAGGTTGGAATACAGTGGTGCAACCTCTGCTCACTGCAAGCTCCGCCTCCCGGGTTCACGCCATTCTCCCGCCTCTGCCTTCCAAGTAGCTGGGACTACAGGTGCCTGCTACCACGCCCGGCTAATTTTTTTGTATTTTTAGTAGAGACAGGGTTTCACCGTGTTAGCCAGGATGATCTCGATCTCGTGACCTTGTGATCTGCCAACATCAGCCTCCCAAAGTGCTGGGATTGCAGGCGTGAGCCACCGCGCCCGGCCATGAGACCCTATCTTTAAAAAAACAAAAAAATTAGTTGGGCATGGTGGCATGCACCAGTAGTCCCAGCTATTCAGAAGGCTGAGGTGGGAGGATTGCTTGAGCCCAGGAGGTCAAGGCTGCAGTGAGTTGAGACTGCACCACTGCCCTCCAGGCTGAGCAATAGAGCAAGACACTGTCTCAATTAAAAATAAAAATATGGTGCCATAAATGGTGTATGAAAACAGAGGAAAAAAATCAAAGTAAAAATGAGTGAATGAATGAATGACATGTAAACATAATTGGGATGAATTCTAAGCACACCGACCAGGACCTGAGGTGCGTCTGGAATCTGCATGGCTCCTTCCCCGCTCCCACTCACTCTGTTACTGAGGGATGCTGACTCACTCCCGCCTTCAGGTTGCCAATCTGTAAAGTGACATAAAACAAGCACTTACATAAATAGTTCCTTCCAAAGTGAGAAAGGGGGCCAGGCACGGTGGCTCATGCCTGTAATCCCAGCACTTTGGGAGGCCCAGGCAGGCGGATCGCTTGAGGTCAGGAGTTCGAGACCAGCCTGGCCAACATGGTGAAACCCTGTATCTACTAAAAATACAAAAATTAGCCAGGCATGGTCGCGCATGCCTGTAATCCCAGCTACTTGAGAGGCTGAAGCATGAGAATTGCTTGAACCCAGGAGGTGGAGGTTATAGTGAGCCGAGATCACGCCCGTGCAGCCTGGGTAACAGAGCGAGACCCTGTCTGAAAAAAAAAAAAAAGAAAGAAAGGATTGAGGTGATTCATTGGCAATAGGGTAACAATACCATTTGTCATTCAAGCCAGAACATTTCTGAGAGTGAAAGGGAAATCTGTTAGTAATTATGCTGGTTTAAAGTGACTTTCCTGGCAAACTTCAGACACACAGCTGTTCATACATGGGCAAAATTAATGAATGGATGGATGGACAGACATTCACCTGCTGTGAGCTCTGCGCCAAGCTCTGGAGAGTCCCTCTTCACACTGGCTGGCTCCGTTCTCACTCTGCCCTGCAGGTGGGTTCTGTTCTTCTTTTATGGCTGGGGAAGGAGGAGCCCAGAGAGCTAAAGCAACTGCCTAATGCCACCAGACCAGGAAAATGGACAAAGATTCTTTGCTTGGCCAATCTTTAGTCAACTTCAGAAACTTCTCCAAGGCCCACCTGGGTACTTCCTTGTAAAATCCAATTTTAGCAAAGAACTCCTCTTTTTTTGAGACGGTCTCACTCTGTCACCCAGGCTGGAGTGCGGTGGCGCGATCTCAGCTCACTGCAACCTCCGCCTCCCTGGTTCAAGGGATTCTCCTGCCTCAGCCACCCCAACTAGCTGGGATTTCAGGTGCCTGCCACCACGCCCGGCTTATTTTTGTATCTTTAGTAGCAATGGAGTTTCACCATGTTGGCCAGGCTGGTCTCAAACTCCTCACCTCAAGTGATCCATTTGCCTCAGCCTCCCAAAGTGTTGGAATTACAGGCATGAGCCACTGCGCCTGGCTGAGTTTTAGCAAAGAACTCTTCTAAGTCAGTTTACCCCACCCTCGATATCCAATTAGGTTACTTATTCTCTCTGCCCTGCAGGTGGTGTCTAAGCACCCTGGCCTGTCTTCAGCAAGCATCCTGCTAGGCTGGTTTAGCCCGCATCCCCTTACTCCCAATGCTTTCTCTTAGTAATTTTGCATCTGCTGTTCCCCACCCTGCTCCTTGGCTGTATGTAAATCCTCACTTGCCCGTGCTGTATTCGGAGTTGAGCCCACTCTCTCCCCAACTGCAAGTCGTGGTTGCAGTGGTCCCTGCACCTATCACAAGGGGCCTGAACAAATCTGCCTTACTGTGCTCTAACAAGCACCACCGGATAACCTGTTCTTCCAAAACCCCAGATGGAAAGAATGAAACTGAGCAGCCAAATCAGCAACTGCAACAAAAAGCCTTCGGGTAGTGGGGAGGGGTTTGGGGGGCGGGGGCCTGTTGGAAGGCAGGGCTGGATGAAGGCCCTGAAGAGTCGCCGAGGGGCCTGTGTTGAAAGGCATCCACACCTGAGTGGGTTACTGGGTCTGAGGGGGAGGGCTTTGCACATGCCCCCCAGCTGGGCTGAGTTCAGTCCCCCAGTGCTGGGGTGGGAGGTTGATCAGTGCATGAAGTGTCTTTGCCAAGTGAAAGCATGCCACAGCCTTTAGTTCTCCTTGACAGTACCACAGTGGAGGAGAACCCGGGGTGCCAAGAGGCAGCTGTCCCCCAGGTCTCTTGACAGGTCAGCAGCAGAGTGGGACCCAAACCAGGTTCTTGCCTCCAGGCCCCTCAGGTTGCTGCTGCTCTTGGTTTCCAGCTGGCCAAGAAAGCGCCAAGGCACTGATTAGAAACACAGGTTTTTACTGTGATGGCGACCAGCAGAGGGAAGGACAATAGGGGTGTCGAACCTGGCCATGTGGAAGACACATGAGTGCCCAGGGTGAGGGCTGATTCCCGAAAGATGTCTAAGCCTACTCACTGCTGGATAGGGTTAAGAGTTTTGTGGTTTGATGCCGGGTGCAGTGGCTCATCCCTGTAATCCCAGCACTTTGGGAGGCTGAGGTGGGCGGATCACGAGGTCAGGAGTTTGAGACCAGCCTGGCCAATATGGTGAAACCCCAACTCTACTAAAAAATGCAAAAACTAGCCGGGTGTGGTGGTGCATGCCTGTAGTCCCAGCTACTCGGGAGGCTGAGGCAGGATGATCTCCTGAACCCAAGAGGTGGAGGCTGCAGTGAGCCGAGATCGCACCACTGCACTCCAGCCTGGGCAATAGAGGGAGACTCCATCTCAAAAAAAAAATTGTTTTGTGGTTTGCAAGTCAAGAGCAAGTAAGGCCAAGGGCATGACTCCAGGGGGACAGTGGCACCTTCCTACATCAAAGCCCGAATCCTGGAACCCTTCCCCCTCTCCCTCCTCCCAGTCACTCTGCACCCTAACTGCAGCTGGGATTGTGGCCTGGCCTTCTCTCCCTGGCCCTGGGGAACTCACACGGCGTGGAGGAGCGGGATTCCTAGCAGGATCCTCTGCATGGAGCTCACTCCGCCGCTCACCTTCCTCCAGGCTGCTCCTCAGGCCCAAGCACCTTCCGTCTCTGGTGAGCTCCTCCTTGTCCTTCAAGGCCTAAATCAATAGGAAAGGTCTGGAGGGGCACACACCAGAAATCTGAGTGAGGCAGGATTGTGGGTGGAAGCATGAGGTTTTTCTTTCTTTTTTTCTTTTTTTTTTTTTTTTTTGAGACGGAGTCTTGCTCTGTCGCTCAGGCTGGAGTACAGCGGTGCGATCTCGGCTCACTGCAACCTCTGCCTCCCAGGTTCAAGCGATTCTCCTGCCTCAGCCTCCTGAGTAGCTGGGATTACAGGCATGTGCCACCACACCCAGCTAATTTTTGTAATTTTAGTAGAGAGGTGGTTTTGCCCTGATGCCCAGGCTGGTCTCGAACTCCTGACTTTAAGTGATCCGCCTCCCTCGGCCTCCCAAAGTGCTGGGATTACAGGCATAAGCCACTGTGCCCAGACTCTTTTCCTTCTTTTTGCCTATCTGCTTTTCTTTTTCTATACTGGAGAGGTGTAGCTTTGGTGATAAGAAGACCGTAGTGATGATCATGATGCTAGCGACGAGCCTAACGATCTGTCCCGGGTCAGACCCCATCTCAGTCATGAAACTCCCCTCCCTGCCTTTCCCACCCCTCCCCTCAGCAGGCTGGCTTCTTGGGGCTCCTGCATCGGGTCCTTATTTTTGTTGTTTTGTTGTTGTTGTTTTATAGATGGGGTTTCACTTTGTCACCCAAACTGGAGTGCAGTGAAGCAATCATAGCTCACTGCAGCCTGGAACTCCTGGGCTCAAGCGATCCTCCTGCCTCAGCCTCCCAAGTAGCTGGAACTGCAGACACACGCCGCTACGCCCAGCTAATTTTTCCTTTTCTTTCTTTCTTTTTTTTTTCTTTGAGGCGGAGTTTTGCCCTCGTTGCCCAGGCTGGAGTGCAATGGCGCAATCTTGGCTCACTGCAACCTCTGCCTCCTGGTTCAAGCTATTCTCCTGCCCTCAGCCTCCCGAGTAGCTGGGATTACAGGAATGCGCCACCACACCCGGCTGATTTTGTATTTTTAGTAGAGGTGGGTTTTCTCCACGTTGGTCAGGCTGGTCTCAAACTCCCAACCTCAGGTGATACCCCGCCTCGGCCTCCCAAAGGGCTGGGATTACAGGCGTGAGCCACCGCACCAGGCCTAAATTTTCTTTTTTACAAGTCCTTGTTTTTTATGCACAGCATCTGCACAAGCCATTCTCCCACCCTGGGGCTCTCCCTCCGGCCCCAGCCCCCTGCCCCATTGCCAACCAAACGCCGCCAGCTCACACTGTGGTGTCTTCAGAGTCCCTGCGGCTTCATCACAGGTTGTGACTCCATGTGCATTTCTGTCATAACTTGAATTACACCCCTCACCCCTGTCCCCCACCCCTGGCTCCATGAGAGCAGTGACAGGGCCTTTCTTTTTTCTTTTTTCTTTTTTTTTTTGAGATGGAGTCTTGCTCTGTCGCCCAGGCTGGAATGCAGTGGTGCAACCTCGTCTCACTGCAACCTCTGCCTCCCAGGTTCAGGCAATTCTCCTGCCTCAGCCTCTCGAGTAGCTGGGACTATAGGGGCCCGCCACCACACCCGGCTAATTTTTTGTATTTTTAGTAGAGATGGGGTTTCACCATGTTAGCCAGGATGGTCTCGATCTCCTGACCTCATGATCCACCCGCCTCAGCCTCCCAAAGTGCTGGGATTACAGGCGTGAGCCACCGCGCCCGGCCAACAGGGCCTTTTCTTTTAAATCAACTTCATTATGACATAATTTCATAGAGTAAAAGGCATCCCTTTTAAGTGTACAATGTAATGAGTTTTGACAAGTGTATACACCCTTATAACCACTTTCACAATCAAAATAGAGACATTTCCACCCTGCCCCTTGGCAGTCAGCCCCATCCCCACCCTGGCAGGCAACCGGGGGTCTGTTTCCTGTCACTGTGAACGTGCTCAGCCTGATCTAGAATTTCATGTAACGCGGTCCTGCAGGAAGTGCGCTTCTGTCTGGCTTGCCTCGGCACAGTGCTTCTGAGTCATCCAGGCGACTGTGTGTACCCGTTGCTTCTCCCACTGTTGGTGTTCCATGCAGGGATGTGCCATGGTTTGTGAACAGTCTCTCTGCTCATGGGTGTTTGAGTTGTTTCCACCCATAGTTATCATGAATAAAGCTGAAATGAACATTCAGGGACAATCTTGTGTGGACATACCTGTTTGTTTCTTTGGGTAAATAACAGAAGTAAAGTTATTTACTTTATGTAAATAAAGTAATTTATGGGAGTAAGCTGGCTCCCATGGTAAGAGGATGTTTAGCTTTTTAAGAACTGTAACCTATTTTCCAAAGTGTTTGGAACATATAGCATTGCCACCAGCAGTGTGTGAGGGCAGCAGTTGGGGCCACACCTCACTCTCTAACATGGGGTACCACTGCATCATGAGTCTTGTAGAGCGTACATCCTGGCTCCTGGCCCAGTGCTGGCCACTGTGGGTGCCCATTCTATTTTTTTTTGAGACGGAGTCTCATTCTTGTTGCCCAGGCTGGAGTGCAATGGCGCCATCTCGGCTCACTGCAACATCCATCTCCCAGGTTCAAGTGATTCTCCTGCCTCAGCCTCCCGAATAGCTGGGATTACAGGCGCCTGCCACCACGCCTGGCTAATTTTTGTATTTTTAAGAGACAGGGTTTCACCATGTTGGCCAGGCTGGTCTCGAACTCCTGACCTCAGGTGATCCACCTGCCTCGGCCTCCCAAAGTGCTGAGATTACAGGTGTGAGCCACTGAGACCAGCCTTTTTGTTTTGTTTTGTTTTGTTTGTTTGTTTTTTAGAGACAGGGTCTTGCTCTGTCACCCAGGCTAGAGTTCAGGGGTGCAATCACAGCTCACTGCAGCCTCAGACTCCTGGCTCAAGTGATCCTCCCACCCTAGCCTCCCAAGTAGTTGGGATTATAGGTGCCCAGCACCATATCTGGCTAATTTTTTTTTCAGTGTTTTTTTTGTTTGTTTGTTTTTTATTATACTTTAAGTTTTAGGGTACATGTGCACAATGTGCCGGTTAGTTACGTATGTATACATGTGCCATGCTGGTGTGCTGCACCCATTAACTTGTCATTTAGCATTAGGTATATCTCCTAATGCTATCCCTCCTCCCTCCCCCAACCCCACAACAGTCCCCAGAGTGTGATGTTCCCCTTCCTGTGTCCATGTGTTCTCATTGTTCAATTCCCACCTATGAGTGAGAATATGCGGTGTTTGGTTTTTTTGTTCTTGCGACAGTTTACTGAGAATGATGATTTGCAATTTCATCCATGTCCCTACAAAGGACATGAACTCATCATTTTTTATGGCTGCATAGTATTCCATGGTGTATATGTGCCACATTTTCTTAATCCAGTCTATCATTGTTGGACATTTGGGTTGGTTCCAAGTCTTTGCTATTGTGAATAGTGCTGCAATAAACATATGTGTGCATGTGTCTTTATAGCAGCATGATTTATAGTCCTTTGGGTATATACCCAGTAATGGGATGGCTGGGTCAAATGGTATTTCTAGTTCTAGATCCCTGAGGAATCACCACACTGACTTCCACAATGGTTGAACTAGTTTACAGTCTCACCAACAGTGTAAAAGTGTTCCTATTCTCCACATCCTCTCCAGCACCTGATGTTTCCTGACTTTTTAATGATCGCCATTCTAACTGGTGTGAGATGGTATCTCATTGTGGTTTTGATTTGCATTTCTCTGATGGCCAGTGATGGTGAGCATTTTTTCATGTGTCTTTTGGCTGCATAAATGTCTTCTTTTGAGAAGTGTCTGTTCATGTCCTTTGCCCACTTTTTGATGGGGTTGTTTTTTTCTTGTAAATTTGTTTGAGTTCATTGTAGATTCTGGATATTAGCCCTTTGTCAGATGAGTAGATTGCGAAAATTTTCTCCCATTCTGTAGGTTGCCTGTTCACTCTGATGGTAGTTTCTTTGGCTGTGCAGAAGCTCTTTGGTTTAATTAGATCCCATTTGTCAATTTTGGCTTTTGTTGCCATTGCTTTTGGTGTTTTAGTCATGAAGTCCTTGCCCATGCCTATGTCCTGAATGGTAATGCCTAGGTTTTCTTCTAGGGTTTTTATGGTTTTAGGTCTAACGTTTAAGTCTTTAATCCATCTTGAATTGATTTTTGTATAAGGTATAAGGAAGGGATCCTGTTTCAGCTTTCTACATATGGCTAGCCAGTTTTCCCAGCACCATTTATTAAATAGGCAGTCCTTTCCGCATTGCTTGTTTTTCTCAGGTTTGTCAAAGATCAGATAGTTGTAGATATGCGGCATTATTTCTGAGGGCTCTGTTCTGTTCCATTGATCTATATCTCTGTTTTGGTACCAGTACCATGCTGTTTTGGTTACTGTAGCCTTGTAGTATAGTTTGAAGTCAGGTAGCGTGATGCCTCCAGCTTTGTTCTTTTGGCTTAGGATTGACTTGGCGATGCGGGCTCTTTTTTGGTTCCATATGAACTTTAAAGTAGTTTTCTCCAATTCTGTGAAGAAAGTCATTGGTAGCTTGATGGGGATGGCATTGAATCTATAAATTACCTTGGGCAGTATGGCCATTTTCACGATATTGATTCTTCCTACCCATGAGCATGGAATGTTCTTCCATTTGTTTGTATCCTCTTTTATTTCATTGAGCAGTGGTTTGTAGCTCTCCTTGAAGAGGTCCTTCACGTCCCTTGTAAGTTGGATTCCTAGGTATTTTATTCTCTTTGAAGCAATTGTGAATGGGAGTTCACACATGATTTGGCTCTCTGTTTGTCTGTTATTGGTGTATAAGAATGCTTGTGATTTTTGTACATTGATTTTGTATCCTGAGACTTTGCTGAAGTTGCTTATCAGCTTAAGGAGATTTTGGGCTGAGACAATGGGGTTTTCTAGATATACAATCATGTCTTCTGCAAACAGGGACAATTTGGCTTCCTCTTTTCCTAATTGAATACCCTTTATTTCCTTCTCCTGCCTAATTGCCCTGGCCAGAACTTCCAACACTATGTTGAATAGGAGTGGTGAGAGAGGGCATCCCTGTCTTGTGCCAGTTTTCAAAGGGAATGCTTCCAGTTTTTGCCCATTCAGTATGATATTGGCTGTGGGTTTGTCATAGATAGCTCTTATTATTTTGAGATACGTCCCATCAATACCTAATTTATTGAGAGTTTTTAGCATGAAGGGTTGTTGAATTTTGTCAAAGGCCTTTTCTGCATCTATTGAGATAATCATGTGGTTTTTGTCTTTGGTTCTGTTTATATTCTGGATTACATTTATTGATTTGCATATATTGAACCAGCCTTGCATCCCAGGGATGAAGCCCACTTGATCATAGTGGATAAGCTTTTGATGTGCTGCTGGATTCTGTTTGCCAGTATTTTATTGAGGATTTTTGCATCAATGTTCATCAAGGATATTGGTCTAAAGTTCTCTTGTTTGGTTGTGTCTCTGCCCGGCTTTGGTATCAGGATGATGCTGGCCACATCTGGCTAATTTTAAAAACTTTTTAGAGTTGAGGTCTCAACATGTTTCCCAGGCTGGTCTTGAACTTCTGGGCTTAAGTGATCCTCCTGCCTCAGACTCCCAAAGTGTTGGGATTATAGGTAGGTGCCACCATGTTCCTCCAGCTTTTGTTATTTTAAATACACCACTGGGTGTGGTGGCACACAAAAAAGAAGTGGCCTGAGGCCTGCTGGAGCAGGCAGGCAGTTAGGAAGGAGAAGAGGCATGAAGAAAGGGTGTTCAGAGTCCTAGTGTGGAGAGCGGGTGAGCTGGAAATGGGCTGTGTCTGGTGGATGGAGGTTTCCAGATCCCAAGGCTAATGAGAGTGCCAATATTTAGCAACTGATCACTGCACATGCCCAGTTGGTCCCACTGCCCACACAAAGTCAGGGGTCTCACTGCAGCAGCGAAACATTGGCCCAGGATCCGCAGTCACGGAGGAGGCGTGGCTCCTGGCTTCCTTTTGATTTTCACTTGATTTTCATGCTCAGATCAATGGTAAACAAAGCCAGTCTGGCCCCAAATGTGAAATAACCAGGTGGGTCTGGGTCCTTGGACCTCCCCTTCTCCGGCTATTCTCCTCGCTCAGTCACCCTACCAGGCTCATGGCCCTACAGGCCACCTATCTGGGGATGCTCACATTTCTATCCCAGCCTGCATGTCCCCCCTGAGCCTCCACTGACCTTCCCACCTGACTGTCTTATAGCCATCTTGGACTTCTGTGCCCTCAAATAACTCTTGATACCTCTGTCCCCAACTCTATTCCTTCTTGTCTTCCCCATCCCAGAAATAGGCAGCACCATTTGCTCTAACCCCAAACTAAGGCGTCATTCTTTTTTTGTTTTTGAGATGGAGTTTTGCTCTTGTCACCCAGGCTGAAGTGCAATGGTGCGATCTCAGCTCGCTGTAACCTCTACCTCCTGGGTTCGAGCGATTCTCCTGCCTCAGCCTCCCCAGAAGCTGGGATTACAGGCGCATGCCACCACGCCCCGCTAATTTGTGTGTGTGTGTGTGTGTCTGTGTATATATATATATATATATATTTTTTTTTTTTTTTAGTAGAGAAGGGGTTTCACCATGTTGACCAGGCTGGTCTCGAACTCCTGGCCTCTGATGATCCGCCTGCTTCAGCCTCCCACAGTGCTGAGATTACAGGCGTGAGCCACCACAGCCAGCATGATTACTACACCCTAAGTTAAAATAATATATCAGCCAACAGTGTTTTCTACAGAAATAGAAAAATCCATCCTAAAATTCAAGGGACCCCAAATAGCTAAAACTATCTTGAAAAAGAACAAAGCTGGAGGAATCACACTTCCTGATTTCAAAACTTACTATAGGCCACGCGTGGTGGCTCACGCCTGTAATCCCAGAACTCTGGGAGACCGAGGTGGGTGGATCTTTTGAGGCCAGGATGTCAAGACCAGCCTGGCCAACATGGCAAAACCCCGTCTCTACTAAAATTATAAAAATTAGCTGGGCGTGGTGGCACATGCCTGTAATCCCAGCTACTCGGGAGGCTGAGGCATAAGAATCACTTGAACCTGGGAGGCAGAGTTTGCAGTGAGCTGAGATCATGTCACTGTACTCCAGCCTGGGCTACTGAGTGAGACTCTGTCTCCAAACAAAACAAAACAAAACAAAACAAAACAAAACAAAACAAAACAAAACAAAACACCTGATTTGGGAGAAGTTCACATGCTGAAGGAATTATGGGATATCAATCAATTTTTACCAGCCAAAACCTGGGGAATGTATGGGAGTGGATTCTAATGTGTCAATCCAGAGCCTCTAGTTACCAACACAGCTGACTTGCAAGAGAGTCTAAATGCAGCGTGTTAGCTTCGACAGCTGGGATAGCTCCAACTGTTTGCTTAGCTTAGCTAGTGGAATGACGTCTGGATTTGAGTGTCCTGCACTGCTGGCTTTCCTTGACTTTTAGAGATAATAGCGACCACATTTGAGTATGCTGCTCCGACCCATTTGACAGATAACCCTGCAGATCCAGTGGTGCTCAGGTTGTCCGTGACAGGTCATGCTCCTGTAAGTTCTGGCAGGGACCAGTATAAGAGTCACAGCACAGGCTGGGTGCAGTGGCTCACTCCTGTAATCCCAGCACTTTGGGAGGCCAAGGTGCGGTGGATCACCTAAGGTCAGGAGTTGAAGACCAGCCTGGCCAGCATGGTGAAATTGAAATGTCTTTAAAGTCTTTACTAAAAAATACAAAAAATTAGCTGCGTGTGGTGGTGGGTGCCTATAATCCCAGCTACTCAGGAGGCTGGGGCAGGAGAACCACTTGAACCCAAGAGGCGGAGGTTGCAGTGAGCCGAGATCACGCCATTGCACTCCAGCCTGGGCAACAAGAGCAAGACTCTGTCTCAAAAAAAAAAATAAAAAATAAAAGTCACAGCACAGACTCCAAGGGGTTTAGAGCAAAGATATACCCTCCTCTGAAAATGACTATTCTCCATTTAAGCATTACACAGCTTCAGATTTGCTACCAGGCACTGGTAGAGAACAAATGCCAGACTCTGGCACCCCAAATGAGGGTGTCTTTTGAGCATTATTATTTTGAAGGTCAAGTAAAGTTTATTAGTGAGGGTTCTTCCAGAGAGACAGAATCAACAGGGAAGTGGGCTGGGTGCGGTGGCTCACACCTGTAATCCCAGCACTTTGGGAGGCCGAGGCAGGTGGATCACCTGAGGTCAGGAGTTTGAGACCAGCCTGACCAACATGGAGAAACCCCGTCTCTACTAAAAATACAAAATTAGCCGGGCGTGGTGGCGCACGCCTGTGATCCCAGCTATTCAGGAGGCTGAGGCAGGAGAATTGCTTGAACTCGGGAGGCGGAGGTTGTGGTGAGCCGAGATCGCGCCATTGCACTCCAGCCTGAGCAACAAGAACAAAACTCCATCTCAAAAAAAAAAAAAAAAAAAAAGCAAGCAAGAAAGCCAGAAGGGTTGGGTCTACTCCAGTTCACGGACAGTCACTAACACTTTGAAGGTTCAGAAACTTGGAAAGAACATGTTTGGAGACAGAAAGACAAGAAGGTCTGGAGAGGGGGTGTGGATGAACCTTTTGGATTGGGGAGAGATGAGTGGAGATTTGTATTCCATGTGAATGCTTATCAAAGGACACCTTCTACACAGGAGGCCTTTACTCGGCAAATGGCAGGATCCCCCATTCGTACATGTCCATTGGTCTCTTTTCCAGCAGCTCTAAGGTGCCGCATTAGTGCTTATTCCATCAAGCTTACATATACAGTGGCCATGGCCACATCTGGAGCTATGGGAGCCAAGTCTGGAACTGATGCAGTAAGGGTGTCTGCAAGGGCCTTAGAGATTTCAGTCTTTCTGCTTTGTCCTTCTTGGCATGCTGGTTTTAGGCTTCATGCTTACTGCCTCATGGTTGAAAAATGGCTGCTACTGCTCCAGACTTTGTGACTGCATTAGACAAGAACAAAGGGAAAGGGCAGTTTCCACATTTCTTCCTCAGCCCTCAAGGCTTTGTCTTTTTTTTTTTTTTTTTTTTTTGAGACAGTGTCTTGCTCTGTCGCCCAGGCTGGAGTGCAGTGGTATGATTTCAGCTCACTACAACCTCTACCTCCTGGGTTCAAGCAATTCTCCTTACAGGTGTGAGCCACTGCACCCAAACAGCTTTGTCTTTTTACTGAAGAAAAGATACTCTTTTTTTTTTTTTTTTTTTTGAGACTGAGTCTCACTGTATCGCCCAGGCTGGAGTGCCGTGGCATGATCTTGGTTCACTGCAACCTGTGCCTCTTGGGTTCAAGTGACTCTTGTGCCTCAGCCTCCCGAGTAGCTGAGATTACAGGTACCCACCAGCATGCCCGGCTAATTTTTGTATTTTTAGTAGAAATGGGGTTTCACCATGTTGCCAAGGCTGGTCTCAAACTCCTGACCTCAAGTGATCTGCCCGCCTCGGCCTCCCAAAGTACTGGGATTACAGGTGTGAGCCCCCACGCCTGGCCGAAAATATCTTTTTAGCAGTATTCCTCTTACATGTAATTTGTCAGAGTTGGGTCATTAGCTCACCCTGTGACCAACGACTGGCCAAAGGGCATGATATTACTAGGACTGGTTTATGCCAATTAAGATTTGTATCTTTTTTTTTTTTTTCTTTTGGGATATGGAGTCTCGCTCTGTCACCCAGGCTGGAGTGCAGTGGCGTGATCTCAGCTCACTGCAAGCTCCGCCTCCCGGGTTCACAACATTCTCCTGCCTCAGCCTCCCAAGTAGCTAAGACTACAGGCGCCTGCCACCACGCCCGGCTAATTTTTTTTTTGTATTTTTAGTAGAGACGGGGTTTCACCATGTTAGCCAGGATGGTCTCGATCTCCTGACCTCGTGATCCGCCTGCCTCGGCCTCCCAAAGTGCTGGGATTATAGGTGTGAGCCACTGCACCCGGCCTGTATACTTTTGATTTTATAAGGATGTTGGCTATCTGATCCCTACTGAAATGAATTGGGGTGCGGGGTGGCAGTGAGGTTTAAGGAAAGGAATGCCAAAGTTGCCAACATATAAAATATTGGAGATTTTACTTATAAATCGAAATTGAAGACTGGAACAGCACTCACTGATCCCACATTGCCTCATGGCAAAATTGGCTGCCCTCTTAGGTAAGCCAGAGTCGTCACGTTTGCTACAGACCCCTCCATTCTCTATCACTCGCCTGTCAGCTTCACCCATTTCCATTACTGCTTGGACCCTGACTTAGGATACTGCTTGAGTTTTGTTTTGTTTTTAGAGACAGGGTCTCATTCTGTCACCCAGGCTGGAGTGCAGTGGCACGATCATAGCTTACTGCAGCCTGTAGTCACATGCCACCAGGCCTGGCTAGTTTTTAAATTTTTTGTACAGAAGGGGCCTTACTATGTTGCCCAGGCTCATCTCAAACTCCTGGCCTCAAGCAGTCCTCAGACCTCATCCTCCCAAAGGCTTGGGATTACAGGCATGAGCCACCATGCCTGGTCTCAGAGTGATCTTTTTGAGCATATGTTTCCCCCACTGGATTAGCACAGTGTTTGGCACCTAAAATGTAAACAGGATTTTTTAAAAAGGAAGTTGCCTATTCTAGTAAACTTGGCTAACAGTGCATGAAAGGAGTGGGAGAGGCTTTGTGTAAAAAAGAACCACAGGCAAATCTTAATCTCTGCTACTTATTAATACTAGCTTCCTCAGTCTGATTGTTTCCTTATCTGTAAACTGAAGTCAATAGCATCTGCTCCACAGCATTGCTAAGAAGCTCCTATAAGCTCGGGCATGGAAACCCAGACAAAACGCCGAAGTTCCCTCCTTCTCCAAGAAGGAAGATTGGTTAAGTTGAAATGAATTTGGGTTGGAATTAGGAAGAAAGATTTTAAGAGCTGAGGCCACATCTTATTATGTTTGCACAGCTAGAAGTGCTTAATAAATATTTAATAATGATTATAATGATCATTTAGCTCAATAGAATATAATTATACAAATTGTGAAAATAAAATTATGCCAGGCTGTCATTACAGATAATGGCCTGAATACAGGGATAACAAGGGGCACACCAGAGCCCGTTGCTGTGATGGCTGCCAACAGGCAGGGAGCTCACAGAGCTGCTGAAGGGCTCCATGCGGGGGTTGGGGGGCCTGGCAGCTAGAGAAAGGGGTAGGAGGAAGCAATCTGGGCCAAGGGGAGAGGCTGGTGGGAGCCGCATTGTGCAGAGCCTTGTGGTCCAGCATGGTGGACCCATCCCACAGGATGATGGAGTGGGAAGTCATTGGAGAGTTTTCAACAGGAGAACGGCAAGAGTTGATATATGATTTTAAAATGTTTTTATCATGGTAAAATATAAACATTACGATTAACATATACATTAACATATATATTAACATTATTGTTAATGAATGTTAATTTTATTATTTTGAGACAGGGTCTTGCTCTGTCACCCACACTGGGGTGCAGTGGCACAATCACAGCTCACTGCAGCCTCTACATGTTGTACTCAAGCAATCCTCCCACCTCAGCCTTCAAAGTAGCTAGGACCACAAATATACACCACCACACTGGGCTTTTTGTTTGTTTAAGACAGAGTCTTGCTTTGTTGCCCAGGCTGGAGTGTAGTGGCACAATCTCAGGTCACTGCAACCTCTGTCTCCTGGGTTCAAGCAATTCTCCTGCCTCAGCCTCCTCAGTAGCTGGTATTACAGGCGCCCACTACCATGCCCGGCTAATTTTTTAATGTTTTTAGTAGAGACGGGGTTTCACCATGTTGACCAGGCTGGTCTTGAACTCCTGACCTCAGGTGATCCACCCGCCTCGGCCTTCCAAAGTGCTGGGATTAAAGGCGTGAGCCACCGCGTCCGGCCCTTTTTTTTTTTTTTGAGATGGAGTCTCGCTCTGTCACCCAGGCTGGAGTGCAGTGGTGCAATCTCGGCTCAATGCCACCTAAACCTCCCGGGTTCAAGTGATTCTCCTGCTTCAGCCTCCCGAGTAGCTGGGATTACAGGCGTATGCCACCATACCTGGCTTTTTTTGTATTTTTAGTAGAGATGGGATTTCACCATCATGGCCAGTCTGCTCTCGAACCCCTGACCTCAAATTATCCACCTGCCTCGGCCTCTCAAAGTGCCAGAATTACAAGCGTGTGTCACCACGATTGGCCCTAAAGCAAAAAATTTTTTTTGAGATGGAGTATCCCTCTGTTGCCCAGGCTGGAGTGCAATAGCGTGATCTCGGCTCATCTCAACCTCTGCCTCCTGGATTCAAGCGATTCTCCTGCCTCAGCCTCCCAAATAGCTGGGATTACAGGCTTGTGCCACCACGCCCAGCTAATTTTTATATTTTTAGTAGAGACGGGGTTTCACCATATTGGCTAGGCCGATCTCAAATTCCTGCTCTCATGATCTGCCCACCTTGGCCTCCCAACGTGCTGGGATTATAGGTGTGAGCCACCGCGCCCTGCCTAAAGCAAAATTTTTAAAGGAAAGACTGAGGCTACATCTCTGCTATCTGCCAACCAGATACAGGGATTATGCAAATTTCTTCAAGGAACACAAATCAAGTGGAGGGAGTAGCTGGGATTACATGTTGGCCAGGCTGGTCTCAAACTCCTGACCTCAAGTGATCCGCCTGCCTCAGACTCCCAAAGTGTTGGGATTACAGGCGTGAGCCACGGCGCATGGTCAAGAATTGTTTTCAAGGACATTGTTAGAGCTGGAGGCGCATGACTGAGAAGGAGGCACGTCACTGAGAAGGGCGAGGTGCTATGGAGCAAAAGGGAGGAGACGCTACCTCGAGATCAGGAAGCTGGGACTGCCCCTGGCCTGGAGCCCAGGAGCCCACACTCGCCCCCGAAGGACTCCAGGGCTGCCACTGTTGAGCAGAAACTTAGAGTGAAGCCGCTCAAAGCTCCACATGTGCAGGTGGTGATCCCTATAACCCCACTGCAGTCCTCTACCCTGCAGCCAGCAGGCAGATAAAGCTTCTTCCTCCCACCCCACAGCGATCTTTCACAGGGGCCTCCAATTTGCAGAACCTACCCAGAAGCCAGCTGACAGGGCATTCTGGGAAGTGCAGAAAACTGCCTTGCACCACCCTGGGATACCCATGAGAATGGTGCAAGGTACTGTCGTGAAGACAAAGTGAGCCCCTAAAAAACAGAGCTAACGACAGGATGAGACTAACTCACTGAGCTTTTTCCAGAGCCAGGAAGTTCTCAAGGACAACAGTCTTGAATTCTGCCGTCTTAGGTTTAAAGCTTCTTTTTTTTACATTTTTTTTCTCTTTGTAGAGATGTGGGTCTTGTTATATTGCCCAGGCTGGTCTCAAACTCCTGGCTTCACGTATTTCTCCTGCCTCAGCCTCCAAGTGATGGGATTACAGCTGTGAACCACACTGGATTTTTTTTTTTTTTTTTTTTAATGGTGAGCACTTCTTTTCCAGTATGAAGATTTCCTGCTTGGCTTCTCTCTCTACTTCTCAAATGATTAATGACTGCAAACATCACCTGCCAATTCTACAAGCTGAGCTTCTCATCCCTATTCTCTCTCCTTTCCCTCCCTCCCTTCCTTCTTTCCTTCCTTCCTCTTCTGTGCTCTTCCCTAATGTTAACCCATCCTGTTCTCACACATACTCAAAAGAGAAAGACAAGCCATACAAAAATAATAGCCAGCTAGGGAAACAAAACATCTAACAGCTTCAAAATATGTCATCACTATGGCTTGTTTCCTGTGTGGACCAAAGGACCCTCTTGTGTAGCTGCTCTTGTGTAGCAGTTCCCTGCCCCTCTTTTGTGAATGTCAACGGCTTTCCCATTTACAGAGGCAAGGCCGAGAGGGAGAGGGAGTCTGCAGCTCCACCTCCAGCCTGTGCAAACTGCCAGGAGTCGGCTCTGCATAAGGCACAGTGCCATTTGGTCATCACTCAAGAACCAGTGTGAGCTTTTAAAGTGGATCTGCTCCCTTCAAAACTTTTTTTTTTTGAGAGTCTTGCTCTGTTGCCCAGGCTGGAGTGCAGTGGTGTGATCTGTGCTCACTGCAACCTCCACCTTCTGAGTTCAAGTGATTCTCCTGCCTCAGCCGCCAATGCAGCTGAGATTACAGGTGCTTACCACCATGCCCAGCCAATTTTTCTATTTTTAGTAGAGAGGGGGTTTTGCCATGTTAGCCAGGCTGGTCTGGATTTGTTTGTTTTTGAGATGGAGTTTCTCTCTTGTTGCCCAGGCTGGAGTGCAAGTGGCGTGATCTTGGCTCACTGCAACCTCCGCCTCCCGGGTTCAAGCGATTCTCCTGCCTCAGCCTCCTAAGTAGCTGGGATTACAGGCGCGTGCCACCATGCCCGGCTAATTTTTTGTATTTTTAGTAGAGACGGGGTTTCGCCATGTTGGTCAGGCTGGTCTCGAACTCCTGACCTCAGGAGATCTGCCCCCCCTCGGCCTCCCAAAGTGCTGGGATTACAGGTGTGAGCCACCGCGCCCGGCCAAAAATAAAATTTTTGTAGAGATGCTGCCCTGTTATGCTGCCCGGGCTAATCTCAAACTCCTGGGCTCAAGCGATCTGCCTGCTTCAGCCTCCCAAAGTGCTGGGATTACAGGCATGCACCACCTCGAGTTCAAAATTCTTCATTATTTTCCATTACTCTTGGAATGAAAGTCAAACTTTTTACCCAGGGCCAGAGCCGGTCCCACCTACCTTGGTAACCACACCTCCCGTGCTCTCTGCCTCCCTCACTAAGCTCCAGACACACTGGCTTTTCAGTTCCTCAAACTGCCCAGGCATTTTCCTCGTCAGGTGTTCTCCCTAGAGCCTGACTTGTCCCGAAAGCTCATCTTGTCTCAGTCTTTCTGTATGAGTGGCTCCTTTTCTTTCTTCAGATCTGGGCACAAATGTCACTTCCCAGAGGGGCTGCCCTATCACTCGCACATGGTTTTGTTTCCTTCGTAGCTTTCAGCATTGGAGGTGTATTTTTTTTTTTTTTTTTTTTTTGAGATGGAGTCTCCCTCTGTCGCCCAGGCTGCTGGAGTGCAGTGGCGCGATCCCGGATCACTGTAACCTCTGCCTCCTGGGTTCCAGCGATTCTCCTGCCTCAGCCTCCCGAGTAGCTGGCATTACAGGTGCCCACCACCACGCCCAGCTAATTTTAATAATTTCAGTAGAGATGGGGTTTGACTATATTGGTTGGGCTGGTCTCGAACTCTTGACCTCAGGTGATCCACCCACCTTGGCCTCCCAAAGTGCTGGGATTACAGGCGTGAGCCAAAGCGCCCGGCTGGAGGTATTCTTACTTATTTTTCAGTCTCCCTCAGACCTGAAGGTCAGCTCTAAGAGGGCAGGGACCATGGCAGCCCTGCTCACTGGCTGTACCCTTGTGCCTAGCAATGCCTGACATGTATTTCTGTGCTCAATTATTTGCGCCAGGACCTCACGTCACAGTGGTGAAGAAGACACTACACTTAACACGCTCCAATTCAAACCTCTGCCAAAATGTGCTCCCTGTCTCAGTAAAGGGCTCTTTACCAAGGCCTTTCTGATATCTCAGTAAGCTGTGCTGATACTCCACAGCAGCTCCCTCTTGAAATCAGACCCCAAACCCTACCACTTCCCATGATCCTGGCAGAAGTTAAGTTGGTGGCCAGGCGCGGTGGCTTACGCCTGTAATCGCAGCACTCTGGTAGGCCGAGGCGGGCGGATCACGAGGTCAGGAGATCGAGACCATCCTGGCCAACATGGTGAAAACCCGTCTCTACTAAAAATACAAAAAATTAGCTGGGTGGCGCGTGCCTATAATCCCAGCTACTCAGGAGGCTGAGGCAGGAGAATTGCTTGAATCGGGGTGTTGGAGGTTGCAGTGAGCCGAGATCGCACTGCACTCCAGCCTGGCGACAGAGCGAGACTCTGTGTCAAAAAAAAAAAAAAAAAAAAAAGTTAAGTTGGACCCCTTACTCTTCCAAGGGCCTCCCCACTCATTCAGAGCGAATTCTGCGGTCTCCGCGGCCTTCCCTGGTCTGGCCCCTGACCATCTCCTGCCTCTCTCCTCCCAGCTGCTGTCCCCTTGGTACTGCCGGCCTCCTGAGGGCCACGTTCCTGGGTTCTCGTAATCATCTTCTACCTGGTCTCTGTGATTCCGGCCTTACGCGCACCCACGCCCTCCCAGCCGGCAGCTGCAGGGATCCTTTTAAAACTGCCCGGGACTCCACTGCTCAAACCCTACCACCACTTCCCATTTTCCTTAGAAAAAAAAATCCAACAGGACCTAGCCCCGGGCTGCCTGTCAGACCTCGGCGAGCACGCCAGGCTCTGCACACCGTCTCTCGGAGCAGTCCCGAAGAGGCCGTTCCCACCAGACTCCGGGACCTCCTCAGGGCAGCTCTTCGTCCTCCACCCCGCAGGAAGGCTCTTCTCCCAATCACCCCGCGGCGCAGCAAGCCTGGCCCCGCCGCATCGCCCGCGCTGGACTCTGCTCTTCCACCGGTCGCCTGGCTACCGGCGCAGGACGCATCCGCTGTCCGCTTGGTCGTCCCCCCTGGACTTTGTGCTTCAAGAAAGCGTCACTTTTTGCCGACGGCGGCACGCCCGGTCCTAGTACAGCGCAGGCGCTTAACACACAGCACCCAGCCACGAGGCCCGGAGTCAGAGGGCTTTGCTTGCCCATTCACAGAGCCCTCACCCGCGGATCAAAGTCGTATTCCGCGACCGCAGCCCGGAGACTCCCGGGAGCGGCGCGGTGCGCCCCGCCCCCGCCAGGCTCTCGGCTGCCGGTTCCGCGCCGGGCCTCGCACTCGGGGGCGGTGTCCGAGCGTCGGCGCATGCGCAGATCGGGGGCGCGAGGCCTCACGGAGCTCGTAGTTTCCCGGACGGGCCGCTCCCGGCCTCGCGGCCTCGCCTCCCCACACTACAACTCCCACGGGGCAGCGGGCGCGGCTCCCCGTACCCACCAGCTGGCCGGGCAGGGCAGCCACTTCGCGGTCGGGCCCGCCGGCTGCGGGCACCCGCGCGACGGGCGGGAAGATGGCGGACGTGGTCGTGGGTAAAGACAAGGGCGGGGAGCAGCGGCTCATCTCGCTGCCTCTATCCCGCATCCGGGTCATCATGAAGAGCTCCCCCGAGGTGTCCAGCATCAACCAGGAGGCGTTGGTGCTCACGGCCAAGGCCACGGTGAGGGGGCAGGGCGGGGGTGTGGGCCGCCCTTACCCCTCGCGCCCCGCCCCGCCGGGCTCTGGGCACTGCCCAGTCCCCTTAGGCCCGCGCGCCGCCGGCTGCTCTTGCCGGGCTCGCGCGCGCCCCGCTGTCCCCGTCCCACGCCGGCGCGCGCTTCGGTGCCCGCGCGCCCCCACACTTTCTCGCGCGTCTTCGCCCCGCCCACCCCTCGCCGCTCCCTCACGTTCTCCAGTTTCTTCGCCTCGCCTACCGCGCGCCTCTCCCGCCCTTTGTCGCCTTCCTTCGCTCCGCCCGCCCCTTCCTTCCGTGCGCACCTTCGCCCCGCCCACCCCACTGTCCTCCCGCCGTTTCTCTCGCGCTTCCATTCGGCAAACCCGTAAGCTCCCGCGTTCCTCTGCGCGCCTTTCGTCCCTCCCACCTGTGCGCTCACGTCCTCCCTCGCGTGCGGCGCTCAGTTTCCGGCCCTACCCGTGGGCGTCGGCGCCTAGTGGCGCTCTTCTCATTTGGGTTCTTTGGGGGCTCTTTCACCCGCGACTCCCTACTCCCGGCCTGCCTTTTTCTTGTCACTGGACTGCTTCGTGCTTTGAGGGCCCTAACTCCTCCAGTGTCCCGTGGGAGGGGCAGCCGGGCGCTTCACCCGCGACTCGAGGCTCTTTTCCCGCGCGTGCGGTGCCAGCTCCAGCGGTCCGAGGCTTTCGAGCCCTCCCGCCCGCCACAGCTGGGGCCCCTCGTCTAAGAGGCAGCACATTCCCCAACCAGAATTTAAGGAAGTCCGGGGAACTTAAGTTTTACAGCCTGCTTAGCATCCTCCTGGGTGCAAAATAGATAATTTTGTCTTTTTTTAAAAAAATTGCGTCTCGATAGTGTTAGGCCAGATGTTTTCCTGTTCTGACACTGGGCCATGTTTCAGCTACACAGTTAAATGCTTTAGCTTGTCTTGGATTCTATTTTCCAGTCCCTACTTGTAGTTAAGTATATGATGTCCCTGCAGTGTTGGACTAGAACTAAGGGAAGTGGGAAATTACAGGTTTCTTGCCCGCTTTATGTCAGAGCCATGTTTTCCTAGAGCCCAGGGAAATAATTGCATATTCAGCATTTCATCTGGGGACATTTGTATTTTCCTATACAATTTCATTCTATTGGTATTAAGGAATGAGGATTTATGCAGGCACTTCTGACCCGTTATTTTATTTTTTGAGATGGAGTTTCCCAGGCTGGAGTGCGGTGGCACTGTCTTGCTCACTGCAACCTCTGCCTCGCGGGTTCAGATGATTCTCCTGCCTCAGCCTCCTGAGTAGCTGGGATTACAGGTGCCTGCCATCACACTCGGCTAATTTTTGTATTTTTTGGTAGAGACAGGGTTTCACCATGTTGCCCAAGTTGGTCTTGAACTCCTGACCTCAGGTGATCCGTCTGCCTCAGCCTCCCAAAGTGCTGGGATTACAGGCGTGAACCATCACGCCCGTCTTTCTCATCCCTTATTAACTGAACTAGATGCATTAAAGTCAAAACCTTGAGAAAGAGGCTCAGTTCAGCCTCTGTAAAAATGAAGACTTGGCCCTGCTATAAGAACTGGGATGCAGGAGGGAGAAGATCAGTTCCGGTTGTTTCATTAGGTCTGAGGGTTGTATGTCAGTTCCTAGAATAGAAAAGTTTTGGCAAAATGTAAGCTGTGGTCACTATAGTTGTAGGTGAACCACCTTAGAAACAGTGTATGCAAATAGAAGACTAAAAAGGTATTCCTGAGCCAAATAGAATTTTTGAATGGCTTTTTGCTACTTTCTATTTTTTTTTCTTTTTTTTTGAGACGGAGTCTCGCTCTGTCGCCCAGGCTGGAGTGCAGTGGCGCGATCTCGGCTCACTGCAAGCTCCGCCTCCCGGGCTTACGCCATTCTCCTGCCTCAGCCTCCCGAGTAGCTGGGACTACAGCCGCCACCATGCCCGGCTAATTTTGTTTTTTTTTTTTATTTTATTTTTAGTAGAGACGGGGTTTCACCGTGTTAGCCAGGATGGTCTCGATCTCCTGACCATCCTTGGTCCGCCGTCCTTGGCCTCCCAAAGTGCTGGGATTACAGGCCTGAGCCACAGCTCCCGGCCGCTTCTTTCTTTTACTCTAGAGGTTGGTCATTAAACAGTTACGATTCATCTTTTTCGTAAGTTAGACATCTAAAATAAGCCTCTGGAAAATGCCTGCTTCTCCGCCAATTTTGATACTGGCTTTGCTTTCTTTCTGACCTCATGTTTTTCTTTTCCCCAGTGATTTCTTTTTTTTTTTTTTTTTTTTTTTTTGAGACGGAGTCTTGCTTGATCACCCAGGCCAGAGTGCTGCAATCTCCAACCTCCACCTCCCAGGTTCAGGCGATTCGCCTGCCTCAGCCTCCCGCTGGCTGGGATTACAGGCACCCGCCACCATGCCCAGCTAATTTTTGTATTTTTAATAGAGATGGGGTTTCACTATGTTGGCCAGTCTGGTCTCAAACTCCTGACCTCAAGTGAGCCGCCTGCCTCAGCCTCCCAAAGTGTTAGTATTACCAGCGTGAGCCACCACGCCTGGCCTCCCCAGTGATTTCTTGTAATTTAATTTGAGAAACCAAGAGAATCTGAAGTCTTAATATACTTTTAAGCCTAATTAAGGAATCAACAATGTAATTTTAAAAATTAATTTCTGTGGTACATTTTCAAAGCACACCTTTCATTTGCATTTTTCATTTTGTTCTAGGAGCTCTTTGTTCAATGCCTAGCCACCTATTCCTACAGACACGGCAGTGGAAAGGAAAAGAAAGTACTGACTTACAGTGATTTAGCAAACACTGCACAGCAATCAGAAACTTTTCAGTTTCTTGCAGGTACTTAGTCTTTGAAACATTCTGGTTAAAAAATGATTAGTAATCAATAGCTCTTTCCCCACCCCTTGCCTCCCTTCTGCTCTCACGGAAAATTAGACTTTTTGCTACTTTTTCCAAGCCGCAAAGTACTATGAGTTGTCACAGGAAGATACTTTTAGTCTTCTCTGTTTGAATGTGTTTGTCATGTGGTCCACCTAGAACAATAGTGAAGCCAACAACATTCACAAGATGTTGGTTGGCCGCGTATGCTGGGCAGTCCTTTACTCTCTACAGGGACCCTGCCTGCCACTGAAGGGAAAACTCAGGGTGGGTCTACATGGCCGTAGTTAGAGCTTAAGTCTACCCTGGGGCTAGCCTAGGCTATCTCAGGTAGTCGGGCAGGGTTGCTCATAAAAGCAGCTCATAGAGACACCATGGTTTGTACTCATTGGACTGGAAAGAGGCCTATAGCGTTCGTTAGGAGACAATGCTAGTTTCTTTGATATTTTACCCAGAAATGCAGCCTGAATTTCATCTTGTTTTGGAACCTCTTATAGAGGTCAAAGCAGGAACTAGTACATTTTGAAATGTGCATTGCTGTGTTCATAGTCTACCATAACCAATTGCTGATGTACGCTTTATGTTTTTAAGATATATTACCAAAGAAGATTTTAGCTAGTAAATACCTGAAAATGCTTAAAGAGGAAAAGAGGGAAGAAGATGAGGAGAATGACAATGATAATGAAAGTGACCATGATGAAGCTGACTCCTAAACCAAAAGTGCTTTAAAAACCAGCCTGGCGAGGACAGCCCTGGACCCACTCCACTGTCTCTAAGTAAACACAGCACTGCCCGCTTTTAGCGTCTTCACTTCTTCACAGAGTTCCAGTGTGTGGTATTCTTTCGAGGTATTCTTTCCAGGCCGAGATTGAGCACCTCATGTACCTACGCCACAGACAGCCAGAGGGAAAGCGACCCAGACAGCAGCCCCTCCTCGACAGGCCCACCCTGCAGCTCAGGCACCAAGAAAACAGCCGATACTGGCAGCCATTGCAGCTCCAAACTGCAGAGGCAAGGCCAATTTTAACTTTTCAATTTACAGTCGATTTTGAAGAGCTTCTACATATCGGTTATGTAAATTCATATATGTATATTTTGGAATCAGTTCTTATAAACAGCTCGATTCAGTTTTAGCTAAATTTATAGTTTAGGTAGTATGTTACATTTGAATTTTTGTCTTAAGAAAAGTTGACTGTTCAGATATTTTTCTACTGTAAAGAAATATACTTTTCTATTAAAGATCTGTACATATTTTTACAGTAAAATGCTTTATGGAACTAGTTTTAGAGCCCTCTATGGCTTTAAGGCCTTGCTTACTGCCTGCAAATTTTGAGAAATTTAAAAATAAGCATTCTAACACTTTTATTCCCACAGAAAAATTCCAAGTCAAATTATCAAATCAAATACAAAAATAAGTCTTACCTCTTGTATAAGCATGTTGTACTAAAAAAAAATTTTGAAACATTTTGTATATTGGAGATCTCTCTCATCTTACTGTTCTTTGCTTTAAATTCCTGGCACTTCTTTTTACTGTCTATAAGAGAAAACCTATCATAAGCCCAATTTTTTTTTTCCACTTAGGGTAAATGTTTGGCTCCTCTCATTTCATTATCTTTTTTTTTTTTTTTTTAAAGACAGATTCTCACTCAGTTGCCCAGGCTGGATTGCGGTGGCGCTGTCTCAGCTCACTGCAACCTCCGCCTCCCAGGTTCAAGTGATTCTCCTGCCTCATCCTCCTGAGTAGCTGGGATTACAGGCGTGTGCCACCATGCCCAACCTATTTTTGTATTTTTTAGTAGAGACGGGGTTCACCATGTTGGCCAGGCTTGTCTCAAACTCCTAACCTCAACTGATCCACCTGCCTCAGCCTCCCAAAGTGCCGCCGGGATTACAGGCGTGAGCCACCATGCCTGGCCTTCATTATCTCTTTTTTAAAAATGAAAAAGTTTATAATTTACATTCAGTAAAATCACCCTTTTTAGTGTCTAGTCTGTGAATTTTGACAAATGCATGGTTTTGTAACCAATCGATAGGACAGTTCTGCCACCCAGGACATTCCCCTCTGTTCCTCTGTTCCTCTCTTCTCCTGCCCCCTAGCAACCACTGGTGTTTTCTGTCCCTCTTGTTCATTGACATTTATTTTAAAATAAAATATTTTAAAATCTACTTTTTGGTGTACAGTTCTGAGTTTTGGCAAATGCAGTCAAGTCACTACCACCACCACAATTAACAGCTATATCACCCTCCAGTAAATTCCCTGTGGTCAGCTCCTTCCCCACCTTTTACCGTGGCAACCGTCAAGCTATTCTCTGTCCCTATACCAGGTGTCATCAAATTTTTTTCTGGAAAGGGCCATGCAGTAAATAGTTCAAGCTTTGTGGGCTTTTATAGTCTCTGTTGCTGCTGCTGAACTCAGCTGTTGTAGCACGAAAGCAGCCAGGTAATTACTAGATGAAGGAATGCAGGTGGCTGTGTTTCAATAGAGCTTTATTTCTGCAAACTGAAACTTGAGTTTTGTGTAATTTTCATGTGTCATGAAATACTGTTTTCTCCAACCATTTAATAATGTAAATACTTGCTAGCTTATGTGCCATTAAAAAATGACTTGATTTGGCTTACAGACCAGTTTGGTGGCCTGTCTTTTCCAGAATGTCATATAAATGGAATCATTCAGTATGTAGCATTTGAGTCTGCAGTTGTTCTGTTTAGCAGAATGCATTTGAGATTCATCCGTGTTGTCACAGGTATCAGCAGTCCATTCCTTTATATTGCTGAGTAGGATTCCATTGTATGGATGTATCTGTTTATCCATTTTCCAGGTATATGGATAATTACCCATTTAGATTGTTTCT
The DNA here is from genome assembly GCF_000001405.40 of Homo sapiens. Taxonomy (NCBI): domain Eukaryota; kingdom Metazoa; phylum Chordata; class Mammalia; order Primates; family Hominidae; genus Homo; species Homo sapiens. The sequence goes on from NC_000008.11 coordinate 140,517,387, forward strand.
AGTTTTGATGATTGTAATTTTTTTTTTTTTTTTTTTTGACAGGGTCTCACTCTGTCACCCAGGCTGGAGTGCAGTGGCATGATCATGGCTTACTGCAACTTCCGCCTCCTGGGTTCAAGCGATTCTTGGGTCTCAGCCTCCTGAGTAGCTGGGATTACGGGCACGGCGTCACCACACTTGGCTCATTTTTTTGTACTTTTAGTAGAGATGGGGTTTCACCATGTTGGCCAGGCTGGTCTCGAACTCCCGACATCAAATGATCCGCCCACCTCGGCCTCCCAGTGATGGGATTATAGGCATAAGCCACCACACCTGGCCTTGATGACTATAATTAATAAAGCCCTATAAGTATTTGTGTACAGGGTTTTTGTTTGTGTTTTTTGAGATGGAGTCTCGCAAACTCTGCTGCCCAGGGCGGTGTGCAGTGGCGCAGTCTTGGCTCACTGCAACTTCTCCTATCTAGGTTCAAGCCATCCTCCTGCCTCAGCCTCCTGAGTAGCTAGGATTACAGGCGCCCACCACCACACCTGGCAAATTTTTGTATTTTTAGTGGAGATGGATTTTTGCCATGTTGGCCAGGCTGGTTTCGAACTCCTGAGCTCAACCAAGTGACCCGCCCACCTCAGCCTCCCAAAGCGCTGGGATTACAGGTGTGAGCCACTGTGCATGGCCTGTGTACAGGTTTTGTGTGAACACGGGATTTCATTTTACTTGGGTATATGCTTATGAGTGGAATGCGATACAGACGTTTATAAGAAGAAACTGCCAAACTGTTTTCCAAAGTGGCTGTGCCATTTTGCAGTCCCACCAGTAGTGAGTTCCAGTGGCTCTGCAGCTCCTACAAAAATTCATGTCAGTTTTTGTTGAGTTTTGAGAGATTTATATATTCTTAATACAAGTTATTTGCCTGATAGGAGATTTGCAAACATTTTCTCCCAGTCACTTTTCATTCTCTTAATAGCATCTTTTTTTTTTTTTTTCGAGACTGAGTCTTGCTCTGTCACCCAGGCTGGAGTGCAATGGCACGATCTCGGCTCACTGCAACCTCCACCTCCCAGGTTCAAGTGATTCTCCTGCCTCAGCCTCTCGAGTAGCTGGGATTACAGGTGTGTGCCACCATGCCCGGCTAATTTTTGTATTCTTAGTAGAGATGGGGTTTTACCTTGCTGGCCAGGCTCGTCTTGAACTCCTGACCTCAAGTGATCCACCCACCTCGGCCTCTGAAAGTGCTGGGATTACAGGCATGAATCACTGCACCCAGCCTGAAGCATTCTTAAGGCACCATAAGTGTTTGAGATCCGATCATTCAGGGAACACTCACCCTTTCAGTTCCTCCTTGAACCGGGTGCCAGGTTGTTACAGTAGCTTCCTAAGTGGTTTCCTCACAGTGCCTACAGCCTTTCCTCTTTCCACCTTGCATACTGCTGTCAGATTATCAAAATGATTTTATGAAGATGAATCTTTTGCTCTCGCTTGCAAGTGTTAAACCATTACTGCTTCTGGCCATTCAGTAAATGATGGTGAAATAGCGAGAATATAACAAAGGCCATATCAAGTGAGTATATTGCTGTAGATGAGTTTCTGTGTATTCTTCCGGTTTTGACTACCATGTCCCAGGGCCAGTGGGCACAGAGGTGCTTTGTATACTAAGAAGTAGTAAAGGGTTCTAGATACATTAAGAAAAAAGTAAATCTTGATTTTTGTTTAAAAAAATAAGACTGCGGAACAAGATAGATCAGAATGTTAAGGTTAATTACCTATGTGTCGTGACTAGAGATAGCTCTTTATCTGAATTTTCACATTTTTCTGTAACATTGTTCTTAAAATTTGGAAACCTGAAATAAGGACAAAATCTTGGCCTGCCTCAGCAGTGATGTACAGCCTAGGGATCTGCTGCCATTTGGGGGCTTTCTTAAGAAAAGGAAAAGCCTGGCCGGGCACGGTGGCTCACGCCTGTCATCCCAGCACTTTGGGAGGCCGAGGGGGGGCAGATCACCTGAGGTCAGGAGTTCAAGATCAGCCTGGCCAACATGATGAAACCCTGTCTCTAGTAAAATACAAAAGTTAGCCGGGCATGGTGGTGGTGCAGGCCCGTAGTCCCAGCTACTCGGGAGGCTTAGGTGGGAGAATCGCTTGAACCCAGGAGGCAGAGGTTGCAGTAAGCTGAGATTGCACCACTGTACTCCAGCCTGGGTGACAAAGTGAGACTCCATCTCAAAAAAGAAAAAAAAAAAGGAAAAGCCCCCTTTTCCTTTCCCAGCACGTCGTCATCTCAGTATAGACAGCAGAAGTCAAAAACAGCCCAGTCAGGGTGAGGCCACCAGGGATTTGAGAGTAGCCAATGTGCGTAAACCTAGCCGGGACAGAGTAGCAAAGTGGCTGGCCAGGCCGCGAACCAGGACGGTGCCAGCTCAGGTTCCCACACTCAACACGGAACTCAGGACTTTGCTTGTGACGGGCTTAGCTGAATGGCTTCTTGATCCTTTCTCATGCTGCAGGAGCAGAAAGAGCCAACTATCCGACACACCATGGCTGCTCCCACTAGTCCAACTCATGCCTGTGGTTCTCATCCCCCAAACCCAAATCCTCGGGTAATGCCCAGCTCTGCCAAGTACATTCTTCAAGGAACAGCCCTCTGTTTGTGGAACAGGGCTCTGGACTTCCATCCCTGAAGGCACGCTTCTGCCTCGGGAGCTGGAATCATAACCTGTGCAGAAGGAAGTGCCTAAAGAAGTAGGTGAGGAATTGAAGATTTTTGGAAGAGGCAGCTGTAAATAGGAGGACTTTTATTTAATTTTTTGCTGACATACTATGAGGCAAAACAAAATTGACACCATACAAAATAACTTTATAAAATATCATTCACATCATATTTTATCAGATTTACAGCATTCTGTGCATGTTAGGGGTTATGTAAGGAGGTGAAAAAACACTATGCCAAACTTTTAGTATTAGTTTATATACACACAGTAAGAAACAAAACAAGTAACTGTTAGGTTTTCCATGAATTTATTGCAAAAATAGTGCAAACTACTTCACCTAGTAAGCTGTAAAAACAAACTAGAAAGGACCCAGCTAAGCTTAAACACGACAATAGATGCTCAGTTTCTCAGCATTTAGCTTTCTTCACCAGTTTTATCTTGACAATCAAGACCACTCCCCATCTGTTCAGTTTCGGGTGAGTGCTGAGGAATAGAGAAATGTGAAGACGGGCTCTCTGGAGAGACCAGAGGCTCGGGCTGCCTGATTTCAGCAACACATTTAGGATCATGCTACTTCCTCAATCGCAATTTTTCTGAGGTCTGTGTTGGGGGAAAAAAAAAAAGGTGACATGATTTTTAACCTTGAGCTTAGAAATAAGTTATCCAACCTCTTGATGACATGGAGAAATGAATTAAGAAAGCAGCATGAACAGGAAGGATTCAGAACATTATTGTCTGCTTATAAACACAGTGTCTGCCTCCTCAGGTGTATTTGGCTAAAGTATTATTCTAATATAGGGCAACCTTCGAGCCAGATATTGCAGCAATTTTTTTAAATTTTTTTAAATTTTTATTTTTTAAGGATACTATATCCCTACAAGAGTAATTTTTAAATTTCTTTCAACAGTCTATTGGGGTCCAAAAAGCATATATCAAAACAAAAATAACAAAAGCAAAACAAAATGCTACATGTAAAAGCTAAAGAAAGAAAATGCAGCATATTCAGGTTCTTTTTCTTGAGGTACCTATATAAATTTAATCACCTGCCCCAAAGTCCTCTCGTTAGGTTAAAAACACAATGCGTCCTGGGGAGCCAATTGCCCGGCACGTCTTATTACTGAGAAAGTGCAAGAATGCTGATCATCTTATGCAGCATACTAAAGGATGATTTACTCTTTACAAAATAGAGCTTAAGTATCAACCTGATGGAAGTTAGAAAATTAAAAACATTTAAGTAGAATCATCTCTCTCTCTATTTTTGAGATCCTGCAGCAAAAAGCCTCCCAAATCAACTTTCAAAGTTCTGCCATTAAGGAATGTTGGTTCTCTTGTAAAATTCAGAGATCTCTTTAAAATAGTAAAACTATATACTACAGGAAAGATCCCTAATTTTTATTTCTTATTGGTATAAAATCAAATTCTTAAGACTCCAAAATATTGTTACCTCCAAAGAATTAAGTAAAAAAAGATCGCCATAGTAGGAAAAGTCTAGAATTGTAAACTGCCAAATATAAAAGCATGGTAAGTCATCAACCTATCTCATTTTCTTACCTGTCAGAAAGCCTTCCTAACTTACAGGCACACAGGGCCGCTGCTGAATGCAGGCCTCTGCCTCCACAAAGCCACGAGCTCTGGCTCGCCCCTTTCTGTCCATGGCCATTAGCACCTCCACCAGGTAGGTCAGGAGAGATGAAATCGACAACAGTCCGTTTGCTGCTTATGAAATAAACTCTTAGAAAATGTGCCAGAGGAAGAGGGGGCATGAATGGCTAGAAAAGCAATGATGAGGGTACTTGGGATTTTTTTTCTGGCCACCCCTTCACTGGCACAGAAAATGAAGTGATAAGCTATAAATATGTGCATAGAGGAGTTTGGACTTTATTGTTTGTAAAATGTTAAATTTGCTCTTGGACATTTTTTTTTTTCTTTTCACAGGGGGGCAGTCGGGATTATAATACACTGTAGCAGTTGGCTGGGGAAAAGTCTATCAAATTCCATGACCAATTGGACTTTTCTCCCACCTGTAATATAAATAAAATATGTACTGTTTCATACTGAATTTTTTCAATGCATTGGGGTTCAACATAAAAGGCACAAATAAATAAAAATATCATTAAATAAACGGAAATTACAATTTCAAGTTTCATGTGGAGTTGTATCTCACTGTTTGGTTACTTTTTCCAATTTAATTTGACAGACTTAGTAATAGCACCCAACTGTTTAACTGAGGTAGATCCACATTGTAAAGAAAGCTGGGTCCCCTCCATTTTATCTCTAAATTTATGATACTTTTATAAAAACAAAAATCCATTTAAATCATATGCAGAAGCGATGACAGGTGGTACTACCTGAAGAAAGCTTAGAACATGAGCAGGTTTGCAAATAAGACCTACGCCCAAATCACACTCTCCATCAGCCACACAGAAATCTCAGACTGGAGGGGAAAAAAAAAAAGAAACATGAAAAAAAAAAAAAACCCTGAAAAAGTCGCAAGACTTTTAGAACAGGTCTTTTTGACTGTCACAGAAATGCACAATGGTCCATTTTCATCAAGCTATGGCCATAGCCAAGCTAGACAAGAGAGAGAGAGAGAGACAGAGACAGAGACAGAGAGAGGGAGGGGGAGGGGGGAGAGGGGGAGAGAGAGAGAGAGAGAGAGAGGTGTATCACTGAATGCTTCCCTTTAACTCCAGAAAAAAATAACTTGAATTATGATACAGCATCTTGATCTGAACAGTTTACACTCACTCTGCCTAATATTTTTGCATACTCTGAAACTCACAAATTTAACATCTGATTAAGGCTTAATTTAAAGTGGCATTGCCACCTAGCATCATGCAAGCGTGGACATCTTCAAGACACACAGCATGGTATTCAACTAAAGACAATGACATGAAGCCTCAGAATTGTATTTAGCAGGTACTATAATTTTATAATTAATTTTACAATTCATGTAGCAAATGGAAAATCATACAGAGAGGCCAATGTATATAAATAAGAGTTTATACAGAAACTGCCAATTCACAAAACAGCACTGCATGGTTTCTATATTGCAAGCACAAGACATGGTCACATGGTTCCACTGTACAGGTAGAAACAAGCCCACAGACAATACATAGAGTACCACCTGAAACGAGGCCCTTGGAGCTGCTCAGCTTCTTAGAAAATAGAGAACTTTCAATGGTCATAATACATTTTGATTCAAAATGTCTTCTAAAATGTTTTCATTGTGGGAGAAAATTAAGAAGGGGCAAAAATCCATCTATGGAACTTCTGAATTCATTTTTGGTTCTTTTTCAATTATTTTATAAAAATAAAATAAAACTAGAAAAATTGATAAAACTAAGGGTTAAAAGCCCTCAATATGTATTAGGTAAGTAATCTGAAGTGTACCAGAGGTAAGAAAAAGCTGGATTTAGATACTACATTCTTTTCCTGTATTTAATGAGTAATTAGCCACTTTGCTGCACAGAAACTTATAAATTATTCTCTCAAAACTTTTTAAAAAATAAAAACTTGCTTGCCTCTACAGTTATAAAACATGAATTCATACCTTTAACAACTACATTAAAATCCACTATCAAACTCAGGCCTGGAATTTCAATGCAACGCCACCCTCCATACTGTAGGATTTGAGTCACGCGTGTCTGTTTGGCTTTGAAGAGGAACTGGGATGGCAGCCACAGTGCTCCCTCTGCAGCCGTTGCCTCTGTGGAGGGAGAGGCCATTCCTTGCCTTGCAGGATGGTGGGTTGGGGGAGAAAGAGGGGAGGGCCAAGAGGAGCCACCAAGAAGAACTTCCTAGGTATTTAAGAAATAAGTACATGGGATTACTTCCCCACTTAAAACCAATAAAATCACCCCTTGACAGGGACAGGTGGTTTCTCAGGCCATTGGCCAAGAAACTGCTCAATACCTGGCTTGAAAAAGCTAGAGATAAAAACTGCCTGTTAGGTTAAGTCAAAACTGGTGTCCTATGTGCACAGCTCAAGGTGACACCACACCAAAGTAAGCGGTTTCCCAGGAAGTCACAAAACAGAGCAACAGTAATGAAGAGCATTCCAAAATAAGGGTCACAGGACTGAATAGCACCTTACAGCTGAGGACTTCACACACACACATTCTACAAAGACATGATTCCAATTCCTTTTTTAAAAAATCTACTTCCATTACAATAAATATTCTTCTCGAGTGACTATGAGAACAAGACCACCAGGCTTTGCTGATGGTCATGGTCAATGCATAAGAGATGGGTCTTGCACCAATCTCCTGCAATCCTGGCAGAGGTGGACTTGGTCAGGGTATGGGAGAAACCACACGACTGGAACCAAGTGTTTTCCGCAATGAGACCGAGTGCGTCCCCCGCGGCTCCAGACTGCATGGCATCACAGTTTACAAGTCAGGGGCTGAGGAGCGGAAAGAAAGCTTCCAAGGCTGGAGGTCCACGCCTGCCTTGTGGAATGGCACAGGCTTAGTTCCCCAGAGAAACGCAGCCCCAACATGATTCTGAAAGGACACTGAGGACCGGACTTTAAAGGCACAGAGTCTGAGACTGGGTCTTCCAGAACGCGATCAGGCTGGCACTGATGGAGACAGAGGAAGGCCTTGGCACCACCAGCTTCTTGGGACAGAGGGACCTGCCGTCTCCCACCCAAGACTGCGCACACAACTCCCAGAGTTCAAAGGAGCCCCGGACCCCTACACGAGCACCCCGATCTATGAAGTCGCTTGCACTGTGCCCTGCTGGTTGGTGCTGTGGGGTGTTCTTGGGATCAACTCACTCATTTTAAGGACCTTGGAGCTACAGAAAGAACTGAATAAGAATGGCCCCAACGTCCAGTTCCTGGAGACACTTGGGGGAAAGAGTTAATATTTGGTGTTTTAGCTTTAACTCTGAACTACTTAAATCCAAGGAGGTTTTAAATAGGAGATAACTCAGCCTCTTCCTACCCCCCAAAAGGGGGCTGGGGGCTGAGGTGAGGACTTAACCCTTTAATCATACCACCCACAGCATTTAAAAACCTAACAACACATCTAACATTTCCACACCAACCAATAAGATAGAAACGTGTTAACAAAAGCACCAGGAATCTTCAGTTCTCTCACTTCTGAGTAAATTCTCACAAACGCGAAGATGGTGGGAGGGCCCAGCGCAGCATTCCGGAGATGCGCGTGCAGGAAGCTTGCGGTGGATCTGCGTGCTGCAGCTCCCATGACTGAGTCGAGGGGCGAGCGGCTGTGCAGTGTCCCCTCGAAACACCCTGGACCAGATTCTGACAGCCCAAGGCCAGCCCAGCGGACCCAAGCAGCCTGTACCCTGGGCCGGCAGGCAGTGGGACACCCACGGGGGCCCAAGCCTCTTGAGGTCGGTCCGCACAGAACAGCGTGGCGGCAGAATTACAAAACATTCTCAGAGAGACTGCAAAGGACACTTAGCTCTTCCGGAATGAAAGCACGCAACGCAGCATAAAAAGCATCGAAACCCCAAACAGCAGAGTGTTAAAGGCAATTGCTTCCAGGTAGTGACGTAGTAGAACCGCCGGGGCCAAACTCAATGTCTGATGAGCAGCCAACATGAGAACGGGGCCACCTCCAAACACCCAGACACCTCCAACTGTCAGATCATCGCCTGTCAACTCAGAGTAAACTCATGGAGAAATTGGGGCGAGCGCTAACCTCAAGATCGGGCAACATATGGAACCCAAAGAAAGAAGCGAAGGAGGCCCCGGGCCCACAGCACAGTGTATGGGAAAATGACATTTCTGACAGCAAAGTGGTTAATCACAGGGAGGGGTGTTCAGAGCCTCCCAGGACCGACTTCCTGCAAGTCTGCATCAGACGGTCCACTGCGCCACTAGTGGGAACTTCTACTTCAAAACACCAGCTGTGGGCCCTGTGTTCTTTTCAAACAAAGGGCCCTGGATTTGAACAGAATGCTTTGCTTTCAACCCTTAGTTTGTTTTGCAGTAGGGAGTGAGAGTAACCCGAGGTCCCAAAGTCAAAGGCCAATTACGTCTGCATTGTCTTTGAAACCATGCAACTATTTTAAATGTATTATTTGCATGACAGTCGGTGTTGAAGCACCTTTGTGATTTTACAGAGTGTATAAAAGAGAGGAGAGGACAGAGGAGGCCATTTTCAACCCATTTGTAGGTAAAGCAGAAAAAAAAGTGCTTTCTTATATTAAATAGGAAAGTGAAAAGCCAGGCAGGACACAGGCTGTTTCAAGATTTTGCCACACCTGCGCAGGCTCCTGCCAGCCTGAAGGATGGCATGCCGTTATGCCGTCCCGTGCAGAGAACCCTCCCATGCCATTCGTGCCGGCCGTAGAATCCTAGAATCTCAAAGCTGCGCAGAACAGAGGTGACCCTGGTCCACCTGACACAGTAGAGGAGGAGGGGCTGCCCGTGGGTCACAGTATGGCACACACATTTTCAAGCCAGAACTGAACAGATAGATGTTCACAATTCAGTTTATTCAGGCAACATATTGGCTGTTTTCAGTGTGGACAGCTACACTTAAGAGCAAACATGATGAATCTATTGAGAATTCAGAGGTAGCCTTTATCTGCATTTTTTTTTAAACTAAAAGGTATTTAGGAACCACCTTCTGTAGTGATTTGGCTAAGCCAATACATTCACTTTAGACAATAACATGGCAAAACATACTGAAAGAAGCATAAGCGAGGGCACCGTAATGGCACTGGTGTGACTCGGACACACACACAGACTGGTCTGGGGCTGAAAAACTTCTTGCTGGGTGTGACACAGGGTAGCCTGACCACAGAGTGACACACGGGGGCTACAGCACACGCTGCTACTCCAGCAAAATAACGGGCACAAATGACAGCTTTGACACGACAGTAACCTCATGGCTTTAAGATGACTCTGACCACAGAGATGCAAGGAGGCCCTTGCGTCCTAGTAGCAGGCGGAGCAGATGCCTCCCGTCTGGACTGTCCCAGGCTGGGTGGAACTCAAAGACCATGCTTTGGAGAGCCACGGTAAGCGACGAGGAATCAAACAGACCACAACAGTGTTCACAAGACTGCAACGAGTCTGCTTAGGACTAAATCATCAGGCACCAAGAGACCATGTTCTCCTAGTAACCGATCTAGAACTTCCCTTCAGAAGAAAAAGAAAATGAGGCGAACTTGTCCTTCATAAATGGTCAACAGACACGAAGCTAAAGGGCGGAACAGAGTTAAGTCCACACAACTTTAACACATAATACTGAATACGAGGCAGTGTCTCCACAACAGAGCCACGTGTTGCATTCATGTCACTTCTCCTACCACAAATCTATTTACAATCATCTCAAACAAGTACAGCAGATGCGAAGTGGGACATCGTAAAAAGAAGTTGTCAAAAAATCAGTGCAATTATTTTGAGTCGAAGATTTTCCTCATAAAAAAGAGTCAGCGTGTGTGTGTGTAACAGGGGCACCCCCATGACAAAGTCACAGGTGCACTGCATCCGCACCGAGAAGCGTCACAGCAGACGAGACTGCTGGCACGGCAGCTAGAGTGCAACTCCTCGGTCACTTTGGGGAAGGGCTTCAAACATAAATGAAATACTCACGTTCTGCAAGTGAGGCGCATGAGCACTGAGGAAGTTTCTGTTTCTATTTATTGTACATTCCTTTTCTCATGAGCGTGAGAGATGGGTCAGAGAGAGGTCACAGGAAAATGTCGTATGGCTTGTCTGGGCCACTGGGATTGTCCACTGTCTGGATTATGTCGACTTCTAAAGCTCCTCCTAATGGAACTGCCTTATGTGTAGGAAAATGCCCATGAAAAATCCTTTTAACTGTCCAGCGGGTCACAGTCCCGCCGAAGGACTCATCCAGTTCCCAGAGGCGCAGGGAACAAGCCACGGGCCACCCCAGCCCCAAAGGCCTCCTGGGGACACTCCGGTGTCCCGGCTGCCTGACGTGTGGCCGGTCTATCCTAGCGTATTGTATCAAATATATAATTTGACTGAAAAACTGCCTTGTAAAAATAAAATTTAAACCACCCCGCAGATCAATGTAAAATTACATTGCTGCATATATAAGAAAAACAATTCATCCAGAAAAATCACATTTGTGGCTTTCAAAAATAAATCATCCAGCAAACTTGAAGGTAAACATTAGGCAATTTATAAAAGTTGGGGAAATAATTTCTATCATATCCATTAGGTACCACATGCACTGGAATATCTGTGTCGGCCAAACCAAACCAGAGCAGAAAGGAAAAAATAAATAGCAATATTTGCATTTAACAGCAATAAAAGTAACAAATAACAACAACAATAAAACCCCCCACCTACTAACCCCACTACAGGAACTGAACTGACATGATCTGTTCTAATGGGCACTCCGTCACGGGGGTAAACATTAGTGATAGCAGTTTAGGTCAGCCTCAAACAAACAGCGTGGAGGTCACTGCCTGCTTCCAACAGTTCCCTCTTGGGCAAGCTGTACAATGGTCACGCATCGTTTGTGGTTCTAGAGTGCAAACATTCATTCAAAGGAGTGTGAGACCACCACCGAAAAGCAACATCATCTGGAAAAGAAAAGGGAGACCCTGATGTGCAATCAAAAGGCTGCATGTAAAGACTGCTTGAACCAGAGAAAACCAAAACTTAAGGAAAACGATCCCTTTCTAAAAGTACAGCTATGCCCAGTTTTACAAAATTTATCCAAACCAGGAAAATCTGAGCTTAGGACACACAAAACAACAGGACGGTGGCTTTGCGTCACCGAAGGGCTCACACACGAGGGCAGCTTTCCACCGCTCCCCTGGTGTTCGTTAATTGCGTCGTCATTACAGCAAGAACTTGTCAAATGTGATAGGGTAGTGGTAAAAGGATGGGAGTACATCAATGTTTTTAAAAAGTGAACATGTAAAAACACACCAGGAAGAGTCCCAGTACAGAAATCGAATTGGGAGACCTCTTTTAAAGAGATGAGATAAAATCCCAGTTTTTCTTTTAAACAAACCCAGACTTCTACACATAATTTTCACATTCAGTTTGCTTAAAGCAAGGCACACCTTACTTAACAGTGGGATGGGGACAAAGCCAGCGAGTGGGCACCCCTCAAATCTTGACAGGCCCAGGGGGGCAGCAGTGGACAGGGAAGGGTGGCAAGGCCCCAGGCACCCACATGATCAGACGATCAGATGCCGGGGAAGGGCCACCTCTGGCTTTCACGTGAACAGGGCTGGGACTTACCCTACTGTACTTTGAGGTTTTTACACTGTCTCAAAATTTATCCTAATAATGCAGGGATTGGTAAAAATTTGAGAAAACAATTGTTTACCTGAGAAATTGTAACTACAGCCATTTAAACTCTGAATCATCAGACATGTACAAAGGTGTGCAGCTGACCCAGCTGGAGATGTTTGGTCTATTAATGTTTTTAGTATTAAAAGTTTTATAAAACAAGCATAGGGCTATAAAAAAGTACCCTTTTCGAAGTACTCTGGCCCACTAAAAATGAAAGTTTTCCTTCAAAATGATTAAAAAAAACAAAAATTGTAGTCCTACTTTTCTGCCAGCCCAGTCTGTCTCAGGCATCTGCTCAGGAAGCACCTCCTCCCTGCTGGGTGCCACCAGAGCTGGGTCCTCAGACCCCAGGGAGCCCAGGGCTGCAGGCCATCGCTTAGACACAGATGCCCTGGCCATCCCTGAAGTACCGCACGCAGGAGGTGGCAGCAGGCCCACAAATCTGCATGTTAAACAAGAACCGCCATCCCCCAGACAGCCTGACGCAGGTGGAAGAAACACACCTTTGAGACACATGGTTCCAGATGATTGTAAAAATGGCTGGAAACTAATCTAATTTCAGATTTGAAAAGTTATTAGTCACAAGATTCCCTCCTTAGCTTGAATGCATCCATTAATTTAAGCTACGAGCATGTCTGTATCCTTCTGAAAACAGGAGAAAGTGCCACTTGCCACTAAAACAAAAGGAACTGCCATTTCTTAGAGTGGGAGCTTCTGTCATTTAAAAAGATTAAAAAAAAATACAGCCAGAAGAGACTAATGCCATTAATAAGACACTCACACACAGGGACACACGCATGCACACACACACACACCACTCTGAGTACACATCTTCACAAATAATAGTCATCCCTTTGTCATTGCCGCCAATATCCAGGCGAGGTATCGGGAGACCCCCGACCTGCGGCTTGCTGCCCCTCCTGCTGCCTCCAAAGCAGCTGAGCACAAAGGTGGGGGGGGGGGTGCCGCTGAGCAGGAGGCAGCTCCTTTGGCACCCCACCCCACCACAGTGCCGAGGTAAGTGTCGCGCAGGGCCGGGGAGGGAACAGCAGCAGGAAGAGGGGACCTACGGAGCGCACAGCAGCACTAGGGGAGGCTCGCCTCCTTCCTGACGCCTCTACACGGAACATGGATTTGAGTCTTACTAAAACTGTGTACAGAGACAAAAAGCCCACTCAGCACAAACAGAGTTGTCTGTTGTTAGCCTTCAAAATCGTCCGTGGTGTCACTCTTAGTGCAACAGTTTCTAGATTGGCAAACCCAAGTCTGGGGCCCCAAATGCAAACCCCAGAAGAACGGCCCATGCCCTCTGCTGGCCCTGCTATCCTTGGGCCTCCCAGGGCCAGGCAAGCTCCTTCGCTGTGACCGACGGCCTCACGCCCAGCAGAGCCACCACCAACAGCTTTCTACGAATCTCAGTGCATAGATCTATGGAAGTCATCTGACAAAAGAGCACACGGAGAGGAGTGAGTCCCCACACATCAATGTTTCCCAGCAATGCAAGAATAAATAATTTCCACTTGTGCTTCATCAGCTGAGTGAGTGACACACGGGGATGAGGCGGCAGGGAGGGTGGCGAGCGGCGCGGAGGGCACATCCGTCCCTCCCATGGGTACACGCTGCACAGTCTCCACGGGGGAAGCGGGTTGCTGTCACATTAAGTCAATTGCATATTCCTGTCCTTAAGCACTAAGAACTGAGAGGCGGTCCCATCTCCAGGCTCCAAAACACTCTTGATATGCCAAACAGATCACAGAAGCACCCCATAGTCAATAAAATGAAAAAACAGCATCTATCTATCACATTAATACTGCAAACCAGATATATATATTCTTCTCTTACATTAAAGACATAACAGTGAAAAAGGATTGTACTGTATTTATCACCACAGACCCGTATTCTTTAAAAACTTTGGAAAATAAATGTCACAGTCCTATAGGACAAATCTGATGATTAGACTGTCAGTATATTGTCTTTTTTCTTTTTTTAAATACATTTTTTATTAAAATGGCACTTGTCTGCCAACCTCTCTGGACCTGGAAATGCTGTAAACACACGGGGCCCACCTTCTGCCACTGCTCCTTAGTTCAGGCCGGGTGAAGGGCGGTGCTGGCAGAACACGGCACCTGCGGACGCCTCTGCATGGCCACCGGCCCTCAGTCGAGGAACTTGGGTGAGCCACGCCAGGGGCACACGAGCATCGCCTGGAAATCAACTTTAGTGACAACATCAGAATGTTCAAGGCTTTAAAACCACACTTGTGTTTTGTGTTGCTTTCACTCTCAGAAGATTCACAGCTAGTTTGAGCCCATCAATTTCATAGAGAATCATGTATTAAAAACAAGTAAATTGAATGACCAAATAAATTAAAAATGTTTTAAAGCCCTGAGTTCATAGACTGGTTTTAGGAGATTTTTAGGACACACGGGACTCTGTTTTAATAAGCAGCTTATAGATTTTAGCAAACCATATTTCCTATGACATTGGGTTCTCATACAGGTCTGCAGTTCAAAATCCAAGTTTGAAATCTGGGACGGAAGGCATTCTGGAAAACGGAGAATCTAATAAAATCAATGACGTCTCATGTTCGATGCTGGCTGTCACGGAAGGGCTGGCCATCTGTTGGTCTGAGTGTAGCTGGTCTCGTGAATCCCACTCGGTACACAATCGCTAAACACTAAAACATGTCAAGCAAAGTACATGGTGCGCAGAGTGTCTTGGTGAACCTGGACCGCCTTGGCCAGTGCTTGGTGGTCTCGCCCGTTACTCTGCCCAGAGGTATGGCTTCCTTCAGCACTGCAGGGATGAGAGAGAGAGAGAATGAGAATGTGCAGCCTTAATGCACGATGAGGCAGTGCGTCGATCACTAAGTCGGGATGGCATGGCGGGAACCTGGGAGAGGGAAGAGTCCCACGCTGACGGCCGTGCCATTAACAGGCCTTCTGGGGTGCCGGCTCCAGCCGCTGGGGCCCTGCCCCTTCCCCTTCCAGAAAAGCAGCTGCCAATACCCGTGGCAAAAACCACCCCTGCTGTGACCTCCAGCCAGGCATGCCACTCACCTGTCATGTTCCTTATCCACCAGGTGGTACCTGGCCCGGAAGGCCACCAGGTGAGCGTAGTATGCTGGCGCTGGGATGGACACGGAGCGTGTGCAGCGCACGTAGGTGTGACACAGCTGGTAGGTTAGGATCTGCAGCTCATCAGAGGAGAAACGATTGTCGTCCCAGAGGACGTGATAGTGCGAAGGCCTGCTTGTCCCCTAAAGCAGATCAGAAGATTAGACAGTTGGACTCGCATAAAATCTTTAAAAGGATACTGTGGAGAAGATTTATATTTGTATTATTAAAAATGCATCATAGTCTGGACACGGAGGCTCACGCCTGTAATCCCAGCACTTTGGGAGGCCAAGGCGGGCAGATCACGCGGTCAGGAGTTCGAGTCCAGCCTGGCCAACATAGTGAAACCCCATCTCTACTAAAAATACAAAAAAATTAGCTAGACAATTGTGGCATGCGCCTGTAGTCCCAGCTACTTGGGAGACTGAGGCAGGAGAATCACTTGAACCCGTGAGGTAGAGGTTGCGGTGAGCCGAGATCACGCCACTGCACTCCAGCCTGGGCAACAGAGAGAGACTCCTCTGTCTCAAAAAAAAAAAAAAAGCATCATAACTACATATAGTAAATGGCCCCATATTTGTAAAACTGTATACATTTATTTACACACAGAAAAATCATATCAAAGATATAAAGCAGGCTGGGCCCGGTGGCTCACACCTGTAATCCCAGCACTTTGGGAGGCCGAGGCGGGCAGATCACAAGGTCAGGAGATCGAGACCATCCTGGCTAACACGGTGAAACCCTGTCTCTACTAAAAATACAAAAAATTAGCCAGGCGTGGTGGCGGGCATCTGTAGTCCCAGCTACTTGGGAGGCTGAGGCCAGAGAATGGCATGAACCTGGGAGGCAGAGCTTGCAGTGAGCCGAGATTGTGCCACTGCACTCCAGCCTAGGGGACAGAGTGAGACTCCGTCTCCAAAAAAAAAAAAAAAAAAGATATAAAGCAATATTGAAAGTGGACGTAACAAGGACAGTGCCATTTGTGTATCTTACATTTTATATAATTGATTTATAATGGCAAGAAAAAGACCTCTAATAAAAGTTACACATTAGGCCAGGTGCAGTGGATCATGCCTGTAATCCCAGCATTTTGGGAGGCCGAGGCGGGCAGAACACCTGAGGTCAGGAGTTTGAGACCAGCCTGGCCAACATGGCAAAACACCATCTCTACTAAAAGTACAAAAATTAGCCATGTGTGGTTGCGTACGCCTGTAATCCCAGCTACCCAGGAGGCTGAGGCATGAGAATCGCTGGAACCCGGGAGGCAGAGGCTGCAGTGAGCTGAGTACACGCCACTGCACTCCAGCCTGGGCGACAGAGTGAGACTCCGTCTAAAAAAAAAAAACAACAACAAAAAATTACACATTAGCAGTAACATTGTAGAAGTGAGAGTGTGAACGTGAGTACCATTTTACACACCTCCTGCGGTTGGAGATCCTTTGAAATGAAAGCAGCACCAGCTGCTGACTGCAGGCCTCTCTGCCACCTCTGCCTGCCTGCCCGCCTCACTGCCTGCTCCACCTGCCAGCCTCGCAGGCCCTTCTGACAACAACCTGTCCAGCACAGTCCCTGCCACCTGCTCTGTGTCTAGCCCTGTGCCGAGGCCCCTGGTGCTGGTGGGCAGCGGAACGTTCGTCCCTGATGCTCCACCGCACATGCTCCGGCACCCCTTTCCTGGCGTGTGACTGGTGGCTGTCACAGGGGCCCAGGGGAGTGAGGGCATCTGTCTCCATGGGACTGCTAAGGACACAGCAGCAGTGGCAGCCTTGGGCCATAAATAGCTCACCAGAGAAGCATCCCCCGTTAGAAAGATTTTGGGTAGAAAGTTCAGGGAGAAGAGTTTGCCCAGGAAACATGCCCAGGAGGCCCTGGTGGGTGAGGCTCCCCGACTAGAAGGGAAGACTGAACAGAGGGCACACGCAGGCAGGGCATGGCCCCAGGCCCATCTCACCAGCCCTGGCAAAGCAAGCCAACACTGGGACAGGCACTTTGCACCAGGAAGTGCCACAAACCCTGCACGCACTCCATCGCCTGCTTCTCAACAACCCTTCAAACAGCAAAACCCACTCTCAGCTCCCGGGCTGCAGGCTGGACCCGGCCCACAGGCCACGGTTCCCTAGCCCCCATTCCTTCTCTGTCAGGCATGTGAACAATGTGACATTTTAAAATATTTCCAATGGAATATTAAAGGTACGTACAAAGTTCATAGCAAATCCTCAAACTCTAGGGTTCAAATCCTTTAGGAAGGGATATTCAAGTCCTTACTTATACTTTGAAAAACCAAAAGCCCCTCTGATCAAGCTCTCTGCAGGCAGGGACGGCACGTGACTAAGGTTCCTCCTGTCCCCCGGGCGAGGCTCTGCAGAGCTGGGGAGGGGCAGCTCCTACCACGGACGTGGTGCTCCTGCTCCTGTCAGTGCTCCCAAGAATCGCCTTGGGTCAGATGGGGGTCCCCTCATGAAGGAACCCAGGAGAGCCTCAAGGTGGTAACCAACACCATGGCCACCTTCTCTGAGCACCCAGTCCTTGGCTGGAGCCTGGCCCTGGCCAGTGATTGCGCGAGGGGACGGCAAGGCTGACTGCGCCAAGTGCTCGTGAATCGACGCCAAGTCTGCCCCATGCGGCCCCTGCAGCAGCTGCCCAGTGGCCTTCCAGCTTCCACCCCATGGCAGCCCCAGCGCCTCAATCCTGCTCAGACCTCACCAAGCTCCAGCCACACCACACCCCTGGCTCCCCAAGGCCCTTGGTGCTCCCTGCTCCTCAGCCCTACCAAATGGGACTTCCTTTTTCTGGGAGGCTCATGCTGACCCACCCCCCAGGCCCCTCTCCCCACCCCAGCGCCTGGCACAGCCTGGGCTCCCCGGTTCCCTGGTACTGCCTGTGTGGGCCCCTCACACCACATCCCACGTGCCAGCCAGAGTGCAAGTGTTTGCTGAATGTGGGGATGACACGGCAGACGGCCAAGACTCTGTCCGAAGGGGACTCCCGGCCTTACCTGGATGCCAGCGTGACTACACAGGTAGAAGTCGAACTCGGTGGGGTGGGTGATTTTCGTGTCCACAGTCGTGCCTGCTGGAATGTTTCCACTTTTCCCAACCTTCGGCAACACAGGCATCTCGTTAGACACGGCCAGGGACCGGCAGAGCCAAGCAGGCGGGCCAGGCAGCCGCGCCGCCCGCTGGCCAGGGTGCCCTATTTTGAAGTTTTTAAATTGGCTAATACAGGTCCTCGGTAGGATAGTGTTACATAAAATTTAACAACTGCTGACCACCAGGTTAAATGAATTAATGTTCCATGTGGGCTGGGGTTATTTTCCGCCAACTCTCATGAAGGCCCATGAGTTAAATGCAGTCTTTTCACTGCAGAACGTGCCTCTGATGCCTTAAGAGTCCCTCGATACTGTTGGTGCTATTTTGATTTGAGGTCAAGATGGAAACTGTCACCAACGTACACATCTAAAGCTAAACCAGGTGACTGGCTGCGGACAAGCCATCATCCAAGCACAAGCACACCGGCGCTCCAGGCAGAGGCGCTGGGAGGCTCTGAACGCTGTCAGGAGTGCCTGTGCTTTGCCGGTAGCTTGCGCCCAGCACCTGAGAGAGCAGGGCGGCTCCATCAGAGACTGTCCCAGAGGCCAGGGGCGGTACATATAACCATTCAATGGTTTAATTACAAGGTCACAAGCATGGACCAAAAAGTCAGCCAAGATGCAGGCATGGCCACGCCAGCAGCAAACCCCCACCCCACAAGCCCTGCTCCAGCATTTAGCAAGGTCCCTGATGAATGTTTTCTAGTTGTACACATTTTAAATATACATACAAAAAAGAATCTCCAGTGTGTTCCCTTCTTTGCAATTTTTTTTTTTTTTTTTTGAGATGGAGTCTTGCTTTGCCACCCAGGCTGGAGCACAATGGCGCAGTCTCGGCTCACTGCAACCTCTGCCTCCCAGGTTCAAGCGATTCTCCTGCCTCGGCCTCCCGAGTGGCTGGGACTACAGGCATGTGCCACCACGGCCGGCTAATTTTTGTATTTTTAGTAGAGACGGGGTTTCACTATGTTGGTCAGGCTGGTCTTGAACTCCTGACCTCATGATCTGCCTGCCTCGGCCTCCCAAAGTGCTGGGATTACAGGCATGAGCCAGCGCATCCGGCCCTAATATCTCTTTTCAAAGTAGGTTTGGATTTTGTTCATCTGCTTTATTTCTTCTTCAGTTTCTACCTCAATTATTTTCCATTCTAGGATGGAGAAGTGGCGTGTAGGTGTCACCAGGAGCAAGCTGACTTCCGAGCCCTCCTGCCTCCTGGCAACAGAGATCTGGGGGCTGCAGCGGGGAGGAAGGGGGACAGGGGAAGACACCCAAGGCCATGAGTGCCTCAGCCTTCCCTTGACTCCTGGGGACTGAGGTCTCTTATTCCCATCCTTCCTATGTCTTTAGGCTTCTTTTATGGCCCTCTTTCTTGTTGTACAACAAATTCATCTGAATCTACAGACGGCACTGTTTCAGCTGCATTGCATAAGGCTTGACAGGACATTCTCGATTGTGTTAGCTTCTGAGTACTTTGTGATTTCTATTCTTGTTACATGTTTAATGCATGAGCTACTCAGCAGTGAATTGAAAGTTGAAAACATTCTTCCACTTCGTTTCTACTGTTGATTTAAAATTTAATTGTATAATGATTTAAAAAATATGGCTTGAGACTGAAGTTTGGAAAGCTCCCGAGACTTCCTTTGTCCTGGTAGAACTTTTATAACCCTTCCGTGTGAACTCAGCTATTTGTAGGGAAGATTCTATCTAGCTATTAGACCTGGCTTGGCTTGTTCATTTCACTCTTCCAATTTTCAGGGTTTCTTTTCTTTTTTTTTTTTTAAGACAGGTCGGAGTGCAGTGGTGCAATCACAGCTCATTGCAGCCTCAGCCTCCTGAGCTCAAGTAAGTCTCCTGCCTCAGCCTCCTGAGTAGCTGGGACCATAGGCGTATGCTACCATACACAACTAATTTTTAAATTTCTTTTCGAGATGGGGTTTCACTTTGTTGCTCAGGCTAGTCTTGAACTCTTGGACTAATACGATCCACCTACCTTGGCCTCCCAAAGTGGTGGGATTACAGGCGTGAGTCACTACGCCTGGCCCCAATTTTTTTTCCTTAGTTTTTCATTTTTGTCTGGAAACAGTATAATAAGAGCTGTGTAAAAATATCCACCTTTGATGGCGTGTTCATCAATTTCTCCTTAAAATGCTGTTAGTTTTTGCTTTACTTTTTTTTTCTTTACATAATTTGGTGTTAGGTACATTCAAGCTCATTAGTTGCTGTATCTTTTTGGTGAATCATTCTACTTATTTATTTTTGGGTATTGTTTTTCTTTTTTGAGATAGTCTCACTCTGCCCCCCAGGCGGGAGTGCAGTAGCAAAATGTTGGCTCACTGCAACCTCTGCCTCCCAGGTTTAAGCAATTCTCTTGCCTCAGCCTCCCGAGTACCTGGGACTACAGGCGCCCGCCACCACGCCTGGGTAATTTTATGTATTTTTAGTAGAGATGGGGTTTCGCCATGTTGGCCAGGCTGGTCTCGGTCTCCTGACCTCAGGTGACCCACCTGCCTCGGCCTCCCAAAGTGCCAGGATTACAGGCGTGAGCCACCGTGCCTGGCCTGGTGAATGATTCCTTTTACTGTGATAAAATATCCTTTTTCCTCACTGTGATGCTTAACTTCTGTTTCACCTTCCATTTGCACAGTAAACCTTCCCTGTGTCCTTGCACAGCCGTGCCTGTAGGGAGTCTAACACTCTGAAGTATTCTTTCCTGGGTGCCAAGTAGATGATAACCCTCTGCCTTCCGGTCCTCCCTTGACCAGGTCAAGGTCTCCTGGTTCAGTCCAAGGCCTCCTTTCTGGGCAGGTCTCTTTCCTTAGGCAGCTACCTTGATGTTATGCAGGTAGGACAACGTGGACAGGTGTGAGTTTCTTTTTACTTATCCTACTAGGAATACGGAAAACACTTTTAACCTGGGTCTCCTGCCTTTCGTCAGCTGTGGAGAATTCTCAGCTCTTCTATCTACAACTCCTGCTCCTCCTCATTCCCCTTCCGGAACACCTATGAGATGTACCATGGCGCTTCAACGCCGCCACCTCTCCTCCCCTCCTCAGCACCACCTTCCAGCCCTGCCACAGGGACCTGCCGGGAGGGTCCGAGTTTGCACCACTCTGCCAATTCTTACGACTGCACAGCTCCATGCTGTGGTTTCTAACTGGGACTTTTTCAGAGCCACCTCTTTTGGTAATCTATTAGATAAGTGACATCTTGTGCCTAGACCTAGCCTAGGCCTGTGGGATTTATAAATTAAGACTTTTTGGTGGGGCGCAGTGGTTCACACCTGTAATGCCAGCACTTTGGCAGGCCAAGGCAAGAGGATGGCTTAAGCCCAGGAGTTTAAGACCAGCTTGGACAAAATAGTGAGACCCTGTCTCTACAAAAAATAAAAAAAAAATTAACCAGGTGTGGTGGTGCATGCCTTAGTCCTAGCTACCAGGGAGGCTGACGTGGGAAGATCACTTGAGCCCAGGAGATAGAGGCTGCAGTAAGCTATGATCGCACCACTGCACTCTAGCCTGGGTGACAGAGCCAGACCCCATCTTAAAACCCTCCAAAACAACAACAAAAAAGCTTCACCAAATCAAGGACAGCCTTCTCTAGTGTCTAAACCTGGGTCCCCATGAAGCCCCTTAGAGGACAGAGTCACCCTAGAGCCTGGGACAGCGGCACTGTGGCCAGCAGGTTCTCTTGTGAGTGTGCTCGGGGTGTGGGGCTGAGGGGAGAACCGTGCCCCCTGCCTGGAGTCATGCAGAAACTCACCCGCTCGTTCTTGTCAGTGCAGAAGAGCCGGGTGTGGTGCCTCTTCTGCACCACGATGAAGGTGATCCCGGGCTGGTAGTCTTTTTCTAGCTTGATACAGGCCTCACGGATGGCCAGCAACTCGTGGTGGAGAACCTAGGGGTACGGGAGGGAGGAGGTTGTGCTTAAAGATGGTAGTGCATGTGAGCAACGGTCCCACGTGCGGGTTCTGGGTTGAGAACACCCAGCCGTGGTGATTCTGAGAGACAATGAGTGTGTTCACGGGGAGGTGAAAACACGGGGGCAGAAACCATCCTCTCTGCAGGGAGGACTGGATGCAGGAAGCGGGGGCTTGGCACTCAGGAATGGGAAGAACACTTCCCCTGGAGGGCCCAGGAGGTTGTGTGTGTGCAAGGGGCGCAGCCAACGCCAGGGATGCAGGCTGGGCTCTGCGCTGAGAAGGCACATGCAGAGGCCAAGCTCCTGCAGAAGCTCAGGGCAGGCTTTGGGCTGGGCGCAGTGGCTCATGCCTGTAATCCCAGGACTTTGGGAGGCCGAGTTGGGCGGATCACAAGATCAAGAGATCGAGATCATCCTGGCCAACATGGTGAAACCCCATTTCTACTAAAAATACAAAAATTAACTGGGCGTGGTGGTGGGCACCTGTCGTAATCCCAGCTACTCCGGAGGCAGAGGCAGGAGAACTGCTTGAACCCGGGAGGTGGAGGTTGCAGTGAGCCGAGATCCTGCCACTGCACTCCAGACTGGAGACAGCGAGAGTCTTTCTCAAAAAAAACAAACAAAAAAACAAAACAAAAAACACACAAAAAACAAAGCAGCTCAGGCAGGCTCCAGCCAGAAGTGCTGGCCGGTCAAGGTGTATCCATTCTGTCCTCCCAGGAGGCCATGGGTCTCGGGAACGAGCTCTGCTTCCGCTCTGGACTGGGAAGGCAAATGGGGGAGGCTGGGCTGCGTGCCATCCCGCCTCCTGATCAAGGCCGGGGAGTTCCTAAGCTCCTGGGGCAGCCACGGAGGATGTCTTCCCACCCCACTGGGTGGGGCTCCTCCCCCAACATGCCTGGGGCCGCTTTCTTCTGCTTTTCTTGCTAACACCTCCCAAGGAAGCGACCGTGTGGCATGGCGAGGGGTGGGGAGGAATCGGCTCTAGCCAACGGGAGAAACATTCAGGGCACCCATCGCCCGGGTTCCAGGCCAAGATGGACTCATTCCTGCCCACAGGTCACCTTGATCTGGGGGTGCTGCGTGTGCTCTCAACCAAAGACAGCAACGAAACTCCCCTCACCCCTCTGTGATGGCTTCCCTGCCTGTCCAGACTCAGCAGTGACCCATTGTGGCCGTCCCTCTCTCTACATCCAGACAGTGGCCGCGTCCTGGCGACCCTACCTTCAACAGAGCTGCCACCTATCCATCCTTCTGGCCCTGCCTCCACACCTCTCACACTGCAGACAGGCGTCCCCAGACGCAATGAGCTCCCCGCCTCGCAGGGACACCCGACAGCTCTCCACAGCCTGCAAGGCAAAGCCAGGCCCTCGGGAAGCCCCCAGATGGAGCTCTGCTCTGCAAGTCAGCGGAACTCAAGCGTCTCTCCCCCATCTCTTGGTCCCCAGGCCCATACCCGCCCCTCCTCCCCTCCCTCTGTCCTGCCTCAGTGTCATGTGTTAGGGTCTCGACAGCCCCGTGTCCCATCTCCTCCCCTGGACCCCCTTCCATGGTGTGACCAGATCAGCCTTGGGGCCGAATGAGAGCCACATCATTCTTGCCATTCATCGAGCGTGGTTCTGCTGCACAAACAGGTGAATTACAGACCCCAGAGAAGGGGAGGGAAGGTTCCAAGAGGCGCCCACCTGCTGGAACTGGCCTTCAGAGACACCGTCGCGGTAGAAGATGATGCGGGTGGGCTTGAAGCGCGTGGACTTGTAGAACTGGATGAGGAGCTCGCGGACCATGGCGGCCAGGTCTTGTATGATCTCCTGCCGGTGCTGCTGCACGCGCACGGTGGCGCAGTAGCGATTGGGGTGGGCGTCCATGCTGCCCACCACCTGCAGGAACAGGCAGTGAGTGTGGTCAGGGGTTCCCAAAACTTTCCTTTCCTGGGCATGTGCCTGGACTCTCGGGAAGATGGGGACGAGAAGTGTCCCCACCCTGGAACTCATGTCACTGTCAAGTGACAATGGCTGGCTGGGTGTGAACTCAGCCTTTAGGCTTTTGGTGTCTGGCAATAGTGTTCGTAAATACGTACTGAAGTACAAAAGTTTGCCAAGTTACATAGTTTAAACAAAACAAAACAAAACAAAACAAAACAGGCCGGGTGCAGTGGCTCACACCTGTAATCCCAGCACTTTGGAGGCCGAGATGGGCGGATCACCTGAGGTCAGGAGTTTGAGACCAGCCTGGCCAACATGGTAAAACCCTGTCTCTACTAAAAATATAAAAATGAGCTGGGCATGGTGGTGCGTGCCTGTAATCCTAGCTACTCGGGAGGCTGAGGCAGGAAAACTGCTTGAACCCAGGAGGCGGAGGTTACAGTGAGCCGAGATCACACCACGCACTCCAGCCTGGGCAACAGAGTGAGACTCTATCTCAAAAACAAAAACAAAAACAAAAACAGAAAAACAGATTAGAACTATCCTCTGCTTGGGATCAGATGTGGCTGAATTAATCAGTCCAAAGAAGGCAATGGGTGGGGGTGTCCCTATTTCTTCCAAAGAAACTACAAGCACATCAACAGCATCCCCGAAGGCACACCAGCCATGCAAGCAGCCACCGGAAGGTGCCAGCCATGAAGAGGGCAGACAGAGAGAGCCTAGCACGGCTCTGCGGTTCTCTGTCGGGGGCCAAGGGAGCGTGAGGGATGAGGTGGCCCAGCCCATGGAGGGAACCGGGTAGATCCCCACGTGTCGCTCCACCCTCTGGCTGCGGAAGGAAAGGTCCTTAAATTTTGAAAAAACACTGATGGAAATAAAACCTCTCATGTCACTGAAAAATAGGAACTGCTTCTTGGCAATCTGCCTCCTTCTTCGTAAATCCTTACAGAACAAGTTCTTTCCCAGTTAATTCTCCCACTATTCCACGTCCTTTGTCCTGCCTTGGGCTATAATTTTTCTCTTAAACCAAGAGAAAAATAAATAAACTCTGTAATGTTTCCAGTTGGTATAAACAGAAATACATTAACATAAACAGAAATCTGTTCCTATTGATTGAGAATTGTGGGGATAGGGGATAAACACACAGATTTCTCTGTTCCTGAAAACTTGAAAAAAAAAAAAAAAACCAGCCTAAGGCTCCAAAAGCCCAAGATATAGTTGAATGCTTCATAACATTTGTACAGAAAAAAACAAAGCTAACGGGGACCAGGTGAGGTGGGGACAGGGGAGGGCGCCAGCCCGCTGTGCTGCGGGCTTTCCCCAGCTGCAGGACCCTCGGGGGGTCCCCTCTGTGCCCTGGCTCCCTCCTGGGCACACTGGTGCCCAGCTGTGGCTCGGTGACAGCCATGCGGTGCTTCCCCATCAGAGGAAAGGGCTGAAAATGGCTCAGCATGGCCAGGTGCAGTGGCTCACGCCTGTCATCCCAGCACTTTGGGAGGTTGAAGCAGGTGGATCACCTGAGGTCAGGAGTTCAAGACCAGCCTGGCCAACACGGTGAAACCCCATCTCTATAAAATACAAAATTTAGCCAGCCATGATGACAGGTGCCTGTAATCCCAGCTACTCGGGAGGCTGAGGTGGGAGAATTGCTTGAACCTGGGAGGCAAAGGTTGCAGTGAGCTGAGATCGCACCACTGCAATCCAGCCCGGGTGACAGTTACTCTGTCTCACAAAACAAAACAAAACAAAACAAAAAACAAAAATAGAAACAACAAAAAAAAACCCACAAAACAACAACAACAACAAAAAAACGACTCAGCAAAGTGAGCAGCGGTATATGCGTGGGAGTGGTGGGGTTGTGATTATCGGGCCAAGTGGCAAGAATTAGTTGATGCATGTGAATTTCCTTAAAGGAAGTGTGCCCTGAATAACACCAGAGCACATATCATGTTGCTTTTCTTCCACCTGGGGCAGCTCGAATGGCTTCCTTGCGTCCCAGATAGATTCTCTTGCTCCATATTCTCTCCCAACTAATGAAATAATAATGGTAGCATTTTCTTTTTCTTTTTTGAGAGAAAATCTCACTTTGTTGGCCAGGCTGGAGTGCAGCGGCGCAATCTCTTCTCACTGCAGCCTCGACCTCCTGTGCTCTGGCAATCCTCTCACCTCAGCCTCCTAGGTAGCAGGAACTACAGGCGCACGCCACCACCCCCAGCTATTTTTGTAGAGATGGGCGTTCGCCATGTTGCCCAGGCTGGAATGTAAGCATTTTCTGAGCATCTACTATGTGCCAGGCACCGTGCCAGGGGCTTAACGACATCATTTCCTAATTCTCCCATGAGGTCAACATTTGTTTCCTCATTTTACACCCAAGAAAGTTCTGAAACATTAAGCTCATTGTGCAAGAGAAACAAGAAAACAGAAGCAGCACGGGCCTGTCTGGGGTTCGGGGCTGTGTCCAAGGCCGGAGTTCTCATGCTGTGGGGGCACAGGCGTCATCACACCCTAGGCTACCACCCGCCAGTCAGGCCATGTGCAAGGGGGCCTCCTTGCCCTTCAGACCTCCCAAAGGGCTGGATAGGCATGAGCCCCTATGCCCCACCTCTGACTGCTTCTTAGAACTTATTTTGTGTCATTCTAGTGTCCCCTCCAGACACCTCTCTCCCACAAGACCCCGGCCGTCCCTACCGCAGCTTAGTGAGACCCCATGCCTTTCAGGAAGGACCCCTGGCCACGCTGTGACAGTGGGACTTCGACAGCGTCCTGCATGTTGTCAATGGAAGACCCATGGGGAAGCGCTGACACTCACGGCGGCAATGGAGGGCTTCTTCCCATCCCCGGCGGGGGGGTGAGTGACGTCTGCTCCCAGAAAGATGACGGGCTGCTGGAACACCGGCGGCCTGCGGAGAGGAGTGGCGTCAGGGGCCACGGTGAGACACGCCTGGACCTCTGACGCTAGTAGGTGCCACCATCACCTTTTGGAGGTGGTCAGTGTATCATGGTAATGCTTTTGAAAAGAATCCTTATCTTTTAACCGGAATACTAAAAACCCTGCAGATTAAATGACACAAGGTCTGAAATCTGCTTCAGAATAGCCACGGGTTGGGGGGCTTGGGTGGAGTGTACTCCAGACCAGATGGGCCAGGAGCTGACAGCTGTTGAGGCTGGGGCTCAGGCCCAGGCCCAGGAGGGCTCACCCTTCTACCCTCTACTCCCTCTGCAGCCACACCCACGCCAGGGTTTCTCACCGCCACCCTTAGCACCACCAATGCCTGGGGCCAGCTCGCTCTTTGTTGGGGTAGGGGGCTGTCCCCAGCATGGGCAGACGCTGAGAGGCCTCCACTCACTGGATGCCAGTAGCACTCCATCAAGCCTGACACCCCAACATGTCTCCAGACATGACCACGCGTCCCCTGGCAGCAAAACCACCCCATGGAGAACTTTCAGACCCTGAGTATATCCCAGTGGGGACTTCCCTGGGAGGCAGCACGCACAGGGGCAAGGACAGGCATGTGGGCCTCGGGCTCTCCGGGGAAAGGCGGAGGTGGTGACAGCACCTTCCTCCCGGGTTGAGAGTGCACCGCCGCACACCCCACCCAGCCTTGCTCGGCTGCTGCAGGCAACATCAGGAAGCATCAGAAGTGGCCGTTCTGCCAGCCCTGCCTGTTGGAAACCAGGTACATGAGGCCCTCGCCTCTGCTGCCCTCTCCCCGCATCCATTTCCCTGCATGCCTGTGACTCACTCTCCGCCCACATCCTCTCACTCCCATCGCCTGCCTTGCGGCAGAGCTCCGACTCAGCCGAACCCATCACTGCTTGCGCTGGCTCCCAGGCCCCTTCTAGTCAGACTTCTCACGGCCACAGCAACAGGGCTCCTCTCCCCAAGGTCACCGATGAGCTCTGCATCACCCAGACCCATGGCCGAGCCTCAGGCCTCGCTGCGTCTGGCCCGCTGCAGGACACACTTCCCTTGGTGCCTAGGGCCCTGCGGCCGGCCTCCCTGCCCCAGCCTCTCCCATCTCCGCTGCTGGTTCCTCCCTCTCCAGGCCTTGAACTCCAGCCTTCTCTAGGGCCCAGGGCTTGGAATACCACCTGTCTGCTAAGGATTCCTGGATCCTGTCTCCCCTGATGCCAGCCTCCTGGCTCCCACCGTCCACTCATCAGCTGCACTCAAATGACCTGCAGACGCTGTGGGGGCCAGTTCATCCACGCCCAGTGCTCACCCTCCCAACAGCCTCCCCGTCTAATGATGACGGGGTCTCTCCTGCAGCCCAGGCCAAGGGCCTTGATTTTTCCTTCACACACAGCCCAATCCCACCTGCCAGCAAGTCCCAGGGCTCTATCTTCAAAACATCTCAAAGTCTAGATGCTCCCACTCTGTGCCCCTGCCCTGGCGTGGCCGAGGCCACCAGCCCCTCTCGGCTTCACGGAGCCAGAGGTGGCCACACTGTCGGGTGCCTCCGACGGCCCCAGCTCACCCCAGCTCACCAGAGGGAGCCTTCATTCCCCAGCATTCCCCAGGCAGCACGTGGGAGGGCCTGTCTCTTGTCTGCTCTCATGGTCCTCTCATGGCTCTGCTGTGCACCTGCCGCCTGTACGATGGGCTCATGACCTGGGTGCCTCCACCAGGACTTCCGGCCCGGTGCTGCCCACTTATGGCCCAAACTCCCTGCACACAGTAGGTACTCAATAAATACAGAACCTGTTGACTGAGGAACAGCACTTTCAGTTCCCAGCCAGCTCTGGATTGGTCTTCGCTCATTCCCATGAACCTGTTTCACTGCAGAGCCCGCACCCCACGCTCACAGCCGTTCCACTCGGAATCCAGGTTCTTCCCATGTTATTATCCCGCTCCCTGATGAATTCAACGGACTGTTTCTGGGTGCGTGTAACTCGGTAGCTCTCAAAACCTGGTCCCCCATGTGGCAGCATCGGCACTGTGTCCGTCCACTTGCTAGGGGTGGAAATTCCTGGCCCCAATCAGTCCTGCTGAGTAGGACACTCGGGAACGAGCCCCGCTGGGGTTCAAGAGCTGCTCAGGTGTGAGGACACTGTGGTGGCCAAGCACAGGCCTGTGCACACAGCAGGGGCTCACCACCGCCCACTTTCCAAATACAGAGGGTCACTGCCTTAAGGCAGTTCGATTTAGGATTCTTAACTCTGTGACGGCGTGCCAGTGATGCAGATTTAGCGCACTGCCTGGCTTAGGATGGCTTTATCAGCTGAGCCCCACTGTGACTGGGAGCTCCAACAGATCCACGCCACAGGGGCTGCCTATGGCCTCCAGTTCCCTCCTGCCCAAACGCACAAATAATCTGATTCTACGTATTCTCCGTTGTTGTCGTCCAAATGTTAAGACAACTGCCAGGGTTGGCAAAGATGCCTGTCATTGTGTGGAGACGTCTTTCTTGCCTACATCACAGGTTGGTGGCTTTGGAGGAGGGGAAGAAGCAAACCCTGGCCCTGCCCTGGAATACCTGGATGCTCAGCCAGTCAGGAGGTGCCAGAGGAGGGTGCAGCTCCATCACCCCCAACCCCCGTCCCCGGCGGTCAGCCCTGGGCCTCTGAGACCGGCAGGTGGCCAGCGCTTGGCCACATATCCTGTCCTGGCCTGGGAGCTGCCAACAGTGTGCTCCCATGAGGAGCTTTTCAGTCTAAAGTCCCAGCACGACGCAGCATCCATGACTAGCCTGGTGTGGGAAGCATGGTAGAGGGCCCTGGTCCACACGGTAGCTGCTGCTGCTGCTGAGCCAGGGAAGCCCATCTCCATCTCCTGGCCATCCAAGGCATGCCCTGCTCTGCCTTGCCCACTGGGATTCGAGGCACAAATTTCTCTGTCTGGAAACCCGGCCACAGTGCTCAAACTCCTGCAGACGCCCCTGGTCCCCAGCAGAGCGTGAGCAGCCAGATCTATGTCTGACATCTTTGCTCTGCTGTGGCCAGGACGGTGCTGGGCCCAGGTGAAGGGACCCTGCCCCCCTGCCCCCTGCATACTGCACCCCACCCTGCCAAGCGTCCCACTGTGCCCTGGTCCGCAGGCGGAGGTAAAGGGGCCGGGCCTCAC